>NC_000004.12:182254714-182557744 GCF_000001405.40 Homo sapiens
TATTTTCTTGAACTTTTGGATGGCAGTTATCATATTGTGTGATATGTCCTCAGTTTCAGATTTCCGGAGACATGTAATGAAAACAATACAATCAACAGTGAAGATAATATATCAAATATATCAGTGCCCATTGCACTGATGGAATAAGAGCTAGGCTGTTACAGTCAGCAAAAAACAAAAAACAAAAAACCCAAACCAGTGAGCTAAGCACTCTGGGTTTTGGTGTTGTGTTTACGAACCATGTGTGTATATTTAAATATGTCTGGGGAAATAGTTTGTCTCTAAGGCAATTCAATCAGTACTCATTTAACGAAAGACTGGTACTTTCGGAAAATATCTTAAATTTCAGTGCAGCACAAAGGAGCCAGTTTCTACCCTAAATTTTCAGGAGTTGTATATGATTTAAATTTTAGAGCTTAATTTTTGTGTCATTTGGCAAGGATGACAGCCCTGTGGGACCCTGTTGCCTTTCCCCTTGCACATGTTAGACAGATCTGTATCTCTTTTATCGGAGAAGCCTTCTAACACAGTTTTGAGTCTATAGGAGTTCTGTAAGCGCATCATGATAATGTACCCCCAAAGCACAAACTTTGTAAACATTTTTAAACACGTAATGGATGAGATCATTAACTGTTTTAGGAAGAAAGCTGATCAGCAATGGAAGAAAAGAGGTTCTTATTGTAAGGTAACTAACCTAGGACCCGCTGTCTCGTTCACTCCCCTAGCATTGTATTGCCAAAGAAGTTAAAATCAACACTTACAGAGGATTATGGTATATTATGCTTTTCAGTAGAGATTCCAAGACTCCAGAATGGCTTGTGTTTCATGCAAGCATCTTTAGCAACTACCTGATGGCCAGCAGTCCAGCTAGATCTGAGTCAGAGATCATTGTGGCACCGTGTGGTGACTCCTGGAGATGGCAGTGTGTGTGTCCCTGGGATGACCAACAGCAGCCAGAGAGATTTTTTCCTGGGAGGTCACACAGCCTGCCAGAATTGGGCTTATGTGTATGGGGAGAGGATGGGTTCAGAGAATTAGAGTGATCAAGACTAGTTCTTTCACAGTCAGTCCTAAAAATTTGCATCCTTCATTGTTAACATTTTTTTTTCCTGAATGAGAAGACTGAAGTACTGAAAAGTTATATTCTAAAAATGTTGGATATATTCAACCCTTCACTACACCACGTCTTAACTCTCACATCCCCTTAAATCCTTCATGCATTCTTTCTTTGCTGTTCTTTGTACATCGTTCTGTTATTCAACTTGCTCCATTCAAAGCCCTGCATTCCTGTTTCTGCAATCCCATTAAGGGCGTATTGCACACTCTGGGACTCTGCCAAGGGCCCTGCCCACTCTTCACTGTCTCTTGGATGTACGTATAGGTTCCAACCGTTGCAAAATGATGATGTTCTTCACTTCTAGGCTTTCTCGAGGTTATTCTGATAATTCTAAATTATTTCGACCCTAAAGTTATAAGAATAAAATGTGCAGGATAATTGTCTTTTTCCCCTTTGGACATAGCTATAAAGAAGAATAGATGAAATTTGAATCGATTATGGGCTCCATCTCAGCCTGTCTTCATTGTGGGGCTAGTTCCACATAAGGTGTGAGTGGCAGATGATATACTAATCAGGAACAATTTAGTAACTTAAAGACTTTCTTCTGAACTGACAAAATTGCCCCATCTTAGAATAAAGGTCATAACCATCCCACTGACTATATATATAAGCAGTTAATTTTTTTGAGTGTACATTTGCTGCTATATCCTACAGATAAAACTGTAAACTGAAAATGCATTCATCTGCCTTTTAAGATCCTAAAACTCTCAAAATATGTGTATATAGTCCGTGAAGAATCTCAATACGAGTTTCAGGAGTTGGTCAAGTCATCCCCTGTAACTTTGCTTTTCTCCTTTTATCTTGTAAAGTAGCCTTACGTCTTTGATCCACTCGTCCAAAAAAAGATCATAGCATTGCAGTTATGGATTTTATTTCAGATGTTTATTTAAATTTTTTAATGAATTTTGATATTCTTGTTACTATATAGAACAAGATTTTAGCTGTGTTGGAGCATTTCCACTTGTAATATAGCCCAATATAATGCCAAATTAA
Organism: Homo sapiens; assembly: GCF_000001405.40. Classification (NCBI taxonomy): domain Eukaryota; kingdom Metazoa; phylum Chordata; class Mammalia; order Primates; family Hominidae; genus Homo; species Homo sapiens. The sequence continues at coordinate 182,256,825 of NC_000004.12, forward strand.
ATGGAAATAGTTGTAGGCCAAATTCTGTTGGATTATTATTTTTAGCTTACTCTTTTCTTCTTTCAAACACTGCTTTAAAAATAATTATTAAAAAAAAAAACGGTACCCGGAGTGCCATTATTTTCTTCTCTCAGCTTCACACAGAGCTCCCTCAGGGTAGAATTGGTGTCAAAAAAAAGGTAGTGAATATATTCAAGGTTTACTTGCAGTTTGCAGCTGCCATAGGGTGTAATGGTTATTATATTTGGCAGCAGTTCTCCAACTTGAGCTTGCAGCAGAATCACTGGAAGGGGCTGGTTAAGGGCACTGGATCCCATCTTAGACTCTAATTTCATAGATCTGGGGTGGGGCTCCAGAATTTGCATTTCTAACAAGTTCTTAGGCGATGTTGATGTTGATGCTGACAGACTGAGACCACCCATTGAGAACCTCTGCTTAATGGTAATGTCTGCATTCACGTGTAACAGATATACATATGTGTGTGTGTTTGTGTGTGTTATATACACATAGGTATTTTTTGCAAGTTACGCAGTGGTGCCCTCCAAGGCCCACCTATGGATCTGATTGTGACTGTCCTCCAAACCTTAGAGGACGCTGGATAATGACTCTTTGGAATGGGTCATGGCGTTACTGTCTCTAAAACAATTAGGCGGTTGGGAAAAAAGCAAAATAATGAAAGTGAATTAAGAGAACAGAGTATTTGAGGTGACAGAAGTGTGAGCATCTAGAGGACTTGGTATATTATGTATCAACACTGCCCAAGGATGCATTTCTGTGGCTTTAACTAACTTGCAGAAACCTGAGGCAAGTTGTGGTTAGTGAAGGAAAGGGACCGGAATCGCCAAGAACAAAAGGAGCCATGGGATTACCTGGGGGTGTTATGTAAGAGCAGCCCTTTGAGATGGGTATTACCACCCTCATTTTACTGAAGAGAAATGTCGATTCAGAGAAAGTACAGAACTTGCACAAGGTCATAAAGCCATTATATAATAGAATTGAGATTCAAACCTCTTCATCTGGTCCCCATACAATGCTACATCTAGTGGAAAAAGAACAAGAATTTGCCATTTATATCATACTGCCTTCCCCCATCCACCAATAAATCTTATTGCTAACTATTTTGTTGTTTTTACTCTGTTAGCAACATCTTAATGTATCCTGATTGAAAAATATTCTCAGAATTCAGGAGTATATAGTATAAATGTATAAAGAATAAATGTAAATTGTGTATGTGTGTATATATGTAGATATATACACACATAAAATATATAGTGTAGAAAATAAATACGTAAAGTATATAGAATCATGTATATAGCATATACTTCCAGTCCTTTTTATGCATTTACAAACATGCATGTGTATTTTTTATTCTAAATTAAATCCTACTATATCTATTTTTCTCAATTCTGAGCTTATTACTGAATTTAGTGGTAAACAAATTTAATGGTAAACAGGTTGTTTGCTAAACCTCACCAAACAATTTATATGAACTGCTTTTAACAATTTATAATGACTTCATTAGACAATTAATAACTTATATCCAAAGAGAATACTCAGGGAGAAAAGCAGACTTATTTTTCTGTCTTACACTCTGTAAAAAGAACAATGTCAGTACATACAAACGCTCATTGCATTTTTCATTTAGGCATTCAATGACCACCTACTTTAAATTGCTTAGTGTTTGCAAGAAAGCCATTTTCCCTCTCAAAAAAAAAATACAGCAAAGAAGAAACTGGCCAAGGGCTAATTTGCAATTCAAAGAACAGGTATTGTTATGTAAGAAGTCAGAATAAGATATTTTCATTGCTTTCCGAGTTTCACCTTGTGTTACTTGTATGTGCTATAGCCTTTAGTCCCACAATGTAAAAAGCAAATCTTTTGAGTTTTACAACCATCTTACAAAATCATTTTTGTAAGAGACCATGCAGCGACTACCTATTAAACTAATGTCAGGAGTTTAGAGTAGTAGCCTGACAAAGAAACTCACTCCTCTCCTCTTCTCATCCAGCATTGGTTACATAAACATCAGTCTGAGAAGGACAAAGCTTTGGTTGTTTGGAAATGGCTCCAGAAACTCGACATTTAAACACTTCCATTTGTACTGAAAACTCTGGCTATTTTTGGAGTGCTGTGCTTTGGTTGGTTTTGCATTTGTTTTGGAGAATAACAAATATATTTAAAATGTTTTAGTAATTAGAGAAGGCAGATACCTTTGTCTATAAAGCCAGTTATGTTTTCCACATTTCAGTGGCACCCCAAGCTAAAAGATGGTGAAGGTGTATTTGAGAAGAATAAAGGTAGGTAACAGAGTGGAGAGCTGTCTGTAAAGGGTATGTTTGTTATAATTCTGGATATCCTGGCTGTTGGCTAAGGTAAGCAGATCTGACTGTGTTACTTAGCTTTCCACAGATAATTTATGGAACACCTCAGGGAACAGCTTTCATATTTTACAAGTTATTTTTATGAATATTCTAAGAAAGTCCTTTATTATGTATTTATTTATTTAGATACAGGGTCTTGCTCTGTCATCCAGGCTGGAGTGTAGTGGTGCAAACATGGGTTACTGCAGCCTCAACCTCTGGGCTTCAGCGATTCTCCCACCTCAGCCTCCCACGTAGCTGGGACCACAGGTGCGCGCCACCACACCTGGCTAATTTTTAAATTTTTTTGTAGAGACAGGGTCTGCCTTTGTTGCCCAGGCTGGTCTTGAACTCCTAGACTCAAGCAAGCATTCTGCCTCTGCCTCCCAAAGTGCTGGGAACAGGTGTAAGCCACCACACTCAGCCTATTTTTTAACATTTTTTTTATTGATATGTAACAGATGTACATATTCTGGGGATACATCTGATGACTTAATACAAATCATATAATTTGTAAAGATCAAATTAGTATAACTGGGATATCCATCACCTTAAATAGTTGTCTTTTCTTTATGCTGGAAATATTGAAATTCTTTTGTAGTTATTTTGAAATACACAATAGATTACTGTAAACTATAGTTACCCTACTGATCCGTGAAACACTAGGTCTTATTTTTTCTATCAAACTGTATATTTGTACCCACTTATCATCCTCTCTTCATCTTCCCCTCACCCCCCTACTCTTCTTGGTTTCTGGTGAGATCTGCTTTTTTAGCCCCCTGCATATGAGAGAGAATGTGGAGCATCGTCTGTCTGTGCCTGGCTTATTTCACGTAACGTAATGTCCTCCAGTTCCATCCATGTTGCTGCAAATGACCGGATTTCACTAATTTTTATGACTGAGTAATATTCCATTGTGTGTATGGACTAAATTTTCTTTATCCATTCATCTGTTGATGGACACTTAGGGCGATTTCATATCTTGGCTATAGTGAATAGATCTGGGATAAACATGGGAGCACAGATCTCTCTTCAATATACTGACTTCCTTTCTTGTGGGTAGATACCCAGTAGTGGAATTGCTCGATCATATGGTAGTTCTGTTTTTAGTTCTTTTGAGGAACCTCCATATAGTTTTCCATAGTGGCTATACTAATTTGTATTCCCACCAACAGTGTATGAAGGTTCTCCTAAGAAAGCCATTTTTAAGTGTTCCTTTTTCCTACTGTGTTAACTAGTAATATGAAAAAGAACAAAAAAAGTGTATCAAAATTAGCAACTCCACATAGCCAACTTAATAATAACCTACTGTAGTAAATTTATTACCTACTAAATAATACTTAGATATAATAAGAATTATACAGTTGGGGACAGTCTGTAATAACAGTTTTTTTATACTTCTGTTTTTGATAATTTATCCCCAATTCTGAAATGGTTCTATTAAAGAAAGCCCAGATTTTTCAAGTAAAGGTTGTTTCTTATTCATATGGTACTTTCTGTATAAGTGTAGCTTTCACTGACAAATAGATGAGTTATTCTTACATGTTATCTACAATGTAGAAAATCAAATCAACATACTGAACTCATATAATACTGACAACTATGAAAAATCATCAGTTAGTGAACTGTAACAGTTATCCCAATGCCAGGAAATAGCAAATAAAAAGTATCTAGAGCTTAATTCATTATTTTCTTTCTTTTTTTTTTCTGAGTCGGAGACTTGCCCTGTTGCCCAGGCTGGAGTGCAGAGGCGTGATCTCAGCTCACTGCAACCTCTGCCTCCCGGGTTCAGTTGATTCTCCTGCTTCAGCCTCCTGAGTAGCTGGGACTACAGGTGCGCACCAGCACGCCCAGCTAATTTTTGTATTTTTAATAGAGACGGGGTTTCACCATGTTGGCCAGGATGGTCTCAATCTCTTGACCTCATGATCTGCCTGCCTCAGTCTCCCAAAGTGCTGGAATTACAGGCGTGAGCCACCGCGCCTGGCCTAATTCATTCTTTTCAAAATAGTCACTCATCCATTCAACACATACTTATTTAGCATGCACTGAAGTTCGAGACACTGATTTGGACACTCAGTGTTACAAGCTTGTGAGTTGTAATTCTAAAAGGCTGAGTATTTTTAAAACAAAACCTTCCAGAGCTCCAGCACTAAAATGAACATTGCCCTTCAGAGAGTTCACCTTGGGCAGTTATGGCTGTTCCGGCATCGTGAGGGTGATGTCTCCCCTGTGGCAGCCAGGTCAGGGGACACACAGGAATGTGGGCTAATTAATGTCAGCACCCCGTGTTTGTCCCTCAGTGTTTTGTCATACACGCCTTACTGATGTGACTTAACTTCAGACTTTTAGGTGTTTCAAATAACAAATGCGCTTTTAAAGAATAATGGCCTCTATCTGACAGAATAAGAAAAGCAATAGAATACAATATTAGCTTTGAAGACTACTTGCAAAAATTTGTTCCAGCAAAGGCTTTGGTAAGAGCAGCACTATCCAAATCCAAATCGGGGCATTCCCTACCAAGACCACTTTGCTGATGCTCCCGCTTGCCCAGTCCTAACGCACCAGGATGTTGGCTGAAACACTGGATCATTGTCTTACATGTGCCATTACATATTACGTCGTCTATGCAGTCAAATCATGTGGTATAACTTTACTGCATAGACACACTTCACACACCTCCAGGTCACTGTGGATCGTGTAGGCAGCCTTCCAACAAGACCAGAGTAAAGGCTCATTTGAAAACATCCACAGTTGATTTTGAGGATCCCCAAATTGCTGTCGTCACTTAATCCTTTTTCTGAATAAAAATTACCAAGATCATGAGTCACCACCTGATCTTATGTTGGTATCAATGTTTCCTTTGTAAAGAAAGGCAGGAGGCATGAGCACTCTGTTTCCGGATATGGATGTGTGTGAAGATAAATAAGGAAGAACTGCATTTTTTTACAGCAATTAAGTGCCATACCTGATCATCTCATAGCTACATGGCATTTGTAATAAATAAATGACACAACTAAATGAAATTTAAAAGATGTAATTAGCAAATTTTATTAAAATGTCACAAGCTATTTACTTGTTCTACAAACATGTCAGAGGTGTTGTGAACCAGAGCAACACCGTCTTGAATAGGAGCTGGGCAAAATGAGGCTGAAACCTACTGGGTGCATTTTCGGACAGTGAAGGCATTCTAAGTTACAGGATGGGATAGGAGATTGGCACAAAATACAGGTCATAAAGACCTTACTGATAAAACAGGTTGCAGTAAGGGAGCCGGCCAAAACCCACCAAAACCAAGATGGTGACGAGAGTGACCTCTGGTCGTCCTCACTGCTACACTCCCACCAGCGCCACGACAATTTACAAATGCCATGGCAACGTCAGGAAGTTATCCCATGGTCTAAAAAGGGGAGGCATGAATAATCCACCCCTTGTTTAGCATATAATCAAGAAATAACCATTAAAATGGGCAACCAGCAGCCCACGGGGCTGCTCTCCTGTCCATGGAGTAGCCATTCTTTTATTCCTTTACTTTCTTTTTTTTTTTTTTTTTTTGAGACGGAATCTCGCCCAGGCTGGAATGCAGTGGCCTGATCTCAGCTCACTCCAAGCTCCGCCTCCCGGGTTCACGCCATTCTCCTGCTTCAGCCTCCCGAGCAGCTGGGACTACAGGCACCCACCACCACGCCCGGCTAATTGTTTGTATTTTTAGTAGAGACGGGGTTTCACCGTGTTAGCCAGGATGGTCTCGATCTCCTGACCTCGTGATCCGCCTGCCTCGGCCTCCCTCCTTTACTTTCTTAATAAACTTGCTTTTACTTTGCACTGTGGACTCGCCCTGAATTCTTTCTTGCGCGAGATCCAGGAAGCCTCTCTTGGGGTCTGGATGGGGACCCTTTCCTGTATCATATTTCTCTGTCCTGTAACATAATGTCTGGCGACCGCGAAGGGACTGTAGTGCAGAAACCCTGAGCCGCGGGGTCAGGGGTTGTTGGGGGTCCTATAACGTCTTGCGAACCACAAAGAGAAGACCCCCGACCCAAAGGAAATAGACTGCAGCACTGATTGGGTGACAGTGGATAAGTGGTGGGTTCCTGGGTAAATAATGGGATTGGGTTAGTGGCCCATCTTAGGGGAGCTCCCCATGTCCCTTGATCCTGCCCTCTTAATAAAAGGCAGAGGCGCTTGACCTTGGGTTAGAGGCCCAACTTAGGAGGGTTAGAGGCCCCTGAATCTTAATTCAGGGGGTTAGAGGCCCCTCTCTATAAAGTCCGCCTCTGCTAAGAACAGCTTTGGCACTATGAGATGTTAACTGCTGTTCTCTTTGGATTCATCTGCGTTGCACTCTTTATTAATGGCTGTGGGTAACGGGATTAGGCATGTACAGGATTGAGGGACATGGGCAATTCCCCCCCCTACCTTCACGACAGCACCCTCAGCCGCCTAAACTTTTCAGTGTTCCTGCAATGGTAGGTCTTCCTCTGGCCTCCCTGAGCATTTCGCCTTGCCCACCCTGCCACGGACAGTGCTTTTTATTCGCTCCTTTCCCTTTCTTATCTCTCTGTTACTCAGGGCAACCATGTTGCTCAGAGACCACGTGTCGAAACTCTTAAGTCAGAGGTTGGATTAAAGATGACGGGGCTCACCCATCTGGGGGCAAATTTAAGCTTTGCCAATTTGATATTGGGTGCTAAGCAGAGTGGCTAATGTCTGTGTTTTATCACTTGTATTTTGCTCTGGCCAGAACGAAAAAAAAATAATTTTCCTTTATGATGCGGCTTGGCCCCCAGGGCGATGGTGCCGCAAGCCGGATCACTAGGGCCGCTCAGGGAAAGGGAACCCAGAAGCCTGGCTTGCCGGCAAAGGGTAAGAATTCTTTACCAGTCAGATTTCTGGCTTCTCTCTCTCTCTGTGCAAATGGCTAAATGAATGAAAAAAAATCAGTGTTTATCTCTTCTGTAAAGTTTTGATTAATGCGAAAAAGAATTCTAAGGCTAGTCTTAAGCTGCTGTATTTTGAGCTATGAATTCGTTTTTCTGTGTTGAGGGTACTTCAGGATGAAACGTGGGCTTGGAACACCTGCAAGCCCGCTTTTCAAGACGGCCCAGCAAGCTGGTTAGTCGCAAACTTGGCTGCAGGTCCGTGAAACAAACAAAAGACTGGATGAAGTCTCCACGTTGTTTTATGTCCTTGGGAACTTTACATTTTAACCACGTGGCGGTACTTTCTCTTGGTCTCTGCCTTCCAGGGAACAGGAATTTGAGGGTTCATGTCATAGTTATCTCTAAAAATCTTATTAAATAGTTAAAAGTCTTTGCAATCTCAAAATTAACTACTCTAGACTCCTTCTGGGAAAAAAGACAGAGACTGTCCTGTGCTGTAGCTCAGTAGCTAAGGTTTTTGCCCTTTCCCAGTGGCGGTCCAGGTTCAATTCCCTGCCTAGAAAGTAAGTCATTTCTCGTTTGATTATCTGCATGACCTTGTCTTTTCTCTTCTCCGTGGACTGTTTTAAATTTTCCTTTCTCTGAGCATCTTGGAGGTTACCTTTGGTAAAGTTCAGAAACTAAAAATATTGGCCACTTGGCATGGCTAAAGTTGGGTAATAAGAAATCTGAAAGGATTTCTTTTTTAAAGAGCACTATGGTTAAAAGTCAGCTTAATTAGAAGTGGATAAACAAGCTATAAATATATTTAAAAGGCCTTTATGTTTTTCTCTTCTTGGAACTTGTTTTTCTGAAAAATGGTTTTTTTTTCTTAGTCGACTGAATTATTTTTCTCCATTTTTTTTTTGTCTTGTCACTCTTAATGCACACGAGAGGCCCTAAGATAACTTCTGGTAGCCTGGGACTCCTTGAGAAAAACAGAGGAGGCACCACAGACTCCGTTTTGGGAAAAAACCTCTGTTTTCCTCATGAAATCCCAGGAATTAAAGGCAGGTAGTTCCCTCTCAAAATCAAAGGTTCTGTTCTGTTTTGCATTGTGTTATCTGACGTTTTTGAGTTTTGGGGGTATCAGAAATTACTTAGCATTATAAGAGAGCTTTGGTGTATAATAACTAGGTAGGAAATATACTTTAAGGGATGGCTAATAGTAGTGATAGAGGGATACTTGACTCTTTGCACACTTGGATCAGAGAAGCATGTTCTTGGCTACCTGGAAGATAAGGAACCATCTCCACCCCACGCTGGAGATGAGACTCCCATGAAGGATAGGCTGATGACAAAATGGGCTGATTGGCTTTGGGCTGCCTTGCAATGAAATACAGGGTAGGATCACAGCCCTGTCTTCTCCCGTAGTGTTTCCCTCCTTTTGGGAATCCAGGAATCAGTGTAAAACAGCACCCTTAATTTTGGGGATGTGTCTTTGCCTTCAGCTGCTTATTTGCTTATTTGCTGCTTATTTGGCCCTAGAAATGCATGCTGGCCCTGTTCCTCCAACGGCTCCACCCTGAAGCCAGTCATCCAACTAAAAAATTTAAAAACTGGCAAATAAAACATCTTACAACTATTGTAATCTTCTGCCTTTCTGTGTAGCTATATATGTGTTGTGTGTAGTGCTCATATAAAAGAGCTCTAGTTAATTGGCTTAAATAAAAATAAGTGCTTAAATCAGATATTTTAAAAGCAACATAAAAACTGTAATGCCTTTTGGTTCATGTAACTTTAGTAATCTTTGAGAAATAAAAACAGCTTTAAAAATTATTGATAAAATAAAAACATTTAGTCTAAATTATGCAAGTCAAATATTAAGTTTGCTAAATGCTTTAAGGTCATAAACTGCCTCTTTAACTTTTAAAAATTGTTCAATTGACCTACCTTAAAATTTACCTACCTTACCTACCATTAGATTCTAGTTAAGGCCTGGGGACATGTGGAGTTAGCCACGCCCCCTAGCTGTGCTGGAGAGTCAGCTCTTATCTGCACTTCTGCCCGGTGTGTCCTGGATAGACTCCACACCTAGTACGTAATTAAAATCTCTAATTTACTATGGTTTTCACCAAAAATAGAAGTTGCTAAGAGTTAACATTATAACATGTAATTAAAACTGTTAAAGTAACAATTTTACCTGCAAGGTATGTAAAGAAAGTAAAATGTGTTTTTGGTAGAAGATTGTAAGAAGTCATGGGAATGTGGATTTTTTTCTGCCTAAATTAAAATGTCAAAGAATTGTTAGGTTTAAACAAGTTGTAGAAAACTTCTAAAAATTAATTGTAAGAGAGTGTGTGTGAACATACTGGCTAAAGTTAAAAGGGTATTATTCAGTTTTTCTGTAAATTCAACATTGGAATAGAAGCACAGCAGGTTTTTCTTAAAGCATTAATCTGCTCTTTCACAAAAAAAGTAAAGGGTTATAAAAGGTTTATAAGAATCTTACCTTATGGTTAAACATTACAAATGGGTAAATATATCTATAAGGTTTTATTAAAAATTGGGTTTAACATGAATAGTACATTAACATAAAGGTAAAATTTGGCATATTTGATATAAAAATCATACAGGAAGCATTATTAAATGTGAAATGGTGTTTTGCTTTATTTGGAGTCTATTTGCATAAATGTATTATTGGCATATGTTCCGAAGTTATGGGAAACTCCTATCATTCTAATATAATTTAGTGTATGTTATTAATAATTATAATTGTTATGTAAAATTTTGTGTGCCACAGAAGTAACCAAATTTCCTTATCAATTGTGGCTTTAATAGTGGCTGTCCTAAAACTTTTTATCATCCACAGACAATTGTTGTCTTGTTTTAATCCTCTTTAGAAGGTGGTTTATAATCAACTATAGAACTCTAGCAGGTGTTCTTAAATGCAGGTTTTCTAATAACTCTGGAGATTGTAACATCAAACTAAAGGAAAAAACTTTCAAAACTCTCATAGAAAACTAAAATGTTCATAACTATCAAACAAAAGTTAACTACATGGACTAAACTGATGAAGTCTAATCTTTTTAACTTTGCTTGAAATGTTGCTAATCCTTTGTTTTTCAGAGTCAAGAAAACTTTTCTTTTGAGTTATTTACAGCTTTTAACAGTTGAGTGTATGCCTATGAACAAAATTTAAGGCATATTTATTTCTCTCTACCTAATTTCTCCAGAATTTAGGAACTAGTTGTCAGTATTCTTAACTTATGGCAATATAATTATTTGCATAGGTACAATAAGAATCTGTTTTCTTTTGTAACAGGACACAATTGGAAAAAGTGATTATTTTGCCAAGGCTTTGACTGGAATAGTGTGTTTTCCTTTAAGGAATTAAACTTAATTTTTAGAGCTGATACAAGCCCCATAGGGAACCAACCTCATACCTTGCCTAAAACAGTCCCTGTACAGGGTTTCTAGCCTGTGGTAAGTAAAAAAATGTCACTTTCTAACAAGTCCAGAAGCCTCAAGTTATCTTGGGACTTCAAGAGAAAAGAAATTTACCCAATTCACAGATATTGGAGTGTGCAAACCCATGACTGGGCTCAGCTTTAAAAAAGTCTTATCTGAAATTCCTTCTGTGGAACAAAGTTCCATCAAAGCCAATTTAAAAAAAAAAAAAAAGCTTATGTGAAAAATAATTATTTCTTGCTACACTTTATACAAGTAATCATCCCAAGTATAATAAAGCAAATCAGTCTTACCATGATTTGTCTTTAATAAAAATGGGAAACCAGAAAGAGAAATATTATGTTTCAAAAACTATGGTACACTTGTTATTAGATTCTAGTCTCATCAGTTGTTTTTAAGTTTATTTCTGCAATCTAGGCTAACCCTGCTTATTCCTGTGAACCAACCAGTGATCTCTGACTGTTACTCAGAAGAGACAAGAGGGATGGGTAATGTAGAAATCTGATCAGTATTCTCATTCTGGGCGCATTACAATCAGCTAACAACCCCATGTCAGCTTAGTTCCAATAGTTGCCCAGTTCATAAAAAAGCCTTCTAATTTAGTTTACTTGAAATAACTTTACTTATTTTACTTTCCTCTTGTGGAATATATTGCTGATATACTCTTTGTATAGGAATACAGGACAAGGAATACAGGACAAGCTTACTGAATGTTTTCTTAAACACTTATTAATCTTCCAGTATCTCCTTTTGTTGAAACTCAAGAGTTATAAATAAACCTTACCATACATGCTTTCTGACTGAGCTCCTCTCTACCCTAAATGTAAAAGACCCTCATACTTAGGCAAAAATATCATTGCCCCTATTCAGCCTAAAAACATTACAAAAGATGAGTCTTCGTCCCTCTGCAACCCTTAAAATGAAGGGTTCTCTTATAAAAGGGAGGGGGGAAATGTGTCAGAGGCTTGTGAACCAGAGCAACCCTATCTTAAATAGGAGCTGGGTAAAATGAGTCTAACCTACTGGGCTGCATTCCCAGATGGTTAAGGCATTCTAAGTCACAGAATGAGATAGGAGCTCAGCAGAAAATACAGATCATAAAGACCTTACTGATAAAACAGTTTTCAGTAAAGGAGCCGGCCAAAACCCACCAAAACCAAGATGATGACAAGAGTGACCTCTGGTTGTCCTCATTGCTGTGCTCCCACCAGCACCCTGACAGTTTACAAATGCCATGACAACATCAGGAAGTTCTGCTATATGGTCTAAAAAGGGGAGGCATTAATAATCTACCCCTCATTTAGCATATCATCAAGAAATAACCATAAAAATGGGTAAACAGCAGCCCTCGGGGCTGCTCTGTCTATGGAGTAGCCATTCTTTTATTCCTTTACTAAGTAAGTTTGCTGTCACTTTGGACTGTGAACTTGCCCTGAATTCTTTCTTGTGTGAGATCCAAGAACTCTCTCTTGGGATCTGGATGGGGACCCCTTTCCTGTAACATATTTCTTTGTCCTGTGACAAAGATGTTGAATATATTCAAACTTTGCTCTTTAAAAAAAAATAGTATTCAAATGACTCACAATATTAATACAGAGCTCTTGAAATGGACAGTTCGGAAATGCTAGTTTTTGACAGGTGTGGGAGATTATCCATCCCTTTGACGTGGGTGTAAATCTATGGCAGAGTTTGTGTTGGTCTTCAGGGGTGTTTCTGTGAGGACAGAATCAGAGCATGGATGAGCGAGGCATGTCACAGCCCCAGCCACTAAACCCTGAAAGGGATTCAGATGTCTGCAGGGGCAAGAAAGGAAAAATCATAGAGGAAGGAGACATTATAGCAAAATGATTTATTTTTCACAAAATATAGATGTGAGAGTACTGGACAGTTGGCCAAGGGAAAGTTAAAGACTTGGTGCCCGGAAGTGACTCTCTAAATGCTGTTGAGTGTAGGAATTAAGTAGACGATCACTGAGAGAAGATGTCACCCAAGCCAACAAGGAATCAGCCCCTCCCTGTACAGGCCCCCTCCCCTTTATAGATCTAAAAATCGGACAAACTCTGGCTGCCTCCCTGCTTGACTTCCTCTCCATCTGAGGTTCAAAACTAAGGGGACTAATCCTTGGAAAGTAAGATTGGAGAGAACCTTGAGGATTATCTAATCCATATCCTCTTTCTAAGGAAAAGCACACCCAGTTATCGTAATTAAGGGAAAATTGCTGATGAAAAAAAGCCAAACTCTGTAAAAGATTTAAAGAGGTTTATTCTGAGCCAATATGAATGGCCATGGCTCGGGGAACAGTCTCAAGGGAGTCATGAGAAAGTGTACCCAAGGAGGTTGGCTCACAGTTTTGTTTTATACATTTTAGGGAGACAGGGGTAACAGGCAAAGACATAAATCAACACACGTAAGGTATACACTGGTTTAGCCCAGAAAGTTGGGGCATCCAGAAGTGGGGATAAGGAGCATTGGGGGCTTACAGATCATAGGTGGATTCAAAGATTGTCTAATTGGCAATTGGTTGAAAGAGTTAAGCTTTGTCTAAGACTTGAAGTCAATGGAAAAAATTGCCTGAGTTAAGATAAGGGGGGTTGTGGAAGCCTAGGTTCTTGTTATGTAGACGAAGCCTCCGGGTAGCAGCCTTCAGAGAGAATAGATGGCAACTGTCTCTTCAGACCTTAGAAGGTATCACTCTTAGTTAATCTCTCTTAGATCCTAATCCCAGCTGTATTAATGGAAATTCTCTGTAGATGCTAATTCCCCCCATGAAAGATGGCTTTACAGGTTCATTTAAGAATATGCCAAAGAAATATATTTGGGGGTAAAATATTTTGATTTCCTTCAAGGTCTGCTATCTGTCATGTGATGCTATTCCAGACTGAAGGTGGAATTTGGTATCTTATTGCTACACAAAGAATCTTGTTTCATTAGTCTTATGATTTCTATTTTAACGTTAGTGCTGGTCAATTTTGGCTAAACTCCAAAGGAGAAGGTATAGGAGGCGTGTCTGACCTCCCTTCCAGTCTTGATCTGGAATTCAGTTTTTCAGGTTTCTCCAGGGTCCCCTTGGCTCAGAGTGGCATCTGTTCAGTCTGTTGGAGGCTTAGGATTTTATTTTTGGTTTACAAAATAAAGAAAGAAAGAGCATGGGGGACCAAGATAGAAGGACATCTACAGAGACCTAAGGTACACACTCAAAATTCTCACTTTCAGGAAATGTTTGTGTATAACCTGATAGGTTAAATTCATCAATGCTTACAGTCTGGACCCTCTAAAGATGGAGAATCTATAGTCAGAATATTCTTAATTTTTTAATATTCTTAGAGCTCACTTCAAAACTGCAGTATCTCTGACGCTACTATGAAATCCCCCTGAAAATCGCATTATCCCTACATTCAGCCCAAGTCGTGGATCCTGGGTTGATTGACACTGTGTAAAAATAAGCGTCACACAAGCACTGATAATAGGTAGTATTTTGCATTCTGTTGCTTTATTTTGGTTTTGGAACAAAATCAAATACCTGCCTTCTTTAATTCCTGTGGAACCCGTGTTCTCTTATCTCTGGTCATTTTAAAACTATAGTTCAGGACATAGAAATTCCTCCTGCTAAGACAACCAGAGTCTTGAGGGCTCTTAGTGTTTATTATAACCGATCCTGTTTCTGTAGAACAGGATTCAATCTTTGTAACCAGCTAGTTATCGCCTTACAGCAGGACTTATTCTTCTTTCTTGACAGTTCAAAGCCTAACCACCCCCTTCCTAAGTGCGGCTGAAAAGACCTTTCCCTGAAATTTAGTCTTTAGGGCATCCATTGATTTAGAAAGACCCTGGTTCAGGGTCAGAAGAATTGCATAGGAAACAAAAGCTCTTTTTTCTCCCCCTTGCAATCATCGGTAAATAAGGCCTTCCCGTCCTTCCACCATGCATAGGTGGAGGCGCAGGACATCAGGAACAGGTGGGTCCAGTTGTGCATTTCAATTCTTGTCACAGAAGAAGGGGACATGTCCTTGAAAATTATTTTGCCTAGTTTTCACCTGAGTTAAGAAGGAGGACACTGGGAGAGAAAGAAACAGTGGGGATTTAGAGATGTTTTGATTTCTTTGCTATGTGTGATGCCTTTGTCTCGGAACCTCAATCCTATAAGCAGTGGCGATATTTTTACGGGGCTTCCCATCTTCAATAAATTGTATAACGGTAATTAATTCTCACAGCATCCATTTGACTAAAGCGTTATTATCCCTGTATTATAGAGGAGAAAACTGATTTGCCAAACCCCACAAAGAAAGTCAATGTCGAAGAAAGGATTATTGCGCAGGAGGGTCTAAAAGTCTAATCTCAGCTCTGAGATGCTTCTTATTGTTAATTTTTTCTGTGAGAGCAGGTGCAGCAGGGATTTGCCAGGTGACTTCACGGAGGGTGTGTGAACAGGCGGCAGCTCTGCCCTTGCGCAGTCCTCGTGACCGTTCGGCCAGTTTAAGCTGATTAGATGTGGTTTGTCTCCACACAGCTCTCAACAGAGATATAAAAATATAGGGTGAATTATTGTATAGTGAACATAACCCAAAATTTTGGTCCACCCATTTCCACCTACATGAGTTCGAGGTATAGATGTCTTATTTATTGAGTCGACGTATTTTTGCAAAGGTTCCGTAGACTGAAATATTTAGTTTGCATTCTTTTCCATAATAACGACTTACTTAACTATAGGTCATTAATCTCAATCCTCCACACTGTAATTCAGCCAAGAATTAGTAAGCAAGCAAAATAAATGTCCCAGCAGTCTCAAATATTTCCCACATTCCTCTAAAGTAACAACGCATTGCTCTTTGGAAAAACCACCTAGAGTTGATTTACTACAGGTTTAGATATGGTGATGACAGACTTGCTGGAGATTCACCAGATAAAGAAACAAATGAAATGAGACGAGAGCAAATCTTCCGAGAGGCCAGCCTGCAGAAACGCCAAGCTGACCCTCTGAGAACAAGGGCAGAAACAGAACTACGACACATACATAAGAACTCACAAACTTTGTCAAGCTTAGGCCACTGGTTTCCCGCAGAGGCAAGCTGTTGAATTACTACAGGGAAGTCCTTCATGCCAACACGACACTCAAGTAATGGTTACTAGTCATAATGATAAAACTGAATATTATTTATTTGTTGAACGTTTATGGAGCTTCTGGGGCTCTGACGGTGAAGAAGACAGACATGGTCCCTACCCTCATGGAGTTTATAATCTAGAGAAGAGAAAAGTCAGTGTGCAAGAACATACATTACTGCAATGATTTCAGCTTGGGATAGGTGCTGTGAGTGACATGAATGAAGCACCATGAGAGAGAATGGCTGAGTGAGATGGTTTCCTTCAGGTGCAGGGGTTGGGAGCATCAGAGACTCGTAGGTACCTGCGGTATGAGTCCTGCAGGATCTGGAAGGGTTTTAAACTGGGGAGTGACAAGGTTTGATTTAAGTTTGTAAAAGACAGTTGATTGTGAGTTAGTCTTGAGGGTTGAGGAGAGGAGCGTAACCAGGTGGTCAGTGAAGATGGTTGTAACTGGGATGAATATGGAGAAGATGATATGGTTTAATATCCTCTGGTGGAAACAGACCAATCTTCCAGACATAATCATAACAAAATAACTAACACTGTTTGAACACAGGTTAGGTGCTGGGCACTATGCCCTCTCAGTCGATCCCCCGACAGCCCTGGGAGAGGGAGGTGCTGTCAAGCACAGCTCTGAAGAGGTTAAGACGTTTGCCTGCGATTTCACTACTTATACATGCTATATAGCTGGGGTTTAAGCTCAGTGGTTTGGCTCCAGAGTTCACGTTCTTAGACCTGAGATAATTTCCAGAAGATAAGCATTTTGCATTCTCCAATTATACCTGTCAGATTTTTGAAAGACAGATAATTCACTTGGGGGAATTCACCCCAAGAAGCCTGATTAGGGCGAGCTATTCTTTACTCTTGTGAGTGAATCAGTAACATGATAAGAATACAAGTCCCTGCTTTGTTCCTTTTTGGCCGAATATCCTTATTCTCTCAAACATCTTCCAGGAAGCTCTCATTGATTGTACCGCATTTCATTGATACATGCTGATTGTAAGAGGAAAATATGTACATTCTGTTAGAAGGCAGGTGCAAAACAATTAAAGAAAAATCAGGACAAAAACACTCCAAGAGCTTGGCCTACCCTATTCAGACTTGAGGAGCAGGCCACATTCAACACAAGGCAATTTCCAGCAGTGAATACCCTGTTTTCCTTTGACAAAGGGACGTGTAAATTGAGAAGTGTGAAGGAATGCCAATTCGGAAATTTGAGCTTTACAAAAATATTTTGGTTTAAATTTAATGAAGGAGCTTTGTATTCTAAAGATTAAAGCATGGAAATAGTTATCTTTCGAGGAAGGATGTTTCTCCTATTAATGCTTTAAATAAGAATAGCATCTTCTCAAGTATACATACAGGTGTTCTTTCTCCCTACAATGGACCTGTTAGAGCAAGAGAAAGAATCAGCAACAATGTGAAAGAAACATATAGGGACAGTCTTGCTGGAGGCCAGAATGAGTGAGCAGGGCAAACTGAAAAGGAAATGGAAAGAGACTTCAAAGAAAGTAGAAAATGCTAACATCACGGTAGTAGCATGAGAAGAAACTTCTAGGGGAAGCTGGGCTAAGAAAATGTTTGAGCTGGTGGATAGGTAATTCACACAAGCTACACTTGGTTTTGTACATTGTAGTCTTCTACATTTTTTATTTAGTGTCATAAAGAAAGCATTTTGATCAGGGCAAGGACGGAGAGGCCTCCTAATTCACAGGAAGCCCTCCCCAGAGAGGAGAAAGGAGATACTCCTGAGATGACAGGAATCCCGGCTTCCACTGAGCCCTAAGGAGCGATATAGTGTTTGGCATGGCAACAAAAAGATGTCCTTGGCAGCTTTGTCACCTTCAGTGATGACTGTTCAGAGGCAAAGTGGAGTGAGGACGTGTTTGGATATTGAAAGAGGTGAGTGAGGAGGGTGAGTTTGACTGGGGTCGCATGTTCGCCGTGTTCTACCTCCATCACTTGAAGGAGGCCTGCTTAACCGCAGCATCCTGGGCGTGGATGCTGAGTTTCTGAAATGTAAATAAGTGCAGATACGTAGAAAGTCTACCAAATTAAAGCTGAGGTCATTTGACTTTGTATTTGAGCTCTGAAACTTGCAAGATAATGATTACTTTTAGAGTACATAGACAGAATACCTTGAGATTAAATGGCTATTTCTGAGTTTAAGTCCAGTGGTCTCTAATTTATTTGTTGGTTTAGTATTTATTATTATTATTATTTTGAGATGGAGTCTTGCTCTGTCGCCCAGGCTAGGGTACAGTGGTGCCATCTTAGCTCACTGCAACCTCTGCCTCCCGGGTTCAAGCTAATCCTCCCACCTCGGCCTCCCGCATAGTTCAGATTACAGGCACGCACCACCACACCTGGCTAATTTTTGTATTTTTAGTAGAGATGGGGTTCCACCATGTTGGTCAGGCTGGTCTCGAGCTCTTGACCTCAAGTGATCCACCTGTCTTGGCCTCCCAGCGTGCTGGGATTATAGGCTTGAGCCACCGCACCCAGCAGTATTTTTTATTTAATTGGAGTGTTGATTAGTTGGTTAGTTTTTATTGTCGTCTCGTGTAATGGCAGAGTTTCCTCCTGTGTGCTGGCTCTCCTGAACCAGGTGTGATGGCCATTTTTACACATCATCCCTGTTTAGCAGGAAAGACCATAAGAAACAGGTGCAGGACTTGCCCCTGGGCACGTATGAGACATCACACTTGCAGCTTGGGAGCTCTTCAAGGGCAAGTAGTGTGTCTTATTCTTCACGTTGTTCCTGGCATCTGTTACACTGTACTTGCTTTCACCCTCAGATTTGTGGAAACATTACTTGGCTTTCTCAACACCACCACACAGGCATTCCTTAGGCAGATTTTGACAGAACACCTGCAGTGTGACAAGCAGTGTTCTAGGCCCTGGGAATAAAGTGGAAATAAAGATCCTTGTTTTCGTGAAACTTTGGTATTTTGCTGGGGTAATGGAGAAGTGAACAGATAAGATAATTTTAGAGCATAGTAAGTACTCTTTAAAAAAAAAGAAGAGAGATGTTATGGGGCAGGTGTGGTGGCTCACACCTGTGATTCCAGTGCTTTGGGAGGCCAAGGCAGGAGGATTGCTTGAGGCCAGGAGTTTGAGACCAGCCTGGGCAGCATAGCAAGACCCATTTCTCCAAAAAGTTTTAGAAATTAACTGGGCATGGTGCCGCATGCTTGAAGTGCTAGCTACTCAGGAGACTGAGGTGAGAGGATGGACCACTTGAGCCCAGGAGTTTGAGGTTGCAGTGAGCCATGATCATGCCACTGCACTCCAGCCTGGCAACAGAGCAAGACCTGATCTCTTTTAAAAAATTATCAGTCAATCAATCAAAAAAAATTTTTTTAAGGTGTTATGTGTTAGAGGAATAAGGGAGCTGCTTGACTTGGCTGGTCAAGCACGGCCTCTCTCAGGAGTGAATTTGCACTGAGACCTGAGTAATGAGAAGTCTCCAGCTGGGCAGGGATTTAAAGAGGGGGCTGGCCAGGCTTAGGCACCAGAGAGCCCACAGATCCAAAAAGAGAGGGTCTTTGGTGTGATCCTGGAACAGAAATATCAGTAACATTGGAGCAGACACATCATTTTCCACATAAGCACAGAGCATGAGAGGTTTTTGCCCTTTACGGTCAAACCAGATGTCTCTCATTGACCTTTTATCACGTGAAAAGAATAGAATTCAAGTCAACTTAAACGGTTATCAGGTAACCATACATGACATCATGTTTTAGTGTTTAAACGGGCAGAACACTCTTTAGGCCTTTCATTCTTCTAGCCCTCTTGAGATAACATTTGTGATAAGGTGTTGAAAAGAGCATAAGGTTTCCATCAAGCCTTTGACTCGAATGCGAACCTGTCTCCAGAGGACTTGCGGTGTTACACTTGTTTAAATGCCAAGAATCAGTAAACATTATTATAAACAAATTTTCAATAAAATCATCAAAGGTCTTTTCCCACTGAACGTGAACTAATCTTGGCCATATTTTTAAGCACTGCTGTCCAATTATTTTAAATAATGTGCAGCACTTAACTATGTTATTTGCCTAGAGGAAATAATGTTTCAGTGAAAATTATCAGCTGAATTTTCTTAGGTTATCTGATTTCCTATTGTTTACCTTCTGCTTATTATCTTTCAAAGTGACGTATTTCATATATTTCGTCTGTATGTATATATAGAGCTTTCCACTTGGCAAACTTTGATATCTCTCTGCTGGGCATAAAGTCTGCTAAGTAAAATGAAATGAACTCAGCTCTGTGTTGTAAACACTGAACTCAGCTCAGTCCTGTAAACAGGACTACCTTGTGAAACAGAAAGAGCTGTGTTAATTTTACTTTCATTAATATGAAGGATAGTATGGAAAGAGCAAGAAGCATTTATAAAAGGCCTCTTTGGCAATGGCCTTTGATGTCTACGTCTGAACAAAATGTCCTGATGTGAAAATAAAATGGCAATATTAAAACAGCTTTTCTGTGAGGTCAGGTCCTATTACTTGGGAATGTTTAAAGAAAAAGCATAAACCAGGCAATAATAGGCTTAGAAATTCTGCAGTGTGGTCAGAATAAGATGGAGTTTGGTGGAATTAGTTTATGTTGAGTATGCAGTGCCAGATTAGATAGCAATGTTAACCAAATCCACAGATTTTTCCTGGGGTGAAAATATCTCATTTCAGAGAAACCTTATGTTAGGCAAGTATGTTCACAGAGGTAGAGTTGGGGGGTGGGGGTTGTTGTTTTTTTAATTTTTTTATTGTCTTCTTTTCCATCTGTTTCAGAGAAACCAGGTATTTTCAAGCACTCTTTAATATGAAACTGTTAAAAAGCAAAATTATACACTACATTTTGGGCTGTGGGTTGCTCAAAGGTAGATGGAATAATAAGCTTCCCATTCAGAACAAAGGAATGTTGGTTGCTATTATTGTTTATTTTTATAGCTACTCTTCACTCATAATAGTAGGGCCCTTCTGGCTGTGTTGTTAGGCTAGACATCTCCTGGGAACAAGTGAATTATCTAAGCAGTACGGCGTTGCCTTATGAAGGGATGACAAAATAGGATAGAGTCCCAGTTCTCTACCATATCCAACTACTGAAGGCAAAACTGCTCTTGTTGCCAGTAAAATCACTACTTTTTTCTTTATTTTACCAAGTGGTCCAGTTCTATCAATAAATGCTGCTCAGCAGGCAATTTTAAATTCTAAGCACCTGAGGAAATTTTTAGAAGAATCCTTTTATTTAAACAGTAGTGCAAAATTACTTAGATATACTTAGATAACATTTACAACTCAGGGAGAGGACAAGGAGTTAGCTGGTGGGACCCACTCCCTACCGCCCTCAACCCTGTTACAGGAATCCTCCATTTCTTGGCCTGGATCCTGTTTGTTTCTTTTGCCATTGATATTTTTCCATGCAGACCAGAACTGAGAAGTAATTAACTGCCAATAACAAACGTACTAGCAGCCAGGCACGGTGGCTCACGCCTGTAATCCCAGCACTTTGGGAGGCCAAGGCAGGCAGAGCACCTGAGGTCAGGAGTTCAGGACCAGCCTGACCAACATGGAGGAACCCTGTCTCTACCAAAAATACAAAAATTAGTTGGGTGTGGTGGCGCATGCCTGTAATCCCAGCTACTCGGGAGGCTGAGGCAGGAGAATAGATTGAACCTGGGAGGTGGAGGTTGCGGTGAGCCGAGGTCTAGTCATTGCACTCCAGCCTGGGCAACAAGAGCGAAATTCCATCTCAAAAACAAAAAAAAAGAAAAAGAAAAAAAAGAAATGTACTAGCTGGGTGAGCTGGGCAGCTTAACCTCTTTGAGTTTCTGTTTCCTTGTAAAATGGAAATAGTACTAAGAACTATCTGCTGGGGCTGCTGAGTGCATGGTCCATAATAAACCCCAATCAACATCAGCTTTGGTTGGTATGATGATGAAGGTGACTATCATAAAGGAAATGAGATGTGTCTGGAAGTCACATATCCTGGGCCTACCTCACCACTGGCTTATCACATGCCCTTTCCCAGTGCCTGAAGTCCCCAGTGTGCAAAAAAAAAAAAAAAAGGAGGTGGAAATCAGCTCCATCCCTCTGTGACATTTCGTGATTTGATTAATGAATGCCTCCAGCGCATACAGTGGAGCTGGCCTGTCATCAATAGAGATGAAAATTGGTGGAGCACTAACTGTGTGCAGCATGGTGCTAGTGTAGGTTTGGGGATAACAAGAGATTTAAGACAAAACCCTATGTCATGCGCTGCGGGCTCCATGTTTTGTGCTGAAACGAACAGCACAGGCAGTAAGTGCCACAGAAGAGGAGGCTCTGGACAAGCCCGAGGGCTGCCAAGCTCTGGAGGCTGCGCTTGAAGACAAGAGAAGGGATTGCACACCAGGTCGGGGCAGGGGCCGCTGCAAGGATCTGGCACGGACCTAAGAGCAGGGAAGGATCTCTCGCAGCACTGCACAAACCAGCAATTCGAAGTTGCTTAGCTAGCCTATGAAAACCCACATCAGTTACTAAAATGACTGCCTTCCCTTGAGTGATCCGCAGTGTCTTTATTTGCTTTAGCTCTTTCATCAGAGCAAGGTATTTGGTTTCCTTTTTTCTGTGTGCGCTTTTAAAATATTTTGTTGAATATGACAGATTATATATATGCATATATATGTGTGTATTAATATATGTATATATTAAGAAAGAGATATATTGCTTATAATATGATTACTTGGAATTATTATTATCATCTTTAGTATAAAATGTCGATCAGTACTCCTCATAGTCTGGAAATGCAATGAAATGCCTGTATTGGACATACATGTAGATGACATTTTGAGTGCATTGCCTGTTTTCCCACATGCAAGGCAGGGCCCTGTGCCTTGAGACAATTTGATGAACAAGCCATCGTTGAAGTCTGGCCTCAAAGAGCTAGCAGTCTATAAAGACAGATACTCGGGTGTACATAATTATTAAATATATAAAAGAAAGTGGGAGCAGGAAATAAGGATGTAGGTCATGCTCATGAGCCATTTATATAGTCTGTGTTTTCTTTTATTATTATGATTATCTTTTTTAGATTCTTCTCTTGTTCTGTCGTTCATGGAGTATGCTTTCTGCCCATAGTGGATCGCAGAATAGTCATTTTCTCCATATGCTTTATAATTTTTGCTGTAAACTCATCTTTGGTCACATCCCAGGAGCTCTGTGGTGTCCCTGTAGAATACTTTTGCATTTGCCTCTGCTGGGCCCTAAGGGTTTCATACCAGTTTTTATTTAATATCTCAATCAAGAGTTCACAAGCATTGTAAAAATATTGCCTTGAAACCCACACGTTGCAGACACTTCAGGTTCTCCTCTTTCAAAAAGACTTTCTCCACCAGTGACCTGAGCACCTCCATGGCCAGATAATGGAGCCATGGGTAGAATTTTTCCTGAACATTTTCTCAGAGATTGGAGTGTCCTTTTCATCACCAGGTTCATGCAGTGAGAAAATCCAGCTTCCCCAGTTCCTGGACCCAGTGTGGACATCAAAACTCCTGTCCTTTAAATGACCATTCAGTTGGAGACTTCTTTTGGCCGCTCGACTTTAGTGAGGCCCCTGCTTTAGGCTCTCAGTTTCCCCCACGGGGTCTTGCTCCCAGAGGTTTTCCTTTTTTGTTTTCAAGGTGGGCCACATAAATTTTTTGATTGCACTCTTTGAAAAATGTGTATTTTATTCAATATTTCTGTGTGTTCTACATTTTGGGAGGCAGAGACACTGCTTCCAACCAGTCCATCATAGTCACTGGAAGTTATAATCACTGAGATTTATATATTCTTGAATAAGGAGGAAAGAGGAACATTGACAGTTTATCTCTTACTCACATAGAATGGAATTCTTTTCAACCAAAATTTTAGAATAGATAATTTCTATTTTTATGGAAAATCTATTCTTACTAAGTATGAACCTGACTCATGGCATAAAAATAGACCTTTTCTTCTCCTCTTCCTGTTGCACATCAGAAGCCTCATTTCAGTAACCAGATCAGCCTCTGAGTTGGCGCGGTACGGAAAATTGAGTCCCATCCAGACAGACACCTCTGTGCTGATTACATCTGTGCCACAAACCTGGCGGGTCAATTGGACTTGCCACTTCTCTGGGCATCATCTACAAAAAGGGATCTCTTCAAACCTTGTTAAGCCAACTTTGGAAATCTTATGTAAAACAGATAAGAGTGGAGAGGATCTCTTGAATGAGAGTGAAGGTTTTGCCTCTTTGCCAAGTAGCCTCTAAGTTACCAGCAGCAAATCCCCTAAGGAGCCTCGAGAAGCAGAGTTTGTAAACCACTAGACTAGATACTTCTTTCATGTCTAAAATGACGTGGTTCTGGGAGAACACAGTAGTAGGCAGCACTACTGATTGTCAGCTGCTCATCTGTCGGGTAATTTCTCCTACAAACTCCTCCTGTTCCCCTTTAATAAAGTAAAAAACTCATTGAGTAAGAGGTTGACTCCAGTCTCCTTCACATCTTTAAGTTGTAAAGCTATCATTTTTTTCTTTAATAGGGATTATCCAGCCACACTGGGACATATGGTCATCCTATCTTTAATGATTAAGTGTGACAGCCTTGGTAGAATTTCCTGCAATTTAGAAATATTTAATACTATAATAGCATGCATTTTGTTAGCATTTGTCTATGTAATTGTCACTTTAATAACAGATATATTTAAAGATATTCCCATAGGTTGGACATGAATGAGAAAATAAGACTTCCTTTTTTCCCCAAAGATCTTTTGGGCATTATAAACCCTCTCACTATTACATTAAATATAGCCCAACATTGAGAAGAAAACAATACTACCATAGTCTCTTTTCATGTTGAAATTTCAGCTCAAAGGAGCAGAAACCAAGTTTTTTGTTGTTGGTGGTGGTGGTGGTGGTTTTTTTTGAGACAAAGGTCTTGCTATATTGCCCGGGCTGGTCTTGTACTCCTGGGCTCAAACAATCCTCCCACCTCAGACTCCTGGGCAGCTAGGACTACAGGCACACACTACCACATCTGGCTGTAGAACCCAAACTACTTAATTATAACTCAGATGTGCCAGATTTCTAACATGTTATAGTAATACATCATCATTTTATTTATTTATTTATTTTATTTATTTTCAGACGAAGTCTCACTGTTGCCCAGGATGGAGAATAGTGGTGTGATCTCAGCTCACTGCTACCTCCACCTCCTGGGTTTGAGCGATTCTCCTGCCTCAGCCTCCAGAGTAGCTGGTATTACAGATGTGTACCACCATACCCGGCTAATTTTGGTATTTTTAGTAGAGACAGGGTTTCGCCATGTTGGCCAGGCTGGTCTCGAACTCCTGATCTCAGGTAATCTGCCCGCCTCGGCCTCCCAATGTGCTGAGATTACAGGCATGAACCACCATGCCTGGCCCATCGTCATTTTAAAATTTAATTTTAATTGGTAGTGTGGTAATTATTGTCCAGCAATTAAGTGTTTATTACTGCCAGCTGTTAAAAAATCAACAAGAAATATGTGGTTTAAAGCAACATTTAGAAAATGCTTTATAATTCAAATACCAGTGGACCTTGATGAAAAGTCAAGAAGTCTTACAATGCAGTGCCCTTCCCATAGGCATGCCCAACCCCAAACATTAGGAGGGATGGGCATCTTCAAGGTAATTGCCAAGTTATTTCAAGGACAGTAGTGAGGATATGGATAGTTATATCAAGTTCTGTGATTTCTTCATTATATTAGTATATGCTTTGTCATGTGCTGTGTTAAAGAAGCAAAGATAAAATTTTCATTATTTTCTATGTAGAGTTTTGCATTATTTTCTTCAAGAGTAGTTTCAGTGTGTTAATAGCATGTAAATATGACAATCGAAAGTGGCTGTCATCGGTAAGTGAAAGTAAGTGCGGAGTACCAATGTGCCTTTGCTTGTCTGGAACCTGAAATTTTTGTTAGAAAACTAGAAAAGATACTGGATACAAATTTATGGTTAAATGGGCCGGGCACAGTGGCTCACACCTGTAATCCCAGCACTTTGGGAGGCCTAGGCAGTCGGATCACCTGAGCTCAGGAGTTTGAGACCAGCCTAGCTAACATAGTGAAACCCCGTCTCTACTAAAAGTACAAAAACTAGCTGGATGTGGTGGCACGCGCCTGTAATCCCAGCTACTTGGGAGGCTGAGTCAGGAGAATTGCTTGAACCCAGGAGACAAAGGTTGTGGTGAGCCAAAATCATGCCACTGCACTCCAGCCTGGGTGGCAGAGTGAGACTCCATTTCAGAAAAAAAAAAAAAAAAAAAAAATTTATAGTTAAATATCTCCTAGTACATGCTTATATCAGTAATATATTTTATGAACTATTATTTTAAATAAGGACTAAAATAGAATTACTTCCGCTTTAACAGTCTACCGACAATTTCTAACAGTGAAAATACTGCCTGGTATTTGGAAATATTAGAAAGCTGTGGCTTTCCTATTTTGATCCACTTGGATACTTACCGCATTTTTAAAAATTGACTTCAACGTAAATAATAGTAATCTGCTCCTTTTTCCTTTTAAACGTTTATGTTTAATTGTGTAATAATTACATGAATCCATTCTTATAAAACGTAAATAATATGATAAACCATATCTATTTCATAAACACTTTTCTTCATGTTAAATTGACTGAATTTAAGATGGTGGTAATAAAAACGGGGGCCTTTGTTTACCCAGATCATATGTCCCTTGCTTTTTCGCAATTATTTTTCACTGTTGTGTTTCTTCTAGAGATACCATTTAGTCATTCTGCATAGTCCCAGATGAGATGACATTAAAACCAAGAAGGCTGTGCTGTGTGAACATTCATCTTTTGGATGAATGGAGATGTGGTAGGCCTTTATCAGGCCATCCGACTCCACGGTACACTTTCTAGGATAAAGATATATATGTAAATGTATCTGGTTGGCTCCCAAGATGGAGTGGCAGAGCTCATCTGTAGAGTTTCCTCCTCAGTCCAGGATGGTCTGTAATGAGAAGTTGCATGAGCCAATTTGAGTTCTCCAAAATTAACAAGAATGAATAAAAAGAAGCGAATCCTTTGATACTGCGGTGGATGTGGTGGGGTGAAATACTCTCTGAGATTTGCCTTGAAATACTTCAGAAAGGAAAGAAAGAATGGGCAGATGGGGCAGTCATTTTTGAATGGAGGTGATGGGTATGTGGGTGTTTGTTGTCTTATTTTTCTTCGATTTCTGACATTTTTCACAATAAAAACATACTGAGGAGTTATTTTTAAGCGGTTTAAGAAATATTAACCCAGAGACGTAGTCCAAATGCGGGTCTTTTGATGGTGTTTGTGGAGCTGTGGTCTGGGAGAGAGAGGTGCATTACCTCAACGCTACTTTGTGGTATAATTTTTCTGCCTAAAGAAAGTGTTTATTATATGGCTTTTACCTTTTAAGAACTTTAAAAATATTTTCCCTTTACAAAGTCTACGTTTATAAGACATGAGAGAGTTTAATTAAAGTAAAAAAATAATAATTGAACACTTCAGGTTAGGGTTTTATTTCAGGGTTACCAAAACCTGCCTCTCTCCTCTGACTGGTATCACTTTCAGATGAAAACGAGTGCATGAAATCGGAGCATTGCCAGACTCCCAGTTTCCTTTCTACTCCAAGATTATATGTTGCATGACTCTACGTTTGCAAGATTTTCCAGATGACCCCAGAGGGGCATATTCACAGATGTTAATCTCTTATAAAGTTATTATAATTTTGGTTTTTTAAAAATGTGGGTAATATGTAACATACCATTAATATCCAGGCAGTCTGGTATTTTAAATCTATCTGCGGATCGTACTGGTCAGCATTATAATAAAAGGTAACTTTGTGGTGTTTTCAGCGTATTGAGGTAAAATGAAGGGGAAATGTTGAACCTGTGTTTATTACTGTGGAGAGAATCTGACACTCCACTGCACCCTGATTATTTTGTATACCCTAAGCTAAATAGACTAACGCTGTTACGAAGCTGTCAGGAGAAGCGTGTCAGACACTAGGTGTATCATGCAGTCAGACTGGTGTCGCGTTGGAAAAGCCAGTAGTTGGGAAGGGAAAAAAAAGTGACCTTGTACTCTCAACATTGTCTTTACACTGAGTAGAACAGATGAGATTGTGAATTATTCAGAACACCGAAAGCTTATAATTGTTAGCAGTGGTGGCGGCGATAGAGGAGAGAGACAGGGCTGTTTTAGTCCAAATGTCTGATTCTATTAAGCATCAAAGGAATCTTTTTCTTAAAACCATCTTTGGGAATTTGGGTGGTGTGGACCCCATGAAGAATCCTTCCCTCTGTTTGATACCTTTTTGGGAATCTGGGTCAAAGAGGCACAAGTTAATATTTAGCATATATATATATTTGGAAATGCAGAGTGAAAGAACAAAGACACTCTAGGGAGAGGATTTGCTGTTTCAGCAGGTGACACAGCCACGCGGTTATCTTCCATATCAGTATTAAGGGTTGGTCTTGGGTTTCTACTTTCCAACGCTTTGATGTTATTGCACTTCTCCCTTGTGGTTTAAATACTACAGGCTTTGGGTTAAGCATGGATGGTATTTGATTGTGAATTAGATGAAAATTCAGTATACCTAGGTTAATTCTTGTTTGTAAATGTTTGGGCAGTTTGGTGAGCATGCTAGATAGAATATGGTATAAGGAATTAACAGTCATATCAATTTGAACCATAATGTTTTCTGCGTCTGTTTCTTAGTCTTTGTTTGTTTTGCAAAGAGCTAAGTGCTCCACATTTACAGTCCACGTGTGTTTATTTAGGGTCCACTATGTGTCTGCTGATACTGACTGTGGGGTCCACAACTGAAACTATAAGACCAGGTTCTTGCTCTTAAGTTCTCAGCTATCTGGGTAGACGAAACCATTTTGAAGCAACACATGAAGACAGATCTGTATGACCTACAGATTGCAAGTCCTCTAGAAGGTGCATGAGGAAACTGCTCATTTTAAGCCAAAGTTGTTTGGAAAGGCTGCAAAAAGCATGTAGCAACAGAGCTGTTTTTGGAGCATGGGAAGAATTGGAGAATGGGAAGATTTGGGAAGTCAAAGGCAAACGTCAGAACTTCAGTGGAAGCGTGGAATTGTGAAGGGGATGTGTGCGTGGAGCTACCAGAGAAGCACAGCCTGTGTTGTCAGAGAGCAGTGATGTTTTCAGAGATGGACCAAGGCTGGACCAAAACCACTAACCATAAAAAGAAAAAAAAATAAGCCTTTAAACAACTTGCAGATTAAAATTGATAAATAATAATTACAATCGATTAAAATTGATGATGAACCACTGATCATCTTTCTGAAGCAGATGTCTTTTGGGGGAGCTACTTCCCAGGGCTTTGCTGGGCGTCCCCACAGCACAGTCTCCTGATACAGGAGATCCATCGTGGCTTGAACTGTTCACGCAGTACCCCATCACAACTATTCTGGTTGGCAGCTGGCCTCACACCTCTTGCTTCTGGGATCCCCTAAACTGCAGGGCATGTTTCTTGCTGGGTATTGCCAAGGGTATGGGCAAGATAGCTTGAGTCCAGCTACTTTGCATTACAACCTGGTGATTCATGAAGACAGCTGTGTCTTTGCCACAAGGAACAGTGGCCATGCAGGCAGCTCCCTGTTTCTGCCTTTCTCTTAAACCTGCCATTCTACAATTTTCTTTTCCCTTCTCAGATAAGCCCAGCATAGATCAGCAAATTGGCAGGGGCCCACCTAACTGTTCAACCAGAGATTGGAATGCCGTTCTCTACTTCTTGCCAGCATGCCTGTCTCTATCAGAGCATACCCCTTCTTTGGTTTTCACTTGAGAGGGAGAAAGTTCTCACCACAAACTGCATCTCCACAACGCTGACGGACCCCTCAACCCCCACATCTCTTCCCTCTACCCTCCCCAGCCCTTTCTGTAGATGCAGAAGGTTGTGGGTGGTGACTGTTGGGAGCAGGCCTAGCTCTTGACAAGCTTTAGAGACTGTTTGGTCTCAATTGTTGACACTTCTCAGAATGTGGGGCTCTCAATCCTTCTTTGTCCTCAGCTTTGGTCCCTTGTGGTAAATTCCAGGTAATACGAAAAAACCCCACTCTTTTTGCCAACTGACCACCACCCCCTCTCACCAGGACTATTACCGAAGACTCTGAAATGGTCTCTGTACTTGCAGTCTTGCCCCCTCCTTTCTCCCTAGCGTGTGGTCCACTCTACACTTAGCAGCCAGAGAAGTCTTTTGGAAACACATCAGATTACACAACAGTCCAGACGGAAACTCTTCAGTGACTGCCCACTGCTGTTAAAATAAAATGCAGACCAGGCACGGTGGCTGACATCTGTAATCCCAGTGTTTTGGGAGGCCAAGGGAGGAGGATTGCTGAGGCCAGGAGTTCAAGACCAGCCTGAGTAACATAGCGAGACCCCGTCTCTACAAAAAAGTTTAAAAATTAACTGGGTGCCGTGGTGCATGACTGTAGTTCCAGCTACTGAGGAGGCTGAAGTGGGAGGATCACTTGGGTTCAGGAGTTCAAGACTCCAGTGAGCCATGACCACACCACTGCACTCCAGCTTGGGTGACAGAGCGAGACTCCGTCTCTAATAAATAAACTAAAATAAAGTAAATTCCCAAATCGCCCAGTGTGATCTGGCCCCTGCCTGGTTCTCTGTCTCCATCACACTCCACTTTCACTCATTCCTTAAGCTTCAGCCTCACAGGCTTTTTGTTGGTGGCTGTAATACACCGAGCTTTTGCTATTTCAGAGAATGTGCATCTGCAGTTCCTTCCGCTTGAAATGCCCTTTCACCAGACCCTCATGTCTGCTTCTTCGTTTCCGTTCCTAAGGAATGAATCCGTTTGTCGGTTCAAACATCACTTCCTATGAAATGTTTGTCCTGACCAGCCTAGGACAAGTAGTTGTCCTCTCCTCAACAATCCCTTTATTTCCTAGTACACTTTTCTTTCTTTACTTTTCATTTATTGTTTATTTATTTATTTTTTTTGAGACTGAGTCTCGCTCTGACACCCAGGCTGGAGTGCAGTGGCGCGATCTCGGCTCATTGCAAGCTCCGCCTCCCAGGTTGACGCCATTCTCCTGCCTCAGCCTCCCGAGTAGCTGGGACTACAGGCGCCCTCCACCACACCCGTCTAATTTTGTTTTCGTATTTTTAGTAAAGAGGTGGTTTCACCATATTGGCCAGGCTGGTCTCGAACTCCTGACCTCGTGATCCGCCCACCTCACCCTCCCAAAGTGCTGGGATTACAGGCGTGAGGTACCGTGCCTGGCATATTTTTGTTTGTTTGTTTTTTGTTTTTTGTGTTTTTTGAGATGGAGTTTCACTCTTGTTACCCAGGCTGGAGTGCAATGGCACGATCTGGGGTCACCGCAACCTCTGCCTCCCGGGTTCAAGCGATTCTCCTGCCTCAGCCTCCTGAGTAGCTGGGATTACAGGCGTGCACCACCACACCGGCTAATTTTGTATTTATAGTAGAGACGAGATTTCTCCGTGTTGGTCAGGCTGGTCTCGAACTCCCGACCTCAGGTGATCCACCCTCCTCGGCCTCCCAAAGTACTGGGATTACAGGCATGAGCCACTGCGGCTGGCCTATTTATTTATTTTTAATAGAGACAGGGTCTCTCTATGTTGTCACATTGGTCTCCAACTCCTGGATTCAAGCAGTCCTCCTGCCTCAGCCTCCCAAGGTGCTGGGATTATAGGAGTGAGTGCCCAGCACCTCCTTTTCTTTTTTATTTTCCTTGAAGCCCCCATCCCTTCTGGAATTATACTCCATCATTTATCAACATGTTTACTAGTTTTCACGTAAGTTCCTCTAGGACAGGAATTTTGTCTATCTTGTTCCTCACTCTACCCAGAATCTAAAAATGTGTCTGGCACGTGGTGGGTTTTCAATAAACAGCGGTTGAATGAGTGGATGGATAGATTTATTCAGCAGTTGGCTCCAACTACTACGTGGCAGGCATTGTGTCAAATGATTACACAGACTAGGTACTGCCATTTCCATGTTTTAGGTGAAGAAGTTGACTTCAGACTGGAGTGACTTCTCCAAGCTCATACAGCTGTTCAGTAGAAAAAGGAACTGAAATTAGCTGCTGTGGACTCTGACTCTAGAGAACAGGCTGTTGCTACCATCAGCCTGGACGACTCATGGAGCACAGGGTGGAATACCAGAGCGTACAAAGTCATTCTCTCAGGTCCACCACACCTATGCCGAAAAATAAAATAAATAAAGGTCGGGGGCTGGAAATGTGCTAAGCAATTTAACTGGCCACCGATTTTAAAGATTCATGCGAGGGCCAGGTGCAGTGGCTCATGCCTGTAATCCCAGCACTTTGGGAGGTTGAGGCAGGAGGATCGCTTGAATCCAGGAGATGGAGACTAGCCTGGGCAACACAGCAAGACCCTGTCTTGGCAAAAAAAAAAATTTAAAAATTAGCCTGGCATGGTGGTGCACACCTGTAGTCCCAGCTACTCTGGAGGCTGACGTGGAAGGATCACTTGAGCCTGGCAGGCGGAGGCTTCAGTGAGCTGTGATTGCGCCACCGCACTCCAGCCTGGGCGAGGGTGAGATGCTGTCTCTACAAAACATTTAAAAAGATTTATATTAAAACGCATTTAGATGTTTTGTTTCATGATGTGTAATGAAACATTTGTCCAGTTTAGATAAAGGACTTACTCTATCTACAGCGGCCTGTTCCTGGCCCCGCTCTCTGGATATGTCATCGCCCCCTCTGCTGGGTGTGCGAGGGCGGAGGGTGAGCAGTGCAGGGCCCTGCCCTCTGCCTGCCCAGGAGGCCACTGGCACTCTGCAGGGACACATGTATACTTGTCGCAGTTGTCCTGTACACATGCCCCAACGTAGCAGCCCAGTTTGATTTATGTTATCCAATAAATCTTTAACTAAATCTTATTGAGGGAAACATTTACTGAAAAGTTAAAGTTTGAGCTTAGGAAATTAAGATCATATACATATTTTGTTCTTTTATAAGCCAATGAGATCAATTTAGAAAGCAACTCCTTCACCTGCTGAGTCTAATAAACATTAATTGAGAATCTTGTATCTGAGTCTTGTATCTGAGGCTTAGAGGTGTATGAAAATGAAGCAGGCAGAACCCTGGCCTTGTAGAAGTTGAATTTAATGGGATGATTTCATTTTCCAATGTCTTCAGAATAAAATCCAGACTCCCTAGCGTGTTGACCAAGTTGCTTCAGTGTCGGGTTGCCCGCGGCTCCACCCTAGAGATGACGCTCAGGACCCCAGGGCAATTCCACCAACCTGCCTTGCCATTCTGCCCCTCCCTGTGGATACCTCATTCCTCTGTCTGGGACCCCTCCAGCCAAGTCACTCCCGCTCGTGCCCTACGGTGCTGTCCAAGGTTCCTCTCCTCCAAGAAGGCCTCTCTGCCATGCCCTTCCTCACCGGGGCTAATCACTCTGTATGTTAGCTGACCAGCCACTTGCTGTCTTCCTGTGTCGCTGTGGACTAACTGGCGGGGCAGTGTCTTATTCTGTGTGTCTCCAGATCAGAGTGGGGACCTGGCGTGTGGTAAGTGTGCGATGAGTGCTGTCGACTGAATGAGTGATGAGTGAACGAATGAACCGTGAGCTGGCACTTTACCTACTTCCTCCCCGTACTGCTTTCAGGGCAGCCCCAGAAACCTGGTTCCAGCTGCAGAGGCCTGGTTTCTGAATCCTGAAACTGAGCAGTTGCTTGTATTTTGCACGTTCTTGGGACAACTCTGCCACCAATTTATCTCTACAATGCCTAGAACCATTGCTAGATGTAATATGGTCATCAAACCAAACTTGGCGACTTTAAAAAATGGCTTTACGTCCCTAAAAAGCCTTTTAAATAGGAGGTTTTGTTTTAATTTGAGACAGTCTTGCTTTGTCGCCCAGGCAGGAGTGCGGTGGCACAATCTCTGCTCACTGCAATCTCCATCTCCCGGGTTCAAGACATCCTCCTGCCTCAGCCTCCCAAGTAGCTGGGACTACAGGCGCCCGCCACCACGCCCAGCTAATTTTTTTGTATTTTTAGTAGAGACAGGGTTTCACCATGTTAACCAGGATGGTCTCGATCTCCTGACCTCGTGATCCGCCTGCCTCGGCCTCCCAAAGTGCTGGGATTACAGGGGTGAGCCACCGTGCCCGGCCAAAAAGCCTTTTAAATAGGAGGTTTTGTTTTAATTTGAGACAGAGTCTTGCTTTGTCGCCCAGGCAGGAGTGCGGTGGCACAATCTCTGTTCACTGCAATCTCCATTTCCCGGGTTCAAGACATCCTCCTGCCTCAGTCTCCTGAGTAGCTGGGATTACAGGCACGCACCACCACGCCTGGCTAATTTTTGTATTTTTAGTAGAGATGGGGTTTCACCATGTTGGCCAGGCTGGTCTCGAATGCCTGACCTCAAGTGATCCTCCCACCTTGGCCTCCTAAAGTGCTGGGATTACGAGTGTGAGCCACCATGCCTGGCCAAAGAGGAGTTTAATTCCACAGACTCTCAGATTGATCAGTAAGTGATATGAAGCAAGTGCAGGATCCCTGTGCTGATCCAAGGAGTGTGCCCCGAGCTGGCTGGTCTCCGGCAGGCTTCCCACGGAGGACAGGAACCTGAGCCTGTGTGTCCATGGCCCCATTTGTCCCTGACCCCAGGTTGTTTTACAAAGCTGCTTGAAAGAGGGTCTCCAAAGGCCACTTAGAGGCCAGGAGACAAAGCATGAAAGAGCCTGGTATGTGGGGATGTGGAGTCATTGTGATAGAGCAGGACAGAGATGCAATTCCAGGAGATCATAGGAAATAAGGCGCACACATCAGAAGGAAGTGTAGATTTCAGTTGTGAGGATGCCCCGCTGTGTGTCCCACGCAGCGCTGGATGCCTGTACCTCGTCACATCAGTGAATCCTCACAGCCTCCTGTGAGACTGGATAATATTACCCTCCCCATGGTACAGCTGAGGAAGCAGCCTCAGAGACGTTATGTGATGTGCTTCAGGTCACACAGCTAATTAATTGTCAGAGCCATCACAGAAACGAAAGCCAGCTTGACTTCCGAGTATGCATGCGTCCCTCCTCATGGTGTCTTCTCCAAGGATGTGATGGATACACACAGACCCAGAAGCTGAGGAGCAGAGCACGGGCTGCAGAGACACCCACACAGGACAGCCCAGTGGGGTCGCGTTCCCATGGCATATTGTCTCCAGGCGCTCTAGGGTCTTAAACTCAGCTGTGTGTGTAGGGCTGGGAGGGAGGCAGGCAGACTCCAACCATGTTATGTGCGTCACATTTCTATTATTCAGCCCTAGAATGGTTTTCTTTGTAATCTTATTAAAACTTGGACGTCTTAGATAAGGACCCATAAAAAAGTTTTCCCCAAAACATTTTTATGCTCGTCTTTTTTCCTTTTTCAGCCCATGAAAAAGCTGTTTTTGCCATATGAGTGCCTTCTGTTGTTTATGGAACAAACTGCAAGGCTAAAGAACAATTTGGCACTGCTATATTTCTTTTAATGAGAAAAATATGATGCTATAAAGATTTATTGTAAAAAAATGTAGGATATTAGAAGGTGGGCATATTGATACCTGCAACTAAACATAGAGAAAAACAAAAACAGAGCCATCTCAGAGGCCCCATGATTGGGGTGATGTTATTTCATGGTATTCCACCCTTACACACATTTGGGAATATTTTCTATGTAAAATTCACCTCAAAAAAATGAACAGTGCCTATCTTGGTAATAGATTGCTTGTCTCACAGAGTTAGATTTTTGTCCCTTAGGATCTAGCCAAGGAGTGGAGATGTTTCCCTAAAATATTTCTTGTTCTATTTTTCCAGTGTAACAAAATGTTAGTTTCTGTGACTGCTATCTATATTGTTTGAAAAGGGTTGTGTCTACATCAGCCACCAGTTCCAAAAGGTATATGTTTTTGTCACAGTTCCTTTGAGATCACAGATCCGCATGGTCGCGTGGGTAAATGCTTCATGCTTTGATCTCTTCTCTCTTTCCCTCTCTGAAAGTGGGCGTTGAACCCTCACTCTGTGCTGGGCTTTGGGGAAATAGTACCCAGGGGATGCGCTCTCTGCCCTTAAAGAACTTACAGTGGGCTCAATTGAGGATACAGATGAATAAACAAGGACAACTTGAGTGACACTAGTGTAAATATGCTAAGGAAGTACATTAGGCCCAGGTGGTTGCTGTCCAAAGGTTTTCCATAAGGAAGAGCATCACAGCTGACAGCTGAAGGATGTGGAGGAGTTAACTAGGGGGAGAGGTAGACACAGTCCCAAGCCCAGGGTACAACATGCTCAGAGACCCAGAGGTGGGAGCGGGCATGGTGCCGTCTGGGAGCTGGGCTTATTGTCATGAACACACTCTAGCTGCCTTCACTGATTGCTTCCGTGTGTTGCACACTTTATTAAGTGCCTCACTACATTGTCTCCCATCACCCTTGCCACAACCCTATGGGTTAGGTCTTTTAATCCCTACTTTTTAGCTGAAGAACCGAAGCCATTAAAAGTTAAGTAATTCTTCTAGGATGACGTAACAAGTGGAGTCCATAGTCAGGGCATGGACCTAGTCTGCTGCCCATCTTCCTCCACTGCCCACGAGCATCTTTGAGGCGATTCAGCAGAGGGGATTCAAAACCAGCCTCCATCCAAACCAGACTTGCTAACAGTGGCACCAGAAACGACAGCAGGTCCCTTATCAGAGTCCACATGGTTTTAGAAGCTGAGTGGGTAAAACAAACCTTCCATGCAGGAAAATCTGGAGACCTTACGTGGAATTCACTTACAGTAAAGAGGGTGGAAGGATGCGTCTCTCTTCCTCTTTCTCTTTCTCCTGCTCTTTCTTCCTTTCTTGAGATGTCAAAGTTGGCGAGACCTAATGAATTTGAACTGAAGAACAATGAAGCTTTCCACCTTTCAAAGGAATCCTGATACCTTTAACCAAAGAGCAAGAATGGTGCTGATTATCAGTGGTATTCTGGTACCCTCTGACCCTGGACAAAACAAAAGCATAGACAACGTTTGCCTTTGACTTTCGCCGTATCCTTTCTACTGTTCTCCAACACCTGGTAACCCGCTGCCTCCTCCACATGCTTTAAAGCGCCCACCCCGAGTCCCTTCCAAATTTTTTCTCCCTTTGGCCCTCCTCAATCAAAACTCTCTTTCCCTGAGCCCTCAATTAATTAGATCTGATTATCTAATTAAACTAATTCGCACTGAGGTATGAATGAGGCTTAACCCTCCCAGGGGACATTTGCATTTTAAAAGAGGAGCTTGTTAACCCAAATGCCTCGACAATGACAATTAGTGGCATGTGTGGGGAGATATATTTTGGGAGGTTGGGTCTTTCCTGCGCTCCCTGCGTCCTAGGCCATCACAGGCCCGGGTAAACTTCAGGATTTCCTCTACCAGGGAGTCGGAAGCATTGGAGTCAGCATCACAGATCCCTACCATCTGCGTCTCTGCCTTTGACAATTGGCTGAGTTAAAAAAAAAAATGTCATCGCTTAAGAAGAGGATTCCTACTAATACTGTGAAACTTCAGTCGTGGTTGTGAAGTGCTTTCTTTTCTTAGAATCAGCCTGCGAGATTCGTGAGGTGGAGGTCTAAGAATTCTGAGTGACACATTTTTAAGATTTCTAGATTGAAGATCTCCAGACTGAAGATCTAGATCCCAGGTGGAAGATTCTAGGGCCACCCCACAGCAGCAACTGTGGCTGCCCTGAAACATTCAATGTTCACCCTGGTTTTTTTTCACCCTAAGTGTAAATCCCTAAACAGACTTTTTTTTTTTTAAGTGGGAAAGATAGAAGTATTTGTGTTCCAGCCTGGAATTGACATGGGGAAAAAGTTGACCAAAGTGAGAGCGTCTGGGTGAGAAGCAGCTCTGAAAGTCCTCATGGTCATGTCTTGCTGTGGCCTTCTCTGTGAAGAGATAGAAAGGCTGTTTTGTTTCCCAGTGCCTGTGAGCTAGAAGTGAAATAGTACATTCCAACAAGATCCAGATTAAGGAAAGGAACTGGGAATCCAACCAAAAGCTGCTGTACTACTGACCACGGCTTTGCATTTACCAAGAACGCCAAATGTTATCACTTCCCATCAATGGATATGGATCCCACGTATAGACACAAACTAAAAATGTGTGGGGTGTTCTTTTTCTGGGATATGACTCAGAAATCTTGAAAATAAGAATATGGACAAGCATAATGTATATGCCCATTGCCATTATCGATTGTTTTCTTAAAGCCCCTTGGTGCAATGCCTATTTTTGCTATAATTTTGGGATGCTTATTCACACTTTTTACACCTTTTCTTATTTTTTGGTGCATTTAATGGCCCATAAAATGTTGAGTGGGTGGGGGCAGGGGCTACAGTTTGACATTTTGATAAAGAATTGGGATTTTCTGCTCTATTTTGAGTGATGGATTAAGAGGATTATTTTATGTGAATGCTAAATGATTTTACATGCATTCATTCCTGTAATATTTAATATTTAAATTAATTAAATTTCCTGGAAAGATAAAAAGTGATACGTATTATTGATGATATAAGACACAGTGTTGCATTTACTCGGAATATATATGGAAACAAGTGGTATATGTGCTTTGCTTTTCTTTTTTTTTTTTTTTTTTTTTTTTGAGACGGAGTCTCACTCTGTCTCCCAGACTGGAGTGCAGTGATGCGATCTCGGCTCACTGCAACCCCTGCCTCCCGAGTTCAAGTGATTCTCTTGCCTCAGCCTCCCAAGTGGCTAGGATTACAGGCAGCTGCCACCACGCCCAGCTAATTTTTTAAATTTTTATTAGCGATGGGGTTTCACCATGTTGTCTAGGCTGGTCTCAAACTCCTGACCTCAGGTGATCTGCCTGCCTCGGCCTCCCAAAGTGCTGGGATTACAGGTGTGAGCCACTGTGCCGGATGGTATATGTGCTTTTCTAGTCTTTATATTTTAAGATTCTAACCCTTGTAGCAAAAACAAATGTTAATACTGTAAAGCTTCAGAAAGCAGAGCTGAGATGCAAGAGCAAAACAAATAATATAAGGGGAAGCAGTAAAAATTGTGATTAAACCTTTCATCCGATTATTTTTCATTTCAATGCTATTTGAGTTTTTATCTTAATGTTTTGCTTCATGGAAAAGATGAGTTTGACATCTGGATAACGCATTCACAAGGGAAGACATAACTGTTTACCACGTATATTTTAGTTGTCAGGACCTAAAAGTTAAACAAGGAGAACTGACCAGATGGGAACAAACAAAATTAAGTTATAGTTAAGTGATTTGAGTTCATACCATTATTATTATTTTTTTATTTATTTTTGAAATAGCGTTTCACTCTTGTTGCCCAAGCTGGAGTGCAATGGTGTGATCTCAGCCCACCTCAGCCTCCACCTCCTGGGTTCAAGGAGAATTCAAGGCAATTCTCCTGCCTCAGCCTCCCGAGTAGCTGGGATTACAGGCACGCACCACCGTGCCTGGCTAATTTTGTATGTTTAGTAGAGACAGGGTTTCTCCACGTTGGTCAGGCTGGTCTCGAACTCCCGACCTCAGATGATTCGCCCACCTTGGCCTCCCAAAGTGCTGGGATTACAGGCTATTTTTTAAGTTATTAAGAAATTACCCATATACTATTTTATTTTACTCCAATATACTTGTTTCACTATTAAAGACATGAAAACTCTTTTAGGATCTCTGATCAAAGTTGATCTTTCTTGATAACGATACAAAGTAAATCATAAGGGACTTTTTCTTTTCAATTGTACTTGAAGGCTATGGGTTACTTTTGTGGATCTGCAAGCTAGACATCATGAAAAAAACTTCCAAACCAGAGAGGTTTATAATCAGGGCAAGCCTTGATCTACCAAAAGATTTACTGGACGCTAATTGGCTGTAACTAGTGGAGTTTGTCAGATGAGCTGGGGACATTAAGGTTTCTAGATTGCATTGACTTGAAATCAAGCTCAGAGACCTCCTGTTTTGAAGCCATTACAGAAACGTGTTTAGCACTGCTGTGTATGCAAGAAGTCTGCATCTTTAGATTGCTGCCTTTGAGTATGATGTCTTAATTTGTCTTTACCAAAATACTTCTAAATATTATCATGGGATTAAAACAAAAGAGCTCAATTTTTTTTTCTTCCTCAGGAGTTCTGGAAACAAAGATCTGATTTTTTAAAACACAAATTGCTGGTGCTAATTTGCCCTTAGTTTTCTGGGCAATATTTCTTCATTTGTTTCTGATTTTGACAGCATGGCCTCCTGGAAAATAAAACATAGATTTCCATTGATTCGGAAGGGAAAGAAGATACTAGAACGAGAAGACATCGAGGCCATACACAAAGAAGGGAAGATAGAGATTATTCGCATCTTACACCATATTTTATAGTTAATCTCTTTAAACCTTTGTCTTCTTAGCTTTAAGATGCCAATAGTATTATTCACCTCCTTATGAGGAGTAAGTAAAATAGTTTATGGAGAACAGCAGCACCATGCCTGGCTACAGTCCTTTCTGCTCTCCCTCTCCAGGTGGAGAACTCAAATTCCCATCATATAACTGGGGCCACAGCTGAAAGCCAAGTCATGTTTATCAGAGACTGGTTCTGATTATTCCAGGATTCACTATGCAGGTGACACTGTCACTTGCATAGTTGAAAAACAGTAGAATATTGGCAGTTTCCTATGGTCCACCCAATACTGAAATAAATAATTTATACAATTATTCAGATAATATGGATAAGTTCTTTTTCTGAATTGTCTTGATCTTTGAAGTAGGAAGGTGCTGCTTTTTGAATGGATTATTTTATTTCTGTACTTCCATTCCTCAATACAGGATGAAAATAGTAATTCACCATCCTGTGGTTTCAGATTTCGTCTTCATTACTTCTTGGATGGAAGACTAAAAGCGTCCCCTGATCCTCAGTGTCCCAGGCTCCCAAGCTGCCTTACGTCAGACACACCAGCATGTGAATTTCCAGGACCATGTATTAACCCTATACTAAGAATAGCTCCTGTAGTGTGGAAGCTCCCCATTTGTGTTTTTCACGGTCTTTTAGATGACAAGTCTAGATAGGGTAGATGGCCTCATTAGCTGTTATTTATTGTGTGATACAAGTGGAGTATAGAACAGGCTACCGGGCAGCCAGGTGGATAGCCAGGATCCAAGCATAGCTCAGTTCCTCTGTCCCAGGCCTGGGCCTCAGTGAAGTTCGAGTGACTCATTTCCTCTCTCTGCCTCTGTTACTCCTTCCCATTCACACTCATGGACTTTCTCAGGCCTCTCCTCTGCCCCATAGCCTGCGCTGCTCCCACACGAGGCCTGTGCTGCGGCTTCTGCCCAGGCACCTTGGTCACTCACTGCACTTCCTCGGAGCCTGTACCCAGGGGTGCATCTTACGTTGAACGTCACCTCCTTCAGAGAGCATCATCCCCATCCCGGCACATGTACTCATCTCACTGTTCTACATTTTAGGAACCTGATGTCTTCATAGCACCTGTCGCCACTTATAATTAATTATTTGTATTTGATTATTTATTTTGTTGTCTGTTTCCCCCACTGAACTAAAAGCTGCATGAAACCAGCGTATCTCTGTTCCCCACCCTTCCAGCCCTAGCACCTCGTGCAGTGCCAGCCATATCCTAGTCCCTGAGAAATAGTTGTTGGATAAAGAAATATAGAAATGAGGTGGAAACGCCTCAGAAGGGCCTGTGATGCCATGGCAGACACTCCAAGCTCCTCAGAGTAGATTCTCTTCTCAAATACAAAGAGTTGAACTGTTAGTCTGGATGCCCCACCTACAGTGGGGAACTTTGTTGTTAAAAGGAAATGGATTGTAAGCAGAAAGGAAACTTTCAGTGAAACATTACATAAAAATGGACCTCAGATTGAAAGACTTAAAGATTGTTTGGGAAAGTGCAGTCTTGGAATTAAATAACAAGGTAGAAAAGCATATATGGGAATCAAGTACTTGAAAGGAAGAACTATATCAAAGTGAAGATTGGAGAAAATGACACTCAACAATTGAAGCACATTAAAAAAGAGGTAATGGGATCGGGCATGGTGGCTTATGCCTGTAATCCCAGCACTTTGAGAAGCCGAGGCAGGTGGATCACCTGAGGTCTGGAGTTTGAGACCAGCCTGGCCAATATGGTGAAACCCCATCTCTACCAAAAATATAAAAATTAGCCGGGCGTGATGGCGCCCACCTGTAATCCCGGCTACTCGGGAGGCTGAGGTGGGAGGATGGCTTGAACCTCGCTTGAACCCAGGAGGCAGAGGTTGCAGTGAGCTGAGATCACACCACTGCATTCCAGGCTTGGGCAACAGAGCAAGACTCCTTCTCAAAAAAAAAAAAAAAAAAAAAAAAAAAAAAAAGAGGTAATGGACTGGCCACTGCAGATTGAGAAATGAAGCTTCTCAGTCACTCAGAGGTAGGAGAGTTGTGAAACCACTGGCTGGGGCTTACTGAGGACTGAAAGAATAATGGGGCATTAAAAACACCAGATTATCTAATAATCTGTAACAAATTCTCAATTGCACTAGTTTCTCCTAGTATTATTAACATCCACTTTGTTGAAAAATGAAAAACAGATTCAAGCAGGGGCATGCGTACATCTCTTTGTAAAACTAGATTTATAATTCAAAGAGTCTTTTTGATTGGCCACTTTCTGAAATGCTAAA
Organism: Homo sapiens; assembly: GCF_000001405.40. Classification (NCBI taxonomy): domain Eukaryota; kingdom Metazoa; phylum Chordata; class Mammalia; order Primates; family Hominidae; genus Homo; species Homo sapiens. The sequence continues at coordinate 182,299,323 of NC_000004.12, forward strand.
GTAAGACTTTACAAACAACTCTTACAATTTCATTGAATCAATATGGAGCAAGTGGGGAAAGGAAAAGGAAGCCTGTGCTCCTCTAATGGAAGAATATAGATTCGGAAATTATTTCATAGTACAAGATAAGGAAAGAATAAAAATGTTTTTAAAGGCAAAACAGAAGGTGCCACAGAATGAATGCTGCTTATCTTTGCTCATGTTACACAGGAAGGTTGACATTTTAGTGTGCATCAAGGTCACAGAAATTAGGAAGGAACACTGTCTTTGAGAAATCTCTAAATTACAGATCTTAGAGTTAGCAGGCACCTCAGGATAATTTGGACCAACCCTTTACTTCCAGAAAGTCAAGGTGTTATTATCCCCCATTGTAGAGATGGGACAAGTAAGTTAAATTACCTGCTGAGGTCAGGTGATTGAAAAGTGACTGATGGCGGAGGATGCCAAGGACGGGGGGAGGGAGGGAAGGGTTAGGAAAATCCAGGCCCCAGTGTGCTATTAGGATGTGCCTTCCATTACAGCACGAGCAGGGTGATTATTTCCCATTTTGATATGAACAGAAGAAAAGACCTGCTGTATTCAAGTAGATCTTTTTTTTTTTTTTTCCTTTTGAGATGGAGTCCCACTCTGTCGCCCAGGCTGGAGTGCAGTGGCGCAATCTTGGCTTAATGCGGCCTCTGCCTCCTGGGTTCAAGCGATTCTCGTGCCTCAGCCTCTAGAGTAGCTGGGATTACAGGTGTTCACAGCCACGCCTGGCTAATTTCTGTATTTTTAGTAGAGACGAGGTTTCACCATGTTGGCAAGGCTGGTCTTGAATTCCTGACCTCAAGTGCACAAGGCCTCTGCCTCCCAAAGTGCTTGGATTACAGGCGTGAGCCACCACGCCCAGCTCAAGTAGATAATTATTTATGAGAATCGTTTTCTTCATGAAAGAAGCAAGGGAAGAAGAAGGAAAGGAAACAGAAAGAAAGGAAGGAAGGGAAGGAGGGAGGGAGGGAGGGAACCTCTGCTGAACATGACAATTGGTCTCTCAGGCCATACAGTTGAAAAGGGGACAGAAATTACCTTGACTTGTTCTTTTCTGTATGTTGAATTATGGGATCTGATGTCCCACATTTTCACATGAAGATGTTGGGTACATGTTACCAGGTCACAGGTCTGACAGTCGAGTTAAACACCTGGAGGATTTTGCCACTGACTGGAGTGGACACCTGGTGACGGCTTGTGCCTACCTTTGGCCTTAGGGATGGGAGGTAGGGATCCACTCCAGTGAAGCTGAGATCAGTGTTCTGCAGCCTTGCACTTGCTATGTCTCCACACCAAATGAGACTTGATATTTTACCTTTTCAGCTGTAGAATTCTCTAGCTCGTTTGGCATATTTGCTGTCCATAGCTTCCAGAGCTTCCATACTGCAAGCATGGTGGTTGGAAGGCTGAGGCTTCTCCACAATCCACAGGCTCCCTAGACTTCCACAAAACAGTGAGATTTTGAAAAAGGGTAGAAACATGATGATGGACTTTCCATTTTATACACAATTCTATTTAATGATGAATTACAAAATAATTGACTTCATTTTGTGCTGAAAAGACCTTTGACCTCTCTTAGCCTGGCATTTCCAGCCTATGATTTATTTTTAAAAAAGTGTTTTATTTGTTCATTAGTTTTCTGTTGCATTTGAATTTTAAAGCTCTCCTTTAAAAAGAAAAATAAAGTATACATTTGAAAGAAGAATGAAGAGGACTGCATCTTATGCGTATTAAGCCTCTGTAGCAAAAGGATGATTAAAAAGGTATATACATGTTTCCTTTCACCGTTTCCTATATTTCCTTTGACTTTCATAAAAATTCTTTACTTTGGCAGGACTTTTGCAGTCAGATAGAGTCAAACATATGCCAACCAAAGCTTACACTGTTCCATCACCCCTCTACGTGCCCCTGAAATTTTTTCCTTCTTTTACTTAAAAATGCAACTAAACTTTAAATTTTTCTCAGCTTGCCTGTATGAAACTGTTTTTATTTTTAAAATAACATTGATACAAATAATATATTTTCCCCATATTATTAGCTTTTATTCCATCCACTTCCTCCCCCCATTCAGCACAAGGTACGGTTTTGACAGGTAGCGTGATGAGATTTAGAACAGAGGCTGAAGTTAATTGAGGTTAGCAAGAAAAATATTACTGTCAATTTCAGATTTTTTCTTTAATTATTTTAAACTCATGAATAATCAGTTAAATGAAAAAGAAATGCACATTTAAGAGCATCTTGAAAATTCCCACTCCTAGGTGCGTCAGAGGAGAGAAGCCTCTTGTGACACTATCTACAATAGAACACACCACTGGCTTTTTGCAGATGACATAGTTTTTGTTTTTTGGTTTTTAATGATGCTTCTTTTGAAGTGACAGAATGAATACACTGGGAAGAGGAAGTTGAGCATATTCAGTCATAAAAGGCAATTTGCCTTTTCAGTGATAACCTGGCTACACTATCGCACTGGGAATAAGTGTGGCACACAACTCTAAAGACAGGGAATTCGGGGGCCTATACTGAGAAGGATAAACAGCCAGCGATCCAGTTCTGCAGAAGGGCAAGCTTCAGTGGCTGTGCTTCCTTGGGACACGCTCGGGTGCCTTCTGGGTTTCCATATCATGGGAAAAATACTCTGGCCTAAAAGGACTCACTTGACTAATACAATTTTCTTTTAAAGACTGGTAAGCTGTTTTATCAACCCTGCTAGCCAATTAGAGTGTCTGGATTAATTGCTTTTACTGGAAAAAAATGATTATTTTGCCAAAAACTTTTAAATGAAGAAAATCCATCCAAAAAAGAAAAGGGAGCTTTCTTTGAATTTGCCCACAGATTGTCTCCCTCCCTTAGCCTTTTCTCATTTTCACGCCCCACCCCACCTGTTCTCATGTGTGTGATGTAAGTACTCTTTCCACCATAAAGGAAGGTTAGCATTTCGTTTTATGTAGATGCCTGTGGAAGGTGAAAGTCATGTTAAAGATGCTTCTGTGATCTGGACAGAAAGCTGGGGTTCCCTATGGGTGATTCTTTTTGGGTCACTCTTTCAGTCATGTATTTATTTAGCAAACTTTTATGAAGCATCCACCAGTGTTCAACAGACGGATCTACTTCGCTGAGAGTTTGTGTTTTAAGTGGTTTAAAAGTAAGACAAGTAGCATAGGATATTTGGTCATCTTTCCCTCTAACAAAACTAAATGTCTTTTTTTTTTAAGTTGAATAGAAACATCATTCATAATGGTCAGCCCAAAATAATGATAACAGAAGATATAAAACTTGAAGCCAAGAAACTGCTTTGGAAAACAATATTTAAGGAGCGTGTGATAAATTTGTTCTATCTAATTCTAAAATGGAAGGATAGTGAGGGCTTTCTTAACATTCAGAATGAGAGCTGTTCATCTGACAGTCATTTTTCCTTTAGAGTGCTGGTTTTGGAGGCATTCTTTCTCATTTCCATGTGAGAAGACAGGCTTCTGTCATTAAGAACTGAGCTTCCAGGTATGAAGTCCTGAGATATCCATGTATTGAGACTCATCACTTTGACTAATGGAAGATCCTGACCACATATCATCTTAAGCACCTCTTCACAGTGTGTCATTTTTCCAGCTCAGTTGATTTTTGATACATCTCACTTTATCAGTCATCGAAGTGGAAATTTCATCACTCTTATATGCTTTCTGAGTTTTTCTTAGTGTTTGTTTGTAATAGGTTTTATGGGTGATTAGTTATGGGAATTGCGGCATTCTCGGTGATGGGAACCTATCTTAATTTCACTCATGAAACCTGTTTCTCTCATAAAGTATGTCATAAACCCCAGGGAGAATCTGTTTTGCATTTAAACATAGCTTGTTGAAATTAGGATAGATGCTTTTTATCATCACTTAGTATAGAAATGAATAGCTGAAATTATTTGCATTTGCTCTAATGTTGGAGCATTGGCCTTCTCAACTGTGTGATTTCACACGTTGGTTACTGTGCTGGGACGTGCCACTGACTGGTTGCTCCACTGGGCACTTGCAGATTCAGAATTTTACCAAAGTCCCACTGAACCATATTATGACATAAGAGTCATATTTCTGTTGTGTTGGTGGATGAGCATCTTTGCTTTAAAAGCTTTCACAATAAAGCGTAAGAATTGATATGACCCATCATTTCATTGTATCCAATGCAACTGTGTATACCTGCCCTGATAGTCAACGCGCTGTCATTGTCCAATGTATACATTTTACATCATGCGCATCTGGTTTTGAGCCGTAGCTGTCTACTTAACAGGTGTATGACCTTGGTGGGGGGGGTGACTTAATTTCTCTTGAGTCTAGATTTCCTTATGTGTAAAAACAAGTTATTAAAAGAACCAACCTTCTAAGTTTGTTGTAGAATTTCAATGAGATAAGGCATGTAAAGTGGACATTTAATGAGGTACTCAATACATTTTAGCTATGGACATTAAACTTTTTAAACTCTCTATTTGACAACTTTCTAGGCACCACATGGCCGTAGGATCCTCAGATTAATTGTATGTGTTCATTTTAATGGTTTAATTTTTAATTCGAAGCTTTCCTCTTTTGTTTTTATATTGCGAGATTATAATTAGAATATCCTGCTCAACGATTATTTTTTCAAGATAGAAATTTTACCATAATAAAAGTCATGGAGACATATAAATGTGATAGCCTGATTTTGTTAGAATAGCATTTTTGCTAGATCATCACATTTCCAGTATTCGAGAGGAAAATTTAAAATAGACTATGAAGACTATAGGGGATTGGCAAGTAAAAAAAAAAAGAAGTCAAAGAAAATGAGCTAAATCTAGTAGTAGCAAGTAGGAGATGCCCTGAAGACAATATTATATTATCTTTTCTCTTTCAAGAAATTTTTTTTTTTGAGACGCAGTCTTGCTCTGTTGCCCAGGCTGGAGTGCAGTGGTACGATCTTGGCTTACTGCAACCTCTGCCTCCCGGGTTCAAGCGATTCTCCTCCCTCAGCCTCTCAAGTAGCTGAGATTACAGGTGTGCGCCACTATGCCCAGCTAATTTTTTGTATTTTTAGTAGAGATGGGGTTTCACCGTGTTAGCCGGGATGGTCTCGATCTCCTGACCTCATGATCCACCCGCCTCGGCCTCCCTAAGTAATGGGATTACAGGCATGAGCCACTGTGCCCGGCCAAGATAATTTTTTTTAATTAAAATTGGCTGTATTGTCTCATCAAAGTTCACATCAATCAGGAAATACTATTGATGATTGAAGACCTGCTGTGTACAAGACACAAAGGCAGGCAACACTGGAGTAGGTTTTTCTGTTGGGATGACTGTGAATTTTGAAGCAGAGGAGGGGGTGGAAAATGATGGCACAATAAAAGTTCAGTTACAATCAGCACTCCTGCTTCTCACCTGTCGTGTCCAATAGAGAGTTGAATCTGAAACGGGAATGACACAGCTTAAAACTGTTTGGCATGGATAGGGGATTTGTGGGGTTGTGTAGATCCCTTATTGTCCTCCAGTGGTTTGCAGCCACCGTACTTCGGCTTACTGATGTGCTGCACGTGAATGACAGGTGCTACGACAGTGATTCAGTCTGTCGAGGGGTTTTTCTTTCTTTCTCTTTTTTCTTTTTCTTCTTCTCCTCCTCTGTCCTCCCCTCTCCTCTTTTCTTCTCTCTTTTTATTCCTGTAGCAGGAGACACAGGTGGATGGTAAGGTCTAATTTCCAGAAAGCTGAGCTTTGCTGCTTGTGAACGTGGTATCTTTGGCTACCACTGAGGGTTAGACTCAGGTCCACTACAGCAATTCTGACATATTTACTGAAATCTGTGAGGTTTTTGCTCTGGAAGTATAGAAGAGGACATGGTCAAGGCAGTAAACAGATCTAAAAAAAAAACCACAAAAACAAAAGGAACAGATTGTTAACAAATAACAAGTTCTGAAGGCCAGCAAGTAAGACAGCTTTTGTTTCTTTATCAATACTGTAAGGTGCTGATTTACTGTAAAACTAATTGCATTATAATTGGATGTGGCTTTTCAATGTTGTTTTGAGTCTTTTATTCCTTCCAACATGCCACCAAAATGTTTATTTCGAAGTAGGCCGTGAATACTGTGCTGGAGGATTTGTTGAACAAGAAAACTAGGTGTAGTCAGACTAAAAATGTTATTGTGGTGATCCATCCCCAGATCATGGAAGAGAGTTATTATTCAGAATCTGCATTTTGATGGTATTCACTTTACTGATATTTTAGCCATAATTTATCCTCTTTCACTACAGTTCTTAAACTAGGTCCTTCCGATGTGTGTCCCAGTTCTCTTTCCCGGTTACACGCCTCTACTTCTGCACAGCGGCTCTTTGCGGCCTTCCTGCCTTGGCCTTGGATGGAAGGGTAACCCCCTGCAGAGTATTCAATGATCAGACTGTGTCCTGTGTATGTGACTTTGCAGCAATACCCAATGCCAGTTTGATGCGTGGTGCTTACTTCACAGAAGCCCATTTCATGTAGGGCTTGGGAGGAAGTCGTTGCTATCCTGGATGTTCTTACGTTCTTTAGTAATGGTGGAAGGGAAAGAATTTCGTACACCATTGTTATTAACACCCTGAATCCTGCAGATCTGGCCAAAGGGAGGGTGACCCTAGCCATCTGGGAAGTGTGCAAGGCAGAAGCACCGTCCATATGGGAGGAGCTGGAGGTGCCTGGCCCTGTCTGGTCAGGTGGTGGGTCTGGCTGATCTTTTCCCCTTCAGCACCAGGAAGTTACACAAACCTGTACTTCATGCACCCAAGGAGAAGAAAGAGGGCCCCCTCCTCTGTCCCGTGATATGATAGTGAACCATACTTACATTTGAAAGATAGTTTCTTTCTTTCTTTTTTTTTCTTTTTTTTTGAGACAGTCTTCCTCTGTCACCCAGGCTGGAGTACAGTGGCACCCTCATAGCCTGCAACCTTGACCTCCTAGGCTCAGGTGACCCTCCTGCCTCAGCCTCCCAAAGTGCTAGGATTACAGGCCTGAGCCACCATGTCCAGCCTGAAAGATGTTTTCTGAATCAGGTTTGTACAGCCAAGTTACTTTGAAAGCATACGTGAAAATGTTTATAAGTTATAATACATTTTATATGTATGTTATTATCATAAGTAGATAGGTGTTTCCTACTTGAATCTTTGAGTTACCTGGATGCATTTCTTAAGGAGAGTTTATAACAAAATGTTTTAATAGGAAATTTCATTATAATAATTTGAACTTTTCCCATTTATTGCTTTTTATTATTACTGGATAAATATTGTGATACTCCTGGTGCTCTGAACCCCATCTGAGCAGAAACCTGTAGTATCTGAGGACTCTTGCCAATAACATAATGGTAGATTGTGTCAAGAATATGCTCTTCATCTGCCTAGGGTTTCATGATTTTCAAGTTGTACATACTAGAAAGGTTCTGTAGATAAAGTATGAGAGGAGAAAGGCATTATGTACATTAGTTGAAATTGGCATCATGTTGCCAAACTGTAATAAGCCTTAGGGGAGCTCAGTGTTGAAACTACTCAATTGAATGCTGCAATTTCCCATAACAATTTAAAAGGCCTGCAGGCATGCTAAAGTCATAGCTGGATCTTTCAGTTAACACTCTGTAACATGACCCCAAAGTCTCATTTACATCACAGCAATTAAAATATATTCCACATTACACGTTTACTACCACATACTGTAGAAATAATCCAATGAAATGTGGCTATTTTCCAAAAATAATATGGAAATCTTGATATGATACGTATTCACAATTTCTTCTTTCCAAAGTGGTATCACCATTACACACTTGTACATACAGGATAATGGTAATTGTGAAGGGGGAGGAAAGTGGGGCAGATGAAGAGGAATGCAGCCTGGACTGATGAAAACTAGCAATCATTACTACTTGGTGACCCACAGGAAATTGGTTTTGTGGTCTCAGTCCGGTTCATGGGTGACAGGTGTCCATTGTGCAAAATAATCATCGTAATCTGTGCTAATTGGCCCCCTACTGGTAGTTAGAAAGTAGAGAGACCAAAAATTATATGAGCACAAAGAACCCTTCTACACCTCCTGGTTGCAGAAGGGTTGCCTCTGGACTAGGACAAAATGCCAACACCCAGTTGGGAAAGAGATGGAAATGTAGAGTAGCACTCACCTGAGGAAGGTATTTTCATGAATTTAGAGTCCTTTCCTTAATGCTCCATCCAAATTAAATTTAAAATCCTCCTGACATAGGGATTATAGCTGTAACTATTAATTGATATCATAACTATTTTGTAATGAGCTGAACAGCAAATTGAATTACTTTAAAGCAGAGCCGTGGTGGGCAAAATTAGATCATATTTTCTCAACAGTGACGACTGCATTTTAGCAATGCCTCCCTTTGAGGAAACGTAGACCAAATTGACTTACTCCAAATTGTTGTTGTGGTTTAATATTTATTGAATAGCCACAATTTACTAGCTTACCTTGAAAGTGTGGTTTTTAACAGTTGTCTAGAATACATCACCAAGGTATGAAATACAGTGGCAAAAGTCCAGCTTCTCCACTTGGCAGGCAGTCAATGGGAAACCAAGGAAACTGCCTTGCTCTCTGTGCCTGCTGGAACATTCTTGCCTGCACTCCCCTTTTGTGGTCAGGAAGAGCTTTGGAAGAATCCTACTTTAGCAGACATCTGAGAACGCAACATTTTTATCTACTGACTAGGTCCATTTTAATCCTCTGCCGTGGTTTATAACTACCACTAGTAACAGCATTGAAACAAATTTAATTGGGCCACTTACTCAAGAGCCTTTGTGTCCATTATTGGGAGGTGCCTCCTTTGAGCAGACACAGCCCCCTCCTAGGGGTGCTGAACTGGGCAACCGCAAAGCACAGGCTGGATTGAGCCCCCCAACCCCCTCAGCAGATGACCCGATGCCTGGGTTGGGCGTTGTCTACCTGACCCATGAAAACTTTTTAAAATTATAGATTATGCACATATTTGGTTTTTTTTTTTATGAGACAGGGTCTCACTCTGTCACCCAGGCTGGAGTGCAGTGGTGCAGTCATAGCTCACTGCAGCCTTGAACTCCTGGGCTCAAGTGATCCTTCCACCCCAGCCTTCTGAGTAGCTAGGCCTACAGGTGGTATGTGCCACCGTGACTGGCTAATTAAAAAACAAAACAAAACAAAAAAACTTGTTTTGTAGAGATGGGATCTCACTATATTGCCCACGCTGGTCTTGAACTCCTGGCCTCAAGTGATCCTCCTGCCTCAGCCTCCTAATGTGCTGTGATTACAGGTGTGAGCCGCTGTGCCCAACCTATGCATGTATTTGTCTTTATGATATAAATCATCTAGGAAATCCAGAACCACAAAGGTATAGGATACGTGTTTCCTATTTTTACTTGACTATTTGGCAGTATTTATACAAAGTCATAATATTTGAGTGTATTGTGCCTATGCATTTTAAGGTGTGTAACTAAACTTGAGAAGTCCAAACAGTATATTTCTGTGTGAGCCTATACCTAGTCAAGCATATTTATATTCCCCAATACTGTTGCATTACAATGTGTTTAAAAACAAACAATAAACACCCACGAAGAAAAATATTCTAGAGAATGGAATCCTCCGAGTAAGCACACAGACCGCTAGCCAGGCTGGCTGTTTCCCCTACACATTGATACTGAGTCCAGAACCGACCTAGCCCCTACTGTCTCCACAGCAAGCTCAGAGACTTTCCTCAGTTCTTGGGACGAATCAGACACTCAGACTGAACCCAAAGGGTTTTTGGGATCCTGAATCTACTCTGGAACTTATCTATCCCCTAGAGCTTACCTCCTTCAAGGAGGAAGTGGGGTTTGGGAATTCGTCTGTCCACTGACAGATGCCATGTTGACGGAGACACCTGCATTCGCATCGCTGAGTGCGAATTTCCCACTTTCCAGGGATCCGTGAGGAAGGTGCCGTGTGGCTGGTTTGCTGCTTTTCAGACTAAGATGAGAGCTGTCTGGTGGGCAGTAGACAGTGTATATGTTTATTATAGTAATTTTGCCTGTGGGTAACAGAGGCATGAATAACTGCAGTTATCCCTTATTCTCCAAATACTTGGGGGTAGTTACCAGGTCTTCACCTAGTTACTAAAATAAGCCTACCAGCATTCTTCAGTCTGGAGACTCTTCATCAGTTTCATTCCTCCTCTTGAAAGTCCTGCCAGCGTCTGCCTACTGCTTTCTACTACCAAGACAAAAATATTTGGATAACATTAGACATGAAATCATTTTGAAATTATTGGTGTGGGAACAATTTTTTTCTTATTTGATGACATAGTCCCTCTGAATAAGCTCATAAAAATTCAAAACTCAAATTCTATTCACACATTTTAGCAAAATAGCAATTTCGTAACAGAGGTATAATCTCTTGCTCTCAACCGTATAGACTGGGCTTTGGTGTATTTTTCGCAAACCAGCTCCCCCAGATTACTGAGATTTAAGCCTAATGACAGCGGACATGATTCTCGGACACCGGGCAATGTACTTGATGTCATTATAGTAGCTGCCCTTTATCAAGTACTCATTATGTTATGTGCCAATAACTGTGCTGAATGCCCTAAAAAACTTTATCTCATTTAATCTTCATAATATCTCCGCTAGAAAGGTATTGTCATATGCTTTTTGGATAATTAAAAGTAGTAAACTAAGCCTCAGAGAGCTTAAGTAACCTGTCCAAGGCCATGTGTCACATCATTTGTAAATAGTGGAGCTAGACTTTAGACATAGTTTTGTCTGATTACAAAACCTGTTCTCTGTCTCCTTCCCAGTTGTATTGATATAGTTTTTTCAGTTGAAATATCCAGGGTAAGAACTTGTTATTTCAGAAGCATATTTCTTTTTCTTTAAATTCTTATTTTTATTTATTTATTTTTAATTGAGATGGGATTTCACTATGTTGCCTAGGCTGGTCTCAAACTCCTGGGCTCAAGTGATCCTCCTGCCTCAGCCTCCCAAGTAGCTTGGATTACAGGTGCGTGCCACCATACACAGCTCTCAGAATCATTTATTTCTGTCAGTCACTGAGGTCTGCTTCTTCTACGTAGACGTCAGTGAGCAGGAGGCAGGCTTTCTCCAAATGACGGCAAAAATGTAAACAAGCTACAAGTTTACATCTTCCCCTTAGCAACTCTAATGAAAAGAGTAGGCTCATTCCCAGTAGTTTCACCAGATGTCCCAGGACTGACCTCATTGGTCACATGTTCATTCTTAACCAGTCCCTGAGACTTTGTTCAGGCTGTTCCTGGACCCCACGACTGGGGTCTGTTCCACCCCAACCCCTTTGTCTCCATGTGGGGGAAGGGTGTTTTTTTTTTTCAGGGAAATACATGAAACAGGTTTTTTTGTTTGTTTGTTTTTGAGACAGAGTCTCACTCTGTTGACCAGGCTGCAGTGCAGTGGCACGATCTTGGCTCACTGCAGCCTCCGTCTCCTGGGTTCAAGCGATTCTCCTGCCTCAGCCTCCCGAGTAGCTGGGACTACAGGCGTGTGTCACCAGGCCCAACTAATGTTTTTTGTATTTTTAGTAGAGATGGGGTTTCACCATGTTGGCCAGGCTGGTCTCGAACTCCTGACCTCCAGTGATCCACCCGCCTTGGCCTCCCAAAGTACTGGGATTACAGGCGTGAGCCACTGTGCCTGGCCCACAAAACAAAATTAGTACAGCTACCAAGGCTGTGATGGAAGAGAGCCTGTCTCCTTTGATAACTGAACCACATAGGATGACAGACAAGCAAAGAGAATTGTGAGCACGTCTCCCTCTGAAACACATAATATCACACCAGGGTGTCATTTATGTTCTTCTCTAATCGTCTTTTCCCTGAAGAAGCAGCTTGAAAATGTTTTCAGTAGATTTTATCCTCTTGGTCTTACATTTTACACCTTTCTTACTCCTGAGTTGAATTTCACTTGGCTTTTATTTTTGCATCCCCAAAGCTGTGATCTCTGCAAATGTAATTTTCAATATGACAGCCTTCATTGACTTTGTTAATACTGGATCTGTTGACATCCTGACATGGTTTGTTAAACTCATTGCTGTCATCTCTCTCTCTCTTTTTTACTTCTTAAAAAATTTTATCTCTTAAATCTCCTCTTTGTTCTAAGGTTTGGAAGTATAGTCCAGAGGTTAAGAGGAGAGATTTGGAATGAAACTGAAATGTGTTCAAATTCAGCTCAGGTGATTTCTGACTCTATGACCTTGGATGGGCCAGTGAATCTCTCTGGGCCTCAGTTCTGTCATGCGAAAATGGAGTTGATAATTCTTATTTAGCAAGGTTGTTGTGAGGATTAAGTGAGGTCATATATGTAAAGCACCTGGCATATTTTAAGCACTCAATAAATAATCAAGATTGAAATTAATAATTCGTCAAGGAGCTTTTATGTCCACTCTGAAAGAGAGGAATATGCCCAGCACTTAGGGAAATCACATGAGCTCTTCATTGAAGAAGCTCCCCCAGTGGCACACAGACTTCCCAACTATCACTGGGCCAGTGAGACCCATCTTTAAGGCACTTTTTAAATATGGAAAGCTGTAGTTGTTTTGAAGTCATCTAGAAAACTTGCTTTTCTCTCATTACGACTAAAGGTTTGAATTTGGACTTGATGCTACACAAGTCTTACCGTTTGGCAACTTTTCCAAGAAATAAATGGAAGAGCACCATATGGGGGTGTGAGCCCCAGCCTAGCCACACTACTGGTTAGTTGCATGACTTGAACATTTTTATTAGTTGTCATAGTTCCTCATCTCTATAACTGGCAATAACACAAACTGGCTGTGTTGCTGTTAGGTTTAGAAATGCAATGTGTAAAATACCCAGCATGAAAAAGCGTTTAATAAATTGAGGTTATTGGCTTGGTGTGGTGGCTCACGCCTGTAGTCCCCAGTACTTTGGGAGGCCAAGGCCTGAGAATTGCTTGAGTCTGGAAGTTCAAGGCTGCAGTGAGCTGTGATCGTACCACCGTACTCCAGCCTGGGCAGCAGAGCGAGACCCTGTCTCAAAAAATAAAGAAATAAAATAGAATAAATAGAGGTTATTATTATTACTGTGTGTGTGATTGTGCCTGGCATGTCCACTGAGGTGGACATGTTCAGCCGAAGATGGAATGACCTACTTCAATCAGAATAAGACATCTGGAGTGATATCAAACTGTCTATTTGGTTGTTTTTTTACCTAGTGTGTTTGAGGCCATTCGGATACCACAGTATTATCTGAATGACATATAATTGTGTTTCTTACTTTTCCCTCTGAACCAGATATTATTACTGGCAAAATTTTCAAAGTCCTGGCTCATGCCGAAGCGCAGGTGAAAAAAGTAGTGGCCTCTATATTCAGGGTGTCTGATTTAAGCCATCATAGAAATGTGTAAATAGGTATGATGGATATTGGTTGATCCAGGCAGGCAGACAAATTGAGAGGTATTATTTACACTTTACCCTAAAGGTCTGCAAGCTTGGAAAGCTGCATTTGGCTCAGCTGTATTGGATCCTTGAGTGCCTTTTCCCATCTATTCTAAGTATAGAAATTATGACCTCTTCCCTGTAGTTATTCCTCTGTTTGCAACCACAAACTAAATGACTGGATTAATATATATTACTAGTGTCTATTAAATTTTCTTTCCATAATTTTTATCAGGAAAAACAGAATTACTTTTATTTTCAAACCATGCAAATGAATTGTTTTGTTTTGAAATCATAGAATATATTCTCACTTTACTGAGTAAATTAACCTTATTATCTTTATTTTTTTCTTTTTTGATCATTTTCAGTTTTTGTTTCCTTCTACATAGGAATATTTTTGAAAAAATTTTTAATGCATTGATGAGAGTTAAGCCACTTTTCTTATAGCCTAAGGCACTGTTCTATATATTTTCCAATTAAAAATCTTTCAGTATTCACAGTTATTCAGTAGCTATTTTAATATATTTCCTAAATATACTATTTATAGTTCTATATATTTTATTACCTAAATTTACGTTTATTCATGATAATTCATCCATGATGAGTAGTTTTGAATTTTAAAACAATAAGTTTTCTGTTCATTATACTAAAAATAACAACATAAATATATCTTTATCAACATGAAAATGTTCATAATATATTAAGTAAAAATGGGTTACAAGATTATCCATTTTAAATATATATATATACACACATGTTCATATATACATACAGCATATGCATGGAAAAAGTCTGAAAAGGTGAACACCAAAAAGCTAGGAGGGCAATTATTATTTTTTGTCTTATCTGCATTTTCCAGTTTCCAGAAGGAAAAAATATTACCTGCTTAATACATATTTTAAATGAAAAAAAAACAGCAAATATTGGGAATGTGTATTAAACAGTGCTTAGGGGATGGCCTCCTGTTTTCTCTCTCTCAGGAGAGTTTCCTCTTCACTCAGCTGCTCAAGCCAGAAAGTTGGTATCATTCTCAACTCTTTTCTTTTCCTCACCCTCATTTTAGCCCATCACAGTCATGCTGATGCCACCTCTAACTATCTCTCATATCCATCCATTTTTCTAAATCTCCACTCCATCCCTTTTCCCCTATTTTCCATCCTTCAGCCAGAGAGATCTTCCTAAGCTAAAAGTCTGATTTATACAATTATAAATACATTGATTTTCTTTATATTCTGTCTCCTTTCTCAGATTAAAAGAGGGCACGGGCTGGCTGGGCGTGGTGGCTCATGCCTGTAATCCCAGCAGTTGGGGAGTCCGAGGCAGGCAGATCACGAGGTCAGGAGATCGAGACCATGATGAAACCCTGTCTCTACTAAAAATACAAAAAAATTAGCCGGGCGCTTTGGCAAGCGCCTGTAGTCCCAGCTACTCGGGAGGCTGAGGCAGGAGAATGGCGTGAACCTGGGAGGCGGAGCTTGCAGTGAGCCGAGATCGCGCCACTACACTCCAGCCTGGGCGACAGAGCGAGACTCCGTCTCAAAAAAAAAAAAAGAGGGCAGGGGCTACGTGTTGTGTATTCCTGCATTCCCATTGCTTCTTACAATGTCATGTCACCATGACAGCTGGTAGCATTTATACATGTAGGATAAGTGAATAAGTAAAGAAATCAATGGTCACTGTGCTTTGTGCACAATTTCATGTCTATACATACAGATCAGCTGCATTCTTTTGAATCACTGCACAGCATTCCTCTATCTGGTCTTGTCTTGCTTTTTCATCCAGTGTGACAATCTCTGCCTTTTAATTGGTGTGTGTAAATTATTTATGTTTAATGTGATTATTGATAGAGTTAGAATTCTCTTTTTTCATTCATTTACTTTTAACCTATTTGTGTTGTTATATTTAAGTGTGTTTCTTGGAAATAGCATCTAATTGGATCTTTAAAAATTATCCAATCTGAAAATCTCTGCATTTTGTGGAGTTTTTAGACCATTTACATTTAATGTGATTTTTGACCTAGTTGGGTTTAAGTCTATCATCTTGCTATTTGCATTTGATCTGTACCATATTTTCCGTGTTCAACTTTCCCCTTTTACTACCTTCTTTTGATTAGTTGTATATTTTTATGCTTCCATTTTTAAAATTTCTGTTTCCCCTTTCGTGACTGTTAGTTATAACTATTTGCTTTGCTGTTTCAGTGCCCTGTTTAGGGTTTAAACTGTATATCTTTAATATAACACTGTCTGCCTTGACGTGATATTAGGTCACTTCACATACCTTGTAATAGTGTACTTCTGCATGTCCTCTCCCTTCCTTTATGCTATTATTGAGATATATTTTACTTACACATGTTATAAATGCTACAGTACACGGCTACGATGATTGCTTAGTTATCTATATTTAAGGAGATTTAAATAGTAAGAACAATATCTTATATATTTAACCACATACCATTTTCAAGTGCTGTTTATTCCTTTGTATAGGTACTTATTTCTATGTGATTTTGTTTTTATTTTGCCTGAAGGGCTTCCTTTACATTTTTTTGTAATGAGAGTCTGCTGATGATCAGCTTCTGTATGTCCAAAAAGGTATTTATTTCACCTTCATTTTTGAGAGTTATTTTCATGGGATATAAAATTCTAGGGTTTTTTTTTTCTTTCAGTACTTTAAAGATTTTGTCATTTAGCTTACATTATTTCCTGTGAGAAGCTCTGTATGTGATGATGCCTTTTTCCTGTGTCTGCCTTTAAGATTTTCTCTTTATCACTGGTTTTGAGCAGTTAAACATAACCAAATGCCCTGGTGTAGTTTTGTTCACATTTCTTGTGTTTGGGGCTTGTTGAGCTACTGGCATCTGTAAGTTTATAATATTCATCAATTTTGAAACATCTTCAGTTATTATTTCTTCACATTTTTTTCTGTTCACTTTTGTCTGTCTTCTTCTTCTGGAATTTTGACCACATGTATATTGGTCTCTTAAAGTAGTCCTGTGTCTCTCTGATGATTTATTTATTTATTTATCCACCCATTCTTTTTCTGTGCTTTATTTTGTGTAGTTTCTATTACCATTTTGAGTTCTCTGCTCTTTTCTTCTGCAGTGTCTAATCTGCCATTAATCCTATTCAGTATATTTTTTATCTCAGACATTGAAGTTTTTCTCTTGAAGTTTGACTTTAGCCTTCTTTTTATATATGCCATGTCTCTAATTTTTTGATTGTATGGGATGCAGTTATTATAACCATTTTCATGTCCTTCTCTATGAATTCTTACACCAATATCACTTCTGGGTAGTTTCAATTGATTGATTTTTCTCTATATTATTTTCCTTCTTCTTTGCATACCTGGTAATTTTTTATTGGATGTCAACCATGGTGGATTTTATCTTGTTGAATGATGGATATTTTTATATTTCTGTAATATTCTTAAGCTTTGCTGTTGTGCAAAAAGAAGTTAAGCGACTTGGAAACAGTTAGATCCTTCCTGGTCTTGCTTTTAAGTTTTGCTAGGTAGAACCAGAACTGTGTTTAGTTTACTGCTAATTATTCCCCGCAACTGAAGCAAGAACTTTCTGAGTACATCGCCCAGTGAAGTATGAATTTTTTTTTTTTCCCAATCTGGCTGCTGGAAACAGACACTATTCTTGGCCTTGTGTGAGCCCTGTATACTTACTTTACCTGTGATTCAGTGGTCCTTTAGAGGCAAAATTTTGCCCCAGGGACATTTGGTAATATCTAGAAATATTTTTGATTGTCATGACTGGGGCTGCTCCTGGCATCTAGTGGGTAGAGGCTAGGAATACTGCCCAACATCCTACTACAAAATGCCCCCACTCCCACAAAAAAGGAATTTTTCTTTCAAGGAGGTGAGTAGTGCTGAGGTTGAGATACCCTGATACAGTCCTTTCAGATCATTCTTTCTGTGCCCTCCAGTGGTCTCCTCACACACTTGTGTCGATCAGTACTCTGTGGAACACCCCAGAGGGACCCTTGGCAGATCCTCAGAATTCTTTCTCCAAGTGGCTCTCTTTTCTCTAGCAACTTGTCCTGCAAATTCTTACCACCTGTTCTACGGGGCTCAGCTTCACCTCTAATTGTGAGGGTCTTCTGGACTCTTCCTGGGTCCCCCTTCCTGTGCTACAGTCTGGAAATTTTCAAGGCAGTAAGCAGGTGTGATCCATGGCACAGCTTAATTGTTTCTCATCTCTCAGGATTCACTGTCCTTCACTGACTGATGTCAATGGCTTGAAAACTGTTGTTCCAGATATTTTGTCTTTTTGTTGTTATGTTTTAGCTATCAGGGTAATCCAGTTCTTGTTACTGCAATCTTGGCTGGAAGCAAAAGGTGGCTTCTTATTTATTATTGCTGTCAAAAGTTCTCTTTGTTTACTGTCATGTGTAAAGAAAACAACCTGCCCAACTTTAACCTCCTCAATCACTATTCATTATATTGATTTTTCTCTGTCTCTGAATCTTCCCAACAAGTCTCACATTTTATATTCATAGTAGATTCCCCTTTTCCTATATTTCCTTTCACAGTCTTTGTGGGGTGTTTTTTCGAGACAGGGTCTTACTCTGTCTCCGAGGCTAGAGTGCAGTGGCACTGTCATGGCTCACTGCAGCCTCCACATCCTAGCCTCAATTGATCCTCCCGTCTCAGCCACCCAAGTAGCTGGGACTACAGGCATGTGCCACTGTGCCTGTTTTTTTTTGTTTTGTTGTTGTTTGGTTTGGTTTTTGTAGAGAGAGGGTTTCATCAAGCTGGTCCCAAACTCCTGGGCTCAAGCAATGTTCCTGCTTTGGCCTCCCAAAGTGCTGGAATTGCAGGTGTGAGCCACCATGCCTGGCCTTGTGTTTTAACTTTTTACCGCTAACATGATAGTTAGATTCTCTTGTGTTCTACTATTTGAAACTATAAGCTCAAATTCTAGTTATGCTTGAATTTAGCACTACCAAAAATATATATATATATATGATTTTATTTTTGTACTTAATTATTTCAATTTTTGGATTTATACATTTGCCTCAGGAAACATAATTTTCTCTAAAATGAACAAAAGCAATTGATTTCCTCAATTATTTTAGCTATTCAATAAAGGAAATGCTTTGAAATTCTTATGGTATGCAAAGTTGTATTTACTGTTCAATTGATATAACTGGCAATAAATCATAAATACTAACATTAGTGAAAATACAAATTGTGAGTAACAAAAGGCAAAAATTTTTTGGTACTCTGTACAAAGAACTTAATTTAGACCTTTAATCTAAAATGTGTTGGTGTAAATTAGTGTTGCTTTGAAGTCTGGTTATTGTGGGGGTGAGCTTTTCCAGACTATAATAAAGATAGGAGGACACTATATAGAGATATCCAAGGTAACATTCAAGGCTTTGTAATTTGTACAGAAAACAGATAAAAATGGAAGCATGAGTGAGTTTCATCTAGAGGTTATTTAATCTTTTGGGTTTGGATATTTGTTATATTTCAGTCTCTACATAGATATATATAACCTTATGGAATTTTAGAACTACAATTGATGTTAGGGATGTTTGATAAATTGTAATCATTGGCATCAAGGGTTTTAAAGATACAAAATTTACAGTTAAAATCAAGTTACTTTCTAAAGATACAATTAAAAGTATTTCATCAGGATTAGGAACATGTTATAAAACAATGTAATGATGTCATTACATCATTACATTACGAAACTTCTCTGGCCAAGTTTCAAAATATATTTAAATAATACATCTGAAATAAAGGATAGGATCAACCTAAGTTTAGTGTCCATAAGGCAGGGATTGCCTGCCCATTCATTCATTCAGTCAAATACTTTGCAGAGTGTTGGGAAGAAGCAAATAACCAAGTAATCCAACTTGCTTTAAGCCCAGCTGTGGTTTCCAGAGGAGTGCTATGGTTAGTAGCTGAGTTGCGTTTCAAGGAGCTAATGAAAATTAACCAACTCAGCTTGATATTGTTGTGTGTTTGCTGTAGCCAGTTCAATCAGAAGTTTTTTATCTGTTTTGTTTTTTGAGACAGAGTCGCACTCTGTTGCCTGGGCTGGAGTGCAGTGGCATGATCATGGCTCGCTCTGTCCTTGAAGTCCTGGGCTCAAGCGATCCCCCTGTCTCAGCCTCCTGAGTAGCTAGAACTACAGGCATGTGCCACCATGCCCAGCTAATTTTTGATTTTTTTATAGAAATGTGGTCTCACTGTGTTGCCCAGGCTGGTCTTGAACTCCTGGGCTCAAGCAGTCCTCTCACCTCAGCCTCCCAAAGTGCTGGGATTACAGGCATGAGCCACTGAGCCTGGCCAATCAAAAGGTTTCTTTTGTTTGTTTTTTTGTTTTTTGTTTTTTGTCACCTTTCTAATGGCTTTCCTTATTTTTCAAAGGCTTTGCCCACTGATGCAGCTAATGTCATATTCATTAAATGCTGTTTGCTAAATATGCACACAGTGACCCTCTTCCTTGTGTAGGACTGTGCAGTCACTATCAAAGTGCTCTAACAATTTGGCATTACTTAAGCTGCATTTCTTAACCTTCTCGTCTTCAGCCTTGAGTGGAAGAGATAACACAGAAAACTGCCTTTTGAAGTCATATTGAACTCACTGACTTCCATCAATGAAGCATATCAGTAGTTGCAAATATTGCAGTGTAGATTAAATCCTCGAAGAGTTTGAACTATGTACGAAAATGAAAAGGAGATACAGAGGACTTTTTATTGTTTACAGTCTAAGATCAAATTGCCTCGATCTTTGATGGCATAATCAAATACTACATCTTGATGTATTGTGGCACTGGAGAATTGCTTCACAAATAAAGAAAACTCAGATATTTGATGCTAGAGATGTTTTAGAAAGCTTAAGAATACCTAAAATCATCTTTCCATTACTAGGTGTTAACATTTAGTTGGTATTGATTTATAAACTTTAGAAGTATTACCACAAAGTTGCATCTTTAATTGCTATTACTGTGTTAAAGAACGTACTGATTATCTAATTTGCAAGATTATAAAATGGTATCATGAAAATGATACAGTAGAGAGAATACTTTTTGCCCTTGAAGATCCAAATGGGGCCGGGCACTGCAGCTCACGCCTGTAAATCCCAACCCTTTGGGAGGCCAAGGCGGGCAGATCACCTGACGTCAGGAGTTTGAGACAAGCCTTGCCAACATGGTGAAACCCCATCTCTACTAAAAATATACAAATTAGCCGGGTGTGGTGGCACGCGCCTGTAATCCCAGCTATTTGGGAGGCTGAGGTGGGAGAATCGCTTGAACAAGGGAGGCAGAGGTTGCAGTGAGCTGAGATTGCACCAGTGCAATCCAGCCTGAGTGAAAGAGTGAAACTCCGTCTAAAAAAAAAAAAATCCAAAGAGAATGGAAAGACGGATGGTTTAACTCAGAGGTTTACACACTGTTTTCTCTAAAGGACCAGATAGCAAATAGTTTAGACTTTGCAGGCCATCAGGTCTCTGTGTTAGTTTCCTGTGGCTGCAGTGAGAAATGACCACAACCCTGGTGGCTTAGAACAACAGGAAGTTATTCTGTCAGTTCTGGAGGTAAAAAGTGTGAGGTCAAGGGCCACACCTCTGCGGTCCAGAGAAGAATCTGCTTCGCGCCTCTCTTCTGACTTCTGTTGGTTGCTGGTGGCCATTCGTGCTCCTTGGCTTTCAGGGCCATTGCTCCAATCTCTGCCTCTGTCTTCTCCTGGCCTTCTTTCCTATGTGTCTGTGTGTGCCTGTATCCAAATTTTCCTCTCCTGTCTCTCATAAAGACACCAGTCATTGCATTTAGGGCCCTCCCTAATCCAGTATGACCTCATCATAATCTTACTACATCTGCAGAAATAAAAGTAAAACCCCATTTTCAAATAAGATCACAGTCGCAGATACTGGGAGTTAAGATTTCAGTTAAGATTTATCTTTTGGGGAGACACAATTCAAACCACTGCAGTTCCTATTGCAGCCACTCAGCTCTGTCTTTGTAGCATGAAAATGGCCAAGGACAATAGGTCAACAAATGCAAGGGCTGTGTTCCAGAAAAACTTTACTTACAAAAACAGGTGGTGGATCCGATTTGGCTGGCAGAGTTTGCCAGTCAATACCTGGTCCAACTAATTGAAGCAAAACAGCAGCAGAGCAGAAAACGATTTCCCCTTGCTTCAATCAGTT
Source organism: Homo sapiens (assembly GCF_000001405.40). Classification (NCBI taxonomy): domain Eukaryota; kingdom Metazoa; phylum Chordata; class Mammalia; order Primates; family Hominidae; genus Homo; species Homo sapiens. The sequence continues at coordinate 182,320,929 of NC_000004.12, forward strand.
CAGTTTTAAAGTACCAAAATGCATACATATGTGTATATATAGCAACACTTATTTTAAAATAGATGTCAATTTAGGGCAAGAAATGAAACTTTTATAATGACTTCAAATCCCGAATCTTTATTACTAAAAATGCTCGAATTATATTTTTCTGATCAATGAAAAGCTTTTTAATGATCATTTAGTTTTCGGTCTATAGGGCCCTCCCTCCAAAAAGATCAAGATGATTTGGAAACAAAATTTCCCTGGAACTGAGACATATTTATTCACTCTGTCAGAAAGAATGTACCTGTTTCCCTGACTAAATGTATGCCCCATAAGGACAGGAACATTTATCCACTCTTTGTCCTCAGCACCTAGAAGGCAGCCTAGCACATAGTAGTCACCCAGTAAATATTCATCTAAAATAACTTCTTGGGGCCGGGCGCGGTGGCTCACTCCTGTAATCCCAGCACTTTGAGAGGCCAAGGCAGGTGGATCACCTGAGGTCAGGAGTTCTAGACCAGCCTCACCAACATGGTGAAACCCCGTCTCCACTAAAAATACAAAAATTAGCTGAGCGTGGTGGTGGGTACCTGTAAGTCCAGCTACTCGGGAGGTTCAGGCAGGAGAATTGCTTGAACCTGGGAGGCAAAGGTTGCAGCAAGCCAAGATTGTGCCACTGCACTCCAGACTGGGCAACAGAGCAAGACTCTGTCTCAAAATAATAATAATAATAATAATAAAATAACTTCTCTTGGCCGGGAGTGGTGGCTCATGCCTGTAATCCCAGCACTTTGGGAGGCTGAAGTGGGCGGATCACGAGGTCAGGAGATGGAGGCCATCCTGGCTAACATGGTGAAACCCCATCTGTATTAAAAATACAAAGAAGTAGCCGGATGTGGTGGTGAGCTCCTATAGTCCCAGTTACTTGGGAGGCTGAGGCAGGAGAATCACTTGAACCCAGGAGGCGGAGGTTGCAGTGAGCCAAGAGCGCGCCACTGCACTCCAGCCTGGGCAACAGAGCGAGATTCCGTCTAAAAAATAATAATAATAAATAAATAAATAATACTTCTCTTTGTTGGAATAAAAAGAGTGAATTGGTGTGTTGTTGTTTTAATCCTTTGGTATAAAAATAGTCTGTCACCATACCTTGAAATTGTTTATTATTTCAATTTAAGTTTGAAAGGAAAGGTACAATATGAGAAATTCAGTTTCTCTTAAGAGCTATTGGAAGAATTTGTAAATGTAATAATGGAGTAATGAATCAGAGGGGTCAGTGAAAAATCGTTTTTTAAAATAAAAACCAAATTCATGGAAAAGAAGACAAAGGTAGAGAAATCAAGATATATTCCAAGACTAAACTAAAATATTAGCAACTACTTTGAACAGCTCAGTATTTGGTAGCCATATCGGTATTTGGAAGCAGAGAAATATGGAACCCCACAAGGGAACCCTTCATTGGCAACATGGAGAGAGGAGGGTATAATTTGGTTGAAGACATAGCAGGGAGGAACACTCCAAACCTTCCCAGGTCTGGGCTGTGGAACTCTGTGATTATTCCAGCGCAGGGAGTCTTGCCACTCTTCTTGTAGCTGATGGAAGGCAAAACTTGGAAAGTGAGGGGTACATTTGTAACGTTACAACAGAAAGGATCAAGAATTCTTGACAACTCCAGGATAAGCTGAGTTGACATGGGAGAGAGTCAGCCACAAGGCTCCAAGTTGGAAGCACATTAATGAGCTGTATGATGTGTATACTGACAGTGCATGCTCGAGAGAGTGGGGGAGAAAGAGAGAGACAGTCAGAGACAGAGACAGACAGAGACAGAGACAGACCAAGACTGAGACCAGAGACACTGATTCTTTGAGAGAGGGACTCACTTTTTTTGGAGGTGAAGAAACTACTATCTCAACAGCGGTCACGGCCAAAGGATACTACAGGAACCAAGGAGAAGGCCTGAGGCCAGTTGGGAACCATTGATTTCAAGTTGACTATGGAATCACTCAAAGAAAAAGTGAATTTACCAAAAAGTGATTTTAGTGGGGTGGGAGGAAAACACGAAGGGCTGAAGATAAAGCCTTCGGGGTCCTTCAGATTAAAAGGAGAGACAACATGAGAAGGAATAAAGATAAAGGAGAACCATTTGAAATGCGGATTCGCCCCGGGCCACTCTCCCTCTTGAAGGCCCCAGTCTTTTGCCGGCAGACCCTTTCCTCCCACCCTTTCCACTGTCAGTTCAGCAAATTCAGGAAATAGAGAGTTTTTAAGCAGAGCAACACCATTTGCCTCGCTTATTCGTGCAGTTGCAGGAAACTCCCCCCATCAAATTAGCCCCTTGAATTACCTTAAATATCACGATTTGCGCTGATTAAATTCATTTGCTAGAGAGGAAAATCCATTTTAAGCAGAATGGTATGGGGAGGAGGACCAGCTTTTTCCACAGTTCAAGACATTTGAGTTCTTAAAACATGAAAATTGTGCCCTCTGAAGAAAGAGTCTTTGTAAGATATATTAAAAAAAAAAAAAAAAAAGTTCAATGCATTTGACAAAGTTTCAGTGGCAAGAATTTCCCAATTTGTTCCTGCTCTTTAGAATACATTGAAAAAGAAAAAAATAGTGTACGTTTATAAGAAAATGAAAGGGAATTTATTTTGAATGGAGAAATGCTATAAAGAGAAAAAGCCATTCTAACTTTTCCATTGTGGAAAATTTAACAAACTATTGAAGCCAATTTTTAGCTGGCTTCTGTAGTGAAATTTCAGCGTGAGCTTACAATTTTTTTTTTGTATTAATGGGGAAAATCAGATACAGTAGCTTCAATAAACACTCATAGCACTCACCAGCAGAAAGCGTGCTTCACCTCTTGGTGATACAATGTATTTTACACTGATTTCAGAAATACTAATTTCTTGTTGAAAGCAAGTTTCCTAGATAAGCAATACTATTGTTTCCTACCATCCCAGATTGAGAAGGGTAGAGAGTAGCCAGTTTTTAGGTGAACGTCATGCTGACCTCATGCAAACCTTGTATCTTCACAGAGAGGCCAATGAGACTTGAACCCTGAGCCTAAGTTGTCACCAGCAGGACTGATGTGCACACAGAAGGAATGAAGTATGGATGTGAAAGAACGCAGGCCTTACTGCTCCCTGACCAAGAGCAGACGAGAGAAGGAACGGCGCTACACAAATTCCTCCGCAGACAATGAGGAGTGCCGGGTACCCACACAGAAGTCCTACAGTTCCAGCGAGACATTGAAAGCTTTTGATCATGATTCCTCGCGGCTGCTTTACGGCAACAGAGTGAAGGATTTGGTTCACAGAGAAGCAGACGAGTTCACTAGACAAGGTGGGTAACTGTCCTAGTAAAATAAGGCAATGCTCACGTTACTAACTTGTAGGTGTCGTGATTTTCCCCTCAAGGTGACATGTCTGTTTTCTGACTTTGGCGTTCCATCTGCTGATTCTGATTTTGAGATATTAGATCATCATGCAGTATTCCAGATGAGAGATAGAAAGCCACCGGTGGGCACATTGGTGCCCCAGGCACAGGCACTGACACGTGGAGAATTCCGAAGCCTCACCTGCTATACGTGAGGTTTATGATTCTGCACGTGGCCCAAGCGTTTGTACAAACTTGTGTAAACTTGAAACTCCAGTCTCTGGGGCTCCCTTTTAGTTGAATGAAGGTGCTCACAGACATTGTGTCTGTGGCTAGAACCGGTACAAGGAGAACAGGAGCTGTTGGTGAAGAAACCCATCTTTCCCTCACAAGAAAGTGTGGCTTATTACCCCAGATCATCTCAGGACCCAAGCAGTCCTGCTGTTTGCCTCTGTCTGATTCACACAAAAGCCTGCCACGGAAAGGTTCCATTGTCTTTCTCCCAGGCAACCTAGTAAATTAAGTTTATACCTTAACACTTCCTAGTTTCCCACAATGTAATCCACTAGGGCTTGGTCATTCGCGTCTATCTGTTGAACATTTTTACACTGTTTTTGGCCTGAGGATGCTCCCAGTGGAATCATGACTCCTGTAACTTTACTTCACTCTCCTAAACCTACCCATTTCTACTCTTAAGACAGTAGGTTATTTTTTATTAGACATACATAGTTATATTTTGTTTCTTCTAATACAGTCTTGAGATGTGGGCAAGATTACTAATAAAAATAAAATCCTCTTACATTTGTAATGTGCAGTATAATTTACATATAACTTAGCATTCTTTAGCTAATTTAATCTGGAAATGAGAAAAAATAAATTAAACTTTAATAATAAAGAATATATTCATTCTTTTCCAATCACCGTACAGACAGTGTGACTAACAGTCTGATATTGGGCAGGAACACATTTAAGAAAAAGTAATAATGCAATAAATCGTTCAAAAGTTGGAAAATTTTCCATGGTTCTTTTCTTCCCTGCATTGTGCAAAGAGCCATTGTAACTAGATTGAAATAGTGTTCACTCACCCAAGCCGGTTTACATCAAAGAAAACTCATTTGATTCGCTAAGGAGAGATTTTTATACCCTAAAGCATGCCTTACTAATTACTGGTATCAAATTTTATGAAAAGGGACAAAATAGCTTAACATTTTTAATCCGTTTTTCAGGGGAGATACAAAACATATTTGAGGTATGTACTCTTAGTTGACTGTACAATGTATTGTAATTTTAAACCCATTTTTTTCATATTGTCTGCACAGCTGAAATAGATTATCAGTGTACATTTTTTCAACAATTTAAAAAATAGTAAGTAGTGTAGAAATGCATGCAATCTGCACCAAATGTGAAGTCTTGCTTTTTGTATCAAAAATAACTCTTTAGTGCCCTGTTGGAAAACGAAAAAAAAATAAAAAAATTAAAAAAACCCAAACTCCACATTGTGGAATATTATTCGAAGGAAACAGCAGCACATGTGGCGAGATGCACTGGGGGTCATCTCCACCCCGGTTATCTCCACACCAGGCAAGCATTTCTTTTTGGCAGCACAGACGATGCCTACACAGGTTAAAAATAGCGCACTGAACTGTTCTCCTCCTAGGCAGCCTTGATCCAGCGCAGACTGTTGTTGACAACCCGGCGGTAGCATTTGTAGAAGCCCTGAAACGGAGGTTCATAGGGGGCCAAAGAGTGTTATTCCTCACTCCTTCCAAGCCAAGGACTGCAGAATCCAAAGGGGCGGAGGAAAGAGAAAGGGCGCCAGGCGGCCAGGGAGGCCTTGTTGGAGAGCAGAAGTGAATGGAGAAGCGCTCGCGCAGTGTGTGATGGTGCCGCAGGTCACTTGATGTGTATGAATCCGAACTTTGTAGAAACGTAAATGGGATGGACTGCTAGTTACAGCTAATGCTGCCACCCTACTGCGTGCTGGTCAGTGCGCTAGGCAGGTGTGTGAGGCAGCTCCCCTGGTGAGGTGGGTCCCGGTAGCGTAGTCTTTTCACAGATTGAGACGGATGAGGTTTGGAGAGGCTGGAGACCCCATGGCTCCTGAGAACTAAGCTGGAACTTGAGCCCAGGCTTGCCTGGTTCTGGCCTGGCTTCTAATCTCTGTGCAGTTGCCACAGTGGAAAACAGGCAACTCAGTAAAATATCACCCTTTGATTTATTGCAGTCAATTTTTTAAGTCTATTATCATTATTATTAATTAATTAATTTAGTGACAAGCTCGGTCTGTTGCCAAAGCCTGACTGCAGCGGGGCAGTCATAGCTCACTGCAGCCTACAGCTCCTGGGCTCAAAAAATCCTCCTGCCTCAGCCTCCTGAGTAGCTGGGATCACAAGTGCACACCACCACCATGCCAGGGTAATTTTAAAGACATTTTTTTTAATAGAGACAGGGTCTCGCTTGTTCCTCAGACTGGTCTCAAACTCCTGGCCTCAAGCAATCCTCTTACTTGGGCCTCCCTAAGTGCTGAAATAACAGGCCTGAGCCACCACGCCCAGCCCATTTTAGTCAATTTTGAATTCGAATGTTCATGGTGTGGATAGTGAGGTGTGAGCAAACTGTAGGCATATTTAGGAAATAAAATTGATATGATTCTGTAATTGGGTGAATGAGGACGAGTGTGAGGGTGGCGTTGCGGATGCTTTCTCCTTCCTGTGGTTTGATATGCGGAGTATTTGTAGCGGGAGTGGTAGGTGTAGGAGAGAAACGAGTAAGGAAAGTCTGCTATCAGATTATGTTTTTCTTGAGCAAGCATAATGAGAAATCCTTCCAGGCTTTCATTTTCTTTGAACCTGACAAATGTCAATTTTTTCTCACGGACTATTATGCTATGGGATTAATTATTTAATTGAGAAAATGTGCTTCCTGCCACAGCTCCTGACATCATATAGGTCATAAAAATGAAAGATTAAAAATATTCATAGTAGCCAAATATCATTGAAACAATTCCAAAGAGTCATGCTAATTTAGCTTTTTTTGTCCATGGAGTTTTAAAACAGCTGATCAGTCCTGTATCCATTTACTCCTTGAATGACACAGGGAAATGCAACTTCGGCTGGAGAAAGGGACAAGCAGGGTTTCCGTTGGTGCGATTATATGGAGAATTCAAATCGAGAAATATGATGTTTTTATATTTTTAATTGACCAATTTTATGTCTAATTATCAAACTTGAATTTAATGGTTTTGTATGGCTTTACTGACTGGCAGGTGACTACTGTTAATTACATGTTATATTTAGGTAGCATAATGCTGGGGATCATTTCTTCTTCACAGTCATTGTGTAATTTGACGGGATCTCACATTGATCTCTTTCTCTTTTTAAATCTCTTCATGTAGTTTGTTGGTGATGGAAATGTTGCTCTTTGAACAGCTGTGGAGCTTTTGCTGTAGGTGAGGGTGAGGTTAGGGTAACAATGGCTTGTTTTGCATTCTTAGATGCTATTTTCTTTTATTAATCTTTGAAGAAAATTTATCCCATCAGGTCTCAGACAAATTTCTTATGAAACAGCTGCATAGGATCATCCCACAGCTTTTGGAGAAGTGGTAAAATAAAAGAACATTTTTCCTCTGCTGCAGCTCTGTGGGCTATGCACATGTTCTGTAGTATTCTTGACCAAACACTTATCAATTCCAACAAGGAACGCTGCCCGTGAGGGTGAACCTTGAAAAGAGACGATGTCTGGAAGTAAGAATACATTTGTTCCACTGAATCATAAGCCTGAAAAGAACCACTTTGGGGCCCTAACCCAAAGTATATAAGAGTTAGTCAATAATCAGTGTTGGGGTTGTGAATTTCAGAATTTTAACATTTGAAGACTACCACTTATTCTTTATTTGTAGAGTGGCAATGGAGAGGAAGGACTCTGTTTTTTGTTTTTGTTTTTGTTTTTGAGATGGAGTCTCACTCTGTCGCCCAGGCTGGAGTGAAATGGCATGATCTCGGCTCACTGCAACCTCTGCCTCCTGGGTTCAAGCAATTTTCCTGCCTCAGCTTCCCGAGTAGCTGGAATTATAGGCGCCTGCCACTACGCCCAGCTAATTTTTGTAATTTTAGTAGAGATGGGGCTTCACCATGTTGGCCAGGCTGGTCTCGAACTCCTGACCTCAGGTGATCCGCCCACCTCGGCCTCCCAAAGTGCTAGGATTACAGGCGTGAGCCACTGCACCCGGCCAGGACTCTGTTTTTAAATTTGAAAAACACCGTGATATCTATGTTTGTACGTTACTGAAATTAAAACAGAAAGTAAATTTGCAAAGAAGGGAAGGAAGAAGGAAGGCAGTTTGAGAACGACAGGCACTGATTGATTTCTAAGTGTGCCTCATCTCTGGTCTTTGCTGACAGCGTGGCTCCACTCCCAGAAACTCCCCTCTTTGGGCCGTGCCGTCTCTTCATTCTTACCATCATCAGTAATGCTGAGCACTCCCAGCCCCCAGAAGCATGGCTTCTGCTTCTCACCTCCTGCCCTTGCTGGTTCAAGGCCAGTTCAAGTGTAGTTTGGGGGATCCCACTGGGGAGAGGAAAGAAAGAGAAGAGGGAAAGTAGATCCCACAAGGCCTGATTCCCCACTGCCGGACCTCCCTTATGGGCTGCATCCTGAGCGCTAGCCCATCTTGTATGCAAACATTCCAGATGCTAGACCTGCCCCTTACCAAGGATAACCCTTGTGAGGAAACAAAAGGACATTAGAGGAGTAGTCTGAATGTTCCTGTAAATATGTATCTTGGACCCTGGCATGATGGTGGCTTGAATGAGGGCTCATCCACTCATCTCCCAGCAGACTCGCTACCTCCTGTGAGCTGAGCAGTGATCGAGGGTACACATGACATCTGCAACTCTGTTAGGATCGTGAAGGACCAAGCTGGCGCAAGTGTTTTCCGCTTTGTGCCAGAAGAGAGTGTGGAATGGGGTGAAGCCCTAACGTGAAGGTCAAGAAGAATGCTGTGGCCTGGTGGTTCCAGAGAGAGGCTGACCTGCCCCTCCCATGGCCCCCACTTGGGCAAATGTTGCCTTGTGGGAGCAGCTGGTTTCCTTGGCCCCTCAGGAGCTGGGGAAGCCTGAACAGATGCATTTCTCCCTCTGATAGGGTGAGAATGCCATCTAAGAAAACCAAATAGTAGAGATGTTGGTCCCAGGAATCTAACACGATTTCCCGCTCTTTCTTAAAGCACCTCAGGAAAACAACAAATTTAATGGCACCCAGAATTCAGGAAGTGGGATAAGATGTAAAAGAAATAGACTAAGAAGCTTGTAATGAAAATGAACAATGGAGATAAGAGAAGACAACCTGAACCAAAATAAAACATTGTAACTAAAGCATGTGCAGAAATCCCAGAATGATAACAACAAAAAAGCAACAACAACAAAACAAACAATGGCCACCAAATGCTGGAGAAAAAATTAAAATCATAATTTACAAACTAAAAATGGCAGCAGATTAGTTGAAGAAGAGAGGTTAATGGTTTTGAAGACCAGGTAGAAGAAACAACTCAAAACAGAAAAGAGAATTTCAGATAAAATTAAGAAGACAACACCATGCACACACACAAACTGAGGCACATTCTAGAAAAATTCTTTAACTTCAAGGATAAAGAGCGTTTACAAGGTGCCACAGAGAAAAGGCAGGTTACTTTTTTTTACTTACTAAAAATAAATAACACCAATAATGAATTTCTCATCTGCAACAATAAAAGCTTGAAAACAGTGGAATAACACCTACTGAGAGAAAAAAAAAATGCAACCCAGGGATCTTATTTGCAGAGAAGATACTGTAGGAGAGGAAAGATTTCTTTTCCCATGCGTCACTAGTTCATGACTAAGGCCCCTATAACAAAAGACAGATTAACAAGAGAAATGCACACAAATTCATGTAATGTAAGTTTTCGGTGACACAAGAACCTTTATAAGGAAATGAATGCCCAAAGAAACAGGTAAACTTGTGTTTTTTTGTGTGAGGTTGGATGAAGAGGGGACAGTCATGGGGAAGTGTGATTGAACACAGGGATTGAATGGTGATAAACTGGGAGGAACTGGGCAAGGTCTGCTCGTTCAGATTCTTCTCTGTGTCCTTGTGTCTTCAGAGATACGGCTGTTGCTTCCTCCTCGTATAGGGAGGGCACCTCTTGGATGAGGGTCTTATGTCCTGCTTCAGGGGAGAAGGTCAAGGGGAAAGTGAGAGTGGCCTTCCTGCTTCTGCTGTTTTCTCAAATGCCAAGTGCCATGTTTTGGGTAGCATGTCCTGAACCCCATCAATAGCATTTATCTCTCAGAGTAAATGAAAGATACTTAGGTAATGCTGGGATTCAGAGACCACGTCAACAGTGTACACACACCGTCTAAGGAAGTACTCAAGAAGAAATACCAACTGAATTAGAATCATGGCCTCCGAAGAGGAGACAATGATGAGAAAGCAACTCTACAGTGTATATAGTTAAATCTCAAACGATGATTACAGAGCAACTGGAAATGTGTCAGAAGCACTACAAGAGAAACCTTAACAGAAGGCTGGAACTAAAAGCATTTACCTATCTCAGCAAAATCCAGCAGTTGGAGGAAAGTAGAAAAGTAAAAGTGTTCCAAATTCTCATCTCATCTGAAGAGGGAGAGTGGGGAAACAGTTATGAAATAGAGCTTTAGTGGAGGGAAATAATTGCTATCTTGCATACATATGACAATGACAAACATATATTTGAATATGAATGTCAGGAGTGGGAAGGTAATCATTAATACAATGAAAAGAGGACAATAGACCCACCTAATTAGCAGTGAGGAAAGGGATTGACTAGCAGTCTGACCAATTTAGCAAAAACAGCTCCAAGGAAAAAAAGGCAACAGGAAAAATCATGAATAATCAAAAAACAAGATGAAAGGAGTCAAATCTACTCTATTACCTATCACCTAAAATTTAAATGTACTGCATTTTGGCCGGGTGCGGTGGCTTACACCTGTAATCCCAGCACTTTGGGAGGCCGAGGTGGATGGATCACTTGAGGCCAGGAGTGCAAGACCAGCCTGGCCAACATGCAGAAACCCGGTCTCTACTAAAAATACAAAAGTTAGCCAGGTGTGGTGGCAGGAGCCTGTGGTCCCAGCTACTCAGGAGGCTAAGGCACAAGAAGCGCTTGAACCCTTGAGATGGAGGTTGTGGTGAGCCAAGATCAATGCCACTGCACTCCAGCCTGGGTGACAGAGTGAGCTCTGTCTCCAAAAAATAAAATAAATACATGTACTGCATTTTGACATAAACTACTCAATTGTTTCATAAAAGTTATTGGTATTTTTAAGACATACACTTAAAATGGTAAAGAAAATGGTTGAGAATAAAGATATATTAGGTGAATACAAACAAAAAGAAAGGAGGAATGGCAGTATTAATATCAGGAAAGATGGAATTTATGATGAAAAACTCTCAGTAGGATAAAAAGGACCACTGGGTAAGTGATGAAAGGCATACTGTGCAGAAGAAGAACATTCTTAAAATGCGTACCTTAAACAATAATATAGTAGCTAAATTTATAAGCAAAAACTATTAAAAAAAGAAAGATTGTTAAAACACGTTAGTAGTGAGATATTTTGATTCACTTCTTTTAGAATCAGGCAGATCTGAAAGACAAAAATAAGACAGCAATTACATAATATTAATCGAAAATTTCAGCTAAGGTATATATACAGAAATTTATAACTGTCAGAAATGATACAATTTTTTATATTTCTATAGGATAGTTGCAGAAACTGATTATGTATTTGGCCATCTAAAGAAACATTAAAAATTCAGAAAATAGATTTTATAAGCCAAAACATTTTATCATAAAATGTAGTAAAATTAGAAATAAATAACAAAAAGATAATTAGAAATAAATAACAAAAAGATAAATGAAGAAAAGCACTTTTGCCCCTTGGATTATGATGTCCCTTGACTGTGATGAAAAGCAATCAAGAGCAATGAAAATTCTACTTCCAAAATGTATGGGAGACAGTGAAAGTCATAATCATAGGGAAAACATTGTGAAGAAATCAGGAACAAAGACTAACAAAATAGGAATATACTATATATTTAAGAAATGAGTTCAAGCCAGGCACAGTGGCTCACGCCTGTAATCCCAGCACTTTGGGAGGCCGAGGCGGGCAGATCAGCTGAAGTCAGGAGTTCGAGACCAGCCTGGCCAACATGGAGAAACCCCCATCTCTACTAAAAATTCAAAAACTAGCTGGGCGTGGTGGTGGGCGCCTGTAATCCCAGCTACTTGGGAGGCTGGGGCAGGAGAATGGCGTGAACCCGGGAGGTGGAGGTTGCAGTGAGCCAAGATCACGCCACTGCACTCAAGCCTGGGCGACAGAGCAAGACTCCATCTCAAAAAAAGAAAAAAGAAAAAAAAAAAAAGACAAGAAATGAGTAGAGTACAATGTCTGGAAAATAAATCAGAGGAAGTAGGAAGAGGTACATAAGATATAACTGAAATTTAAAACAGACAAAACAGCTAAGTCTTTAAAAAGGCTAGTAAAATAGAAAGCACCTATGATCCTGATTAAGAAATAATGAGAACAAAAATAAGACATCCTAAAAAGACTGTAACAACTAAGAGGTGCTATTATTCCAAGCAATAAATTTGAAAAATCTAGAGGAATTTATTTTTTCTCAGAAAATATGAGTAACCCCAAAAGATTTCAGAAGATGGAGCAAACTTGTCAACACCAATTATTTCAGACAAGATGAGAAAGGTGATTAAAAGAGAGACCATTTCCAAGGGCCAGATATGTTCCTAGGTACATTTTGCATAACCTTCAAAGTACAACTAAGTTTAATGTTTAAAAATCTATTCAACACCACCCTTCATAACAGATGGAAGGCATCAAAGTTCATGTTATGAAGTTGGCATGACCTTAATAACTAAACTTGATTAGAGTAGTACAAAAAAAGAAATCATACATAAATTGCTTCACCTACCAAAACTGCTTTTCAGTAGGTGTGTAAAAATTCAAAACAAGTATTTGCATTTAAGAATCCAGCAATATATAAAAAGAATAATATGCTAGACCAAATTAATAGCCAAGTGGTTACTAATCCTTGCTGAATATACAAGGATTTTTCAGTGTTCAGAAATCTACTAACATAATTAGATTAATAAATCAAAGGGGAAAACCATGATCTTATCAATAGATGATTTACACGTTTTGGAAAAAATTTAGAAAGGATTCTTTATTCAAATAAACTCACAAGAAGAAAAAACACTTCAATATGGTAGTAATATTTGACATGATCACTCTAGACACTAAACAGCATTCTAAAAACTGAGATTCTAGGACATTTCAGTTGAAATAGGAACATAAGAAAGGTTTACCTATTCTCACAATTATTATTCAAAATTGTTTTAGATGTTTTAGCAATTGTAATAAGAAAATTAAATGATATATATTTTGGAAAAAGTTAAAATCAGTACTTTTGTTAAAGATATGGTTGTATGCATACAAAAACCATGTGTCTCTAGAAATTAAAAAAAAGGAATTTGAAGTGAATTTGGTATTTGGATGAATACAAAATAAATATATGGACAGTGTAGATCATATAGTATAACGGTTGAGAGTATAGGTTCTGAATCCACATGACCTGTGTGTGAATCCCAGGTCTGCCTTGCCGTAGCTGACTGGCAGTTTACCTAATCTTGGCCAAGGAACTTTTTTGGACAAGTTACATAATTTCTCTATGCCTCCATTTTCATTATTCATAGATTGTGCTGTAGTTTGTTGAGGATAAAATGAGTTAATATATGTAAACTGTTTAGAATAATGCCTGATACCTGTTATTAATATCTACTGCTTGGAAGTCAGAAAAAAAAATCCTATCACAAAGGCAACAGACACTATAAAATTCTTTGGAATAAATTTTGCAAGCATGCTATGTGACCTAATGTGAGGGTACCTATAAAATATTATTTAAAAAACGTAAAACAGGACCTAAATAAATAATCAATGTTTTTGGATGGGAAGATGATACCATAAGAATATTAATTCTCCCCAAATTAATGCATAGAAGTTAAGGATATCAAATAGAATTCCGGTGGGTTAGAGTTAATTTTAATTGGCGTGAGTGATCTTCAAATTTATCTTAAAATTCAAGTGATCATAAAATTCGTATTTTCAAATTTCTGGAAATAGCCGAAACCATATTTAAAAGTCAAATAGTGAGGACAAAATGGAGTTAATATGTATTTTCAAAAGTATGATGAAGCTGCTGTAATCATGTCTATATGATATTGGCATAAATAAAGACAAGTAGATTCATGGAATAGACAAAAACTTCAGAAATATATCCTAGTATATAGGTAAATTTAACATAAAACAAAAAAAAGGTTTTTCTATTCAGTGGGATTTGATAAATGGTGCTGGCACAACTGGTTATCCATCTGGAAGAATATAAAATTGGACCCATATCTCTCAGCATATTCAAAAATAAATTAAGATGGATTAAAGACAAATGTAAAAAATAAAGCAAGAATTCTAGAAGTTAATTTGGGAGACTAAGATAGGAATGACTTGAGCCATGAGTAGCAGAAAGCTTCAGCTTAAAAACTGAAGAGAATCATTTTCTTATAAAACACGAAGTCCAGAGATAGACTATCTAGCCAGGGCGTAAAGATATCATTAAGGCATCTCTCTATCTTTTTCATCTTTGTCATTCTTAGCCGGTAGCTTTTGTCCCCTTGGTGCCCAGGTGGCAGCTGTGCTTTCATATTCCTGTTGGAGTAAGAATGAACGCACAGGTAGGAAGGCCTTCTCTACTTTGGACTAGTTCATTTTACTCCCCTGAAACTTCTCGCTACCCCTCTCTTTTCAGAGCTGTTATACTTGACCATACTTAGCTGCACAAGAAGACAAAGCGGCCGGGCGCGGTGGCTCACGCCTGTAATCCCAGCACTTTGGGAGGCTGAGGCGGGCGGATCACGAGGTCAGGAGATCGAGACCATCCTGTGAATGGTGAAACCCCGTCTCTACTAAAAATACAAAAAATTAGCCGGGCGCGGTGGCAGGCGCCTGTAGTCCCAGCTGCTCGGGAGGCTGAGGCAGGAGAATGGCGTGAACCCGGGAGGCGGAGCTTGCAGTGAGCCGAGATCGCGCCACCGCACTCCAGCCTGGGCGACAGAGCGAGACTCCGCCTCAAAAAAAAAAAAAAAAAAAAAAAAAGACGAAGCATTTGCCATTTTTGCTTTCCAGTCCTTATAATAAAGGTGGCAAGAAGAAAGTGGTTTGAATCCACACAGCCGATCCCAGGGACTCAATAGTAGGGGAGAAATTTTGCAATAGAAAATTAGAATGTTTCTAACAGAAAACCCAGAAGAAAAGATAGACTTAAATGATTAGTTTTAAAATTTAAAACCTTTTACATGTAAATTAAAATACCCAGAAACAAAATCACTACATTGGGAAATATGTTTATAATTCTTATGACATATATAATGTCTATATCTATAATATACTGAATGACTGTTACAGTTTGAAAACAGAAAGATAAACAGCCCAATGGGAAATGGCATGCATAGACAATTCACAAAAGAGAAATTCACACGGTCAGTAAACGTGAAAAGGAGAATCGATGTTCCTATTAGTGTGGGAAAGGCGGTAGCTAATCCCAAATTCTACATCCCTACTATACAGCCCCTATCCTGGCATCCTTCATTGAGCATTCATATATCCAGGGAATATGCCTAGGAAGTTTCTCCCCACTTGGTAAGCAGGAAATCAATGGAAGCGGCTACTGTAGGCGGGATCTTCCTCATTGGTACATTTGTTCAAAGAGACAGTCTCACACATGGAAGCCATGCCCTAGAGTACAATTCATCCAGTTCTTCATTCAGACACAGATAACTCAGAAGACCTGTGTGTTCCATCTTGGCATCCTCCATGTTGTTTTCATGGGAAAATGCATACTGATTCTTATCAACTTCTAAACCCAACAAATTCCTAAAGTGAGAACTTTCTATATAGTTTTTGAAGTTCTGGCTTAGGAAGAAGCCAAAAAAAAAAAGCAATTCATGAATAGCTGTGCTCAAAACTTTACACAGAAGCTCTCATTATAGTGTGTGAAATAAACAATAACACAAAAAACTGAAAGAAAAAAACTGCAAAATATTCACAGAGGGTGCATTTGAGAGTGGGGCTGTGAAGGAACACCTTCTGATTTTCAGTCAAAAGGTCAAAGGCCAAAAATAATTCCTGCTTCGGAACTGCAGCAGGTTGGTTCTACCCTTTGGGGGTTGGAGAAGAAAAGCACCTTTCCAGATGGCCAGATCTAGCTTGTTAATGTCCCTGCTGCCCTGATGGCTTGGTTTTCAATTCAGGGTGAACTTCAGATATGGTGTTTAAGGGAGGAGCCAGATAAGAACATAGCATTGTGCTTTTGATTTATTTTAGGGATGAAATGTAAACCAAAAGTCCCCAATGCTGAAGGAAATTTTAACTTTTTCTTTTCCATTTTTCTCCTTGGACTGTTGATGCTATTATTCTTAGCTTTTTTTTTTTTTTTTTTCTTGTGTTCCATTGTGCTGCCTTTTTTCTGCCTCTGCATAAACTGATATGGTTGGGAGATCTTTGAGAGCCTCTGAGTCCACTGTATACATGAGGAATATGAGACTCAAACTTGTTAAAGTGTTCACTCAGACAACAGCTGGTGAGTTCTAGGTCCAGAAGAAAACTACAATCAAATTTCAATCATTTTTCTACACTACTCTTTTATCTTTCTAGTTTCTATTAGAAAACCGCAGTAAAAAGCTACGTATGTTCTTAAATATCTTCACAAATGTGAGATAGACAAAGATATCTTAGAAAGGTCCTAAGTGGAATAAATATAAAAGAAAAAAATTGATAAATTGGACTTCATCAAAATTACAAAGTTTTGCTTATCAGACATTACCTTTAAGAAAATGAAAAGCAAATCCACAATCTGGGAGAAAATTATCTATCTATCACAGAGACTTGTCTCTAGAATATATAAAGAGCTTCTACAAATCAACAACAAAAGATAAATAACCAAATTTTAAAATGGGCAAAAAACTTTTAATAGAAACATCACAGAAAAGAGACACAAGTGACTAATAAGCCTGTGGAAAATGCTCAGCACCGTTAGCCATCAGAGAAATGAAAATTAAAACCACAATGAAATACTACCACTCATCTTCCAGAATGGCTAAAATTAAAAAAGACCCATAGCACCAAATATTGAGGATGTGGAACAACTGAAACTTTCATATGTAAAATGACACAACTGCTTTGGAAACTGTTGGGCAATTTCTTATATAAAGTTAAAAATAACATCTCCCACTGGACCCAGCAATTCATCTCCTTAGTATTTACCCAAAGTAAATAAAAACTTAAGTTCATAGCAGCTTTATTCATAATAGGCCCATATTGGAATCACCAAGAGAATGGATATAACAATTGTATGTTAATACAATAGAATATGAGTTGGCAACACAAAAGAGTGATCTACAGATACTTGCAACAATGTGGAAGAATCTTAAATATCCACTGAGCAAAAGGATCCTGAGTACATCCTGTATGACTCCATTTATATAAGGTTCAAGAACATACAAAACTAACCTTCTGTAGAAGAAATCAGGACAGTGGTTGCCTGTTGGGTGGGGATTGACTGGGTACGGGAGAGCTTTGTGGGAGTGATCTTATCTTGCTTGGGGTCATGGTGGGTACATTTGTTAAAACTCATGGAAGTATCCACTTTAGATCTATGTATGTCACTGCCTATGAAATTTACCTAAATATTAATAAATACAACAGAAGCAAAAATCAGCATGTTCAAACAACTGTAGTTGAACATGGAAAGTTTTGGGTTTGTATTTTCCCGGCTTCCACAGGGGTAAGATTTGATTTGGTGCCAAGAGCAGAGTTGCACTGTCTCTACTGAACCATAACCACAATCTTTCAAAAACAACCTCCGCTGTCATCGCACTATAATGTTTTGCTGGATAAAGGCATTTTGCCCATTAAGATAATAACATATACAACATATCCAGGACTGCACTGAGAGAATAAAGAGTTTGTGTCATAGATGGGACCAGATCTTCAAATATTTTCATCTGTTTCCAAATAAAAAAGAGCCTGTTTTAAGCTCTTAGATATAGACTACTTATTTTGGGGGAGGGGGAGGCAGTTTTATTAGAATATTACTAAAATGATAAGTGGTTTTTAAATGTTTCTTTATATTGTATGTTCTGGCTAGGTCAAAAGAATTGAAATCATATTTCTTAAATATATAACATGAAAGTTGTACATATAATTTTAGAATGTCACTGGTAGCATTGGACAGATATAAAAATAGTGTCAGTAACTCCTTTGATTAAAATAATAATGTCTCTGCACCATTTTATCCTGCTTTGGATGTGAAATGGAATAAATTATTTTTGTTACTCTTCTTATTTTTATTTTATTTATTTGTATTTTTTTTGCATTATGAAAATCTATTAACCATTCAGACATGTTGGAAATTGTGAAAGAGGAAGATTTGAGAGCCAAGAGGAAAATGCTTTTAATTTTAAAGACTGAGATTTAGTTTAGTCTTGGATGCCATTATAGTGAATAATGGGAACTGATCCGAGACTTCAAAAGAAATATGACCATATGGTCCTACCATTCAGTACTTAATGCTGCCATGAATTTCCAGTTAGACCCCAAACTTTTCATTTCCCCAGTGTTCCCCCTCACCTCTGTCATCAGACAAAAACGAAAGGAATCTGAAACCCCTTTTCATGTTTTCTGAAATACTGGTGCTGAGAAAGCTTATTTTTGTGAGAATTGAGTTTTATGAAAAAAGACAAAAACCTGAAACATTAATCAGATCCACTGGGCTAATTACTGCAACTCCAAAGTTTATTACTTTTAAATATTAACTGCTTAAAATGATTCATTTAGAGATCAAAATGATTAATCCTTCTCAGTCACTATAAATGTCAGCGGCAGGATTAAAGGATTTAGATGGTCATGTTTACTCAACCTTACATTTCTGTACTTAAAGACACAAGTTAAATAGCTCTAGTTTATCATTGTTTCATGTTAATGGTTTTCCTCTTAGCTCCCTCTTTTAGCTCCCCTGCCTAACTGATTGTTAACTAATTTTGGCTGTTAAGTAGGCAAGGGCTTCTTTCAGGCTCGGCAGCCAACCTGCTTTGTGGATTACCCACCAGAAGGTGTGAGTAGATAGATGTAGCTTACAGCCCTCCTCAGGACGCAGTGGGGGTAATCCTTTCCCCCTGCCTCGGCCTTCATTGGTCTGATGTGTTGAGCCCCAGCTTACTGCTCAACTTGTATCTGGTTCCTTGCCACGTTGCCCATTTTGGATCCACAGTGTGACTCACCGCGGTGCTGCTTCAGTCGCAATTATTAAACACCTGCCGCTTTATGCCAAACCATAGGCGTATTTATACCAATACCTACTGCAGTTCGACTATCAGATATCAGCAGATACATTGCAGGCGTATTATCATTGCCGGGCCTTGGATTGTTCTAAAGAAGTCATTTCTAAGTAAACATAAGAAGCAAATTTATTTTCAGAATGTTTTTGATTTAAAAAAAAAAGCTATTTTAAAGTTATTTCTTAATTACAAATGTTTGCTAAAGCTTTTTTTATGGTTGCCCCATTAAATCCTTCATTTCCAGACCTAAGACATGCTCTTTCTTTATACGTCAGCCAACTCACAACCTAATTTTTCTTATTTGGGCCACCAAACCTTCCATTCAATATGCATATGTTCGTCCTCCCCTGGAGGCCTCACAAATTTTATCTTGAAGAAAATGCATCTTTTCTGGGGCCATTCATTCTAGTCCTGGCTTTTCAGCTTGCAGATATACCTAGGGTTTCCCTTTCTTACCCACCTCCTCAAGTTCACCTTAGTGCCCAGCCTGGAATTTCCATTGAAAGCTACATTTGTGATGATTGCCGAGGGGATGTCCTGCAATGGCTTCCATTAGACTTGTGTTGTGAGTCATCAATTAGATTATGAGTATGGTGTCCAGTGGTCATTTTCAGCGTCCTCTGGAAATTCATGGGTTTCAATATGTGGTTATGGGTATTAACAACATATTAATAGATAAATCAAGTAAGTAGTTGAAATG
Source organism: Homo sapiens (assembly GCF_000001405.40). Lineage (NCBI taxonomy): Eukaryota > Metazoa > Chordata > Mammalia > Primates > Hominidae > Homo > Homo sapiens. Next base: position 182,340,458 of record NC_000004.12, read on the forward strand.
GGGTGGGGACCTTAAGGTATTTAGTGGGATTTTAAGTTAGTTTCTTAAACCTGTTTTTTGTAGGGCCTTATGAATAAAGATTTGTAGCCTCACTGAAATTTCTATTGCATGTTCAAGAATGGGTATTTTGTTCAAATGGTGACACATTTAACATAAAAGGTTAAAGAGTTTGGAATGTCCCATAAAATATGTATTTGGAAATAAAATTACATATACTTCTTTTGCTGTGGAATCTTCTTACGATTTTGCAAATACAGCAAAAGAGAGAACTCTGGAAGACATGGTGGTGCCACTGATTCAACAAGCACCTAATAAGAAATGCTTTCCCAGTTTGTAGTTTTGTGTTCTGCCTGACTGATGGAGGAGAGTCACTCCATGCCTGAGAAGAAATAATTCCATTCAAGCTCACAACAACCAAGGAAAATAATTAAAGACAGCTATAGATTGTTTTATTTATGTGCATTTAATTTATATTTATTCATCCATTTTTTCCCATATTCAATTTTGGGGTTACTGTAGGAGAAATGAATGGTTATTCTCCTTTAAAACAATCCATATATGATGAAGAAAAAGGGAAGGATTGAAATGGAGGGGAAAATGCTCCCATGTATCTTACAAAGTTTCATTTCTTTACAATAAACGAGGAAGGATTTTTAAAACTGAGCTTCCCCTAGAAGAGGCAATAAATTAAATTTCTAATTATTGAGTAGAAGCTATTAAACAGCAAATCAAGAAAATATATTTGTTTTTTAGAAAGAAGATAGGCTTTAATTTTTTCTTTATTATGTTTTTAAATTATTGAAATAATTATCATGAGAAGTAAAAATTCAAAACTATAAAATAGAAAATTACTAATTTCCTTCATTTACAACCTTTTCTAAATGACCCATTATAACAGTTATATATCTCCTTCCTCACCTTTATTCAGATTCAACTTATATAACCTGTGGGTCCTTTTCCTTAATTTCCAAAAGTGGGATTATACTATATACATAATTCTACAACTTGCATTCTTTTTCTACTTAAAATATATACAAACGAGCTTCCCTGCAGATCCGAAGACATGGGTCCAACTCATTCTTTATGCTAACCACAGTGTTCCACAGCATGGGCATGCAACTTTTCCAGCCATTCTCTTTCTGGCCAACATTTGGGTTATTTAAAATTTTGCAACAATGCTGTAGTAAACAACTTGTTTAAATAAACATTCTGTATATTTAAGATCAGGTGATTTTATTTCTATAGGATATAGTTCCAAAGGTAGATTTCCTATGCTAAATAATATTTCTGATTTTAATAGAAAAATATTTTACATGGAGTGAAAGCAGCATAATAGAAGGCAAAGAAAAAAATGATAGAATAAAATAATAAATTTGCATAGCAGACTCACAGAATCAGCTGCTTTTCAGGGGAACAATGATTCTTGTTTGCCCTCTAAATTTCAATACCAATGACCTATATTTTAAGCCCTCATTGCGAACTCCAAGTCCCACATAAAGTGTGGTATAAAAGAGAACCAATAGATGATAACAAGTGTTCATGAGCCTGTGCAGAATTAAAACCCTCATACACTGCTAGTGGGAATATAAAACACTGCAGTCATTGTGGAAAACAGTCCGGCAGTGCCTCAAAAGGTTCAATACAGAGTTACCATATACCCCAGCAGTTCCTCTTCTAGGATATGCTCAAGAGAAATGAAGACATATGTACGCATGAAAACTTGTACAGGAATGTTCCTGGAAGCATTCTCATAATAGTAAAAAAGATAGAGATAACTCAAATGTCCATTAACTGATGAATGGATAAATGATAGTGTGTCCATACAATGGAATATTATTCAGCCATAAACAGGAATGGAGTACTGATGCATGCTATGACATGGAAGAACTTTGAAAACATTATTCTAAGTGAAAGAAGCCAGTCACACAAGACCACATATTGTGGATCTTCTTTATTTGAAATGTCCAGGAAGGGAAGTAGATGAGTGGTTGCCTAGGGCTGGGGGTGGGAGGGGTGAGGGGAAAATAGAAGGTAGCTGATAATTGGTATAAGGTGTCTTTTTAGGGTGATAAAAATGTTCTAAAATTAATTGTGCCCATAGTTGCAGAACTCTGAATATACTGAAAACCATTAAAGTGTACACTTCAAGTGGGTGCATTTTGTGGTATGTGAGTTATGTTTCAATAAAACTGTTTGTTTTTTTAAAGGAACAAACAAGCAAGAGACCAAGAGAGAAGGAGAGAAAGCCAAATCTAGATATTAGAGAAATCCAGACATTAGTGAGGAGAGAATGCCTTCCCCGTGGGGTGCTTTCGTCATCCTATGTACCTCTGAGACTAGTCCCTCGGGTAGAATCTGTTTCTCATACAAGAGATAGTAGATGTGTTACCCATTGGTGAACATCACCCTGATTGTGGCTTTGAAAAATCCCTCACTGCTCCAACTAGGTTATAGACAAATAGAACAAATTTCTATGAGAAAAAGAACAAATAGCTAACCCATTTTCCCAATCTCCTTCTTTTATTAAAGAGGGAGCTGTGCTATGTGCCAATCTCATTTGAAATATTTGTCCTTACACCATCCTTTCTACTTTGTCAAATACCCTCACTCGTTTTTTAAAACGTGAACCTAAAAAAAATGATGCAGCCCACCTAGGTTGTGTTTATTCAGTTTTCCTTTTCTAGATTTTCACATTTATGAGTGTCATAAAACAAAAATGCCTAATATAATCCGAGCTAACCTTGCCTTTTAATCACAGTGAATTCCATCCTCAGGTGTACTTTGTTCTTGCTACAATTTATTGTTTTGGTCCTGTTTCAAATTGTAATGGGAAACTCTTGTTGGCTCTGCTGATCAAGGTTACCAAAATTCAATGTACAGGAGATAAATACTTATTTTGCCAGTTATGGCCAAGCAGAATTAATATAAAGACCGTAAAAGGCAAAGAAAGAAATTAAAGCAATGTTAGAACTACTGCAAAGAACATGGCTTTTCCAATGTAAAGAAAACATGGAAAATGAGAATAAAGTATTGTTCCTTGAAGCCAAAGCTGACTTTACATAGGATTGTCCAGGGTTCAGCCTGGTCCCAGGGGCATCTCAGCTGCCTTGTCCTGCCTCTTCCCACTTCTCTGCACTGCCATAAAGCCCTCCCCACTACTACAAGCCCAGCCCAGCCCAGCCCAGCCCTCCCGCCCTCCTCCACACCGCTTGTCGCAGTCAGGGAGCTCTATTCTCTCCATCTTCCCTGCACTGGTCAAAACTGCAGATGTTTTCCATCAGCATAGTGTATCTTGCTAAACACTGCTAGATTGCAAGAAATAATCGAATAGACTAATTTATTCTAGTTTAAGGTTAGATCTTTCCAGGGGTGTTTGCATTAAAATAAGGGATCCTAAAAATAAAAATTTCTTAACCACTGAGGAGAAGTGACAACAATAGAATGTGAAGCACTGAGGGAGGTCTGGAGCAGGGATGTTTTTGAATAAAGGCAATTACTTAAGTAAAACTCAACTTTGGTGGTGGTGTTGCTATTTGAAAATGAGTTGAAAATGATCCTCTCCCTACTCTCAAACTATACACTTCTCTGTGATTATTAATTACGTTTGTCAAGGTATTTATTTTTTAAGTGATTTTTTTCATTTAGCCCTTTTTTGTGTGAGTCACATTTACATAAACCATCTCCTAAACCAAGTCAGGACAGCCCTGAAAGATGAAAAAATAGAGTGTAAAGTGACTTAAACAGAGCTAGTGAGTGGCTTTAACCTGAGTCCAACTGAGGCCAAGTTTAGTTTTCTCTCCTAGGGGAAACTAAAACAAACTTTTTAATTCAGTAAGGAAATCTAACAGGGACTCCTGCTATGGTGCTTGCATCATAGCTTCATTTCAGAAGCAGCCCTGGAGAATTTTGAATCATTGTAAGACATTGACTTCAGAGGGAAGTCGATGGAGGGAAGTATTTATGGAGTTTGGGATACGTATATCAATTCATAGGGATGATGTGTTGTGTTTTTAGTTGCAAAGTGAACTGTGTTTACATACCTGGGTAACAAAGATTACAGTTTTCTGCTTCCTTCACCTCATAGATTTTTTGCATCAAGATGGCAATAGTGTGAAAAGCCAATCACTTGGAAATTGTTTCAAGCCACATTGTAGAGATTAGAAAGAGAGTTGTTACTGGCCTTTTATTTCTCTTTTCATTTCTGAATGTGGGCACCTCTCAAAATAGAGGCAAAAAACAAAGGATCTTATTTATTTTTCCCTCTTTAAAAATTATTTTGCATCCTTATTTTGAAAAATCAGCATGTTTGATGGCAATATCTACACGTTTTAGAGTCCTCCCGTATGTTACAAGTGACATATAAATAGCAGTGGGTAAGCTCTTCCACAGCAATTCCATTAACTGTTCATGTGGACACTGACCTTGTTCAGATTTACTTTTATAAGTACAATCTGCAGTAATGATTTTAACATGCTAACAATACTGAGTCTCATCTCAGTGAGCTTGCCTGCCTTCTCACTGTTCAACGCACAGGCGCTTTTTCCTTTTTTTCTCTTCTTTTACTCTTCTTTTGACATACTTTTTGGTTCAGATACGTGTTCACATCTCTCTGATAAGCACACTTTGATTTGCAGCTAATTGTAGCAACTGATTTTCATTATTTATGAGTGTCATTGTCGGAATCCATTTGGAAGTCTGACCGAGATAAAGCTGATTCCAACTTCTGATATGACCACAGCAATAAAGCAATTAACCACACTAGTTAAAATGTGTGGCAGCCTGGAGGGTGCTAATATCTTTACAACCCAATATTTACTACATTGTCCATTAGGTTTGATTTATTTCCGAGAAGATTCAACATGGTATCATTTTATCACAAATAATTTATAATACCCTCTTTCAAAAAATATAATGTATGTTTCTCATATCAACCTATTAGCATTAAAATGTTCACAGATTTAAGAGGTAGAAGTAGGGAAATCAAAACTATGAGTAATATAAATGCTTAATATACTTAAAAGGTTTGGTTATGAGATAGCAGCATTTAAATCAGTCTTTGTAGGTTACTATTCTTTACCTATATTTTGATTCTGATTGGCACCTAAATCTCACACTCTACCATGTCAACCAGAGACAAGAAATAGAAAAGCTTTATGTATGCATGACAAGCAAACATTTTTCTCACTCTTCTCATCCATAGTAGTATAAAACGTGAAATTTCCAGAATAAATACAGGATTGGAAAAGTCATTAATAACAGCAGTCATTTTAAAGTGTCACCTAATTTAAACACTTTTGCTTTAAGTTATTGCAGTGTCATGAGTTTTATTATGCTCAATTTATTAGTAAAGGCCTGCAGAGTTCACAGCCATTTATTTTTCAGGGAACTTGATTTTATCATTAATTTTTAAATACGTAATACTCCCACTTTATTTTTAGAGTGCACTTTATTTGCAAAGATTGGTTTACTCTGATCAATACAGATGTTTTCAGGTGTGTAGTAAAGCAAAAAGCCTAGAAAGTCAAAAATGTACAAAATATGCAGCAAATTTTTTAGACGTTATACTCCAACATTTAATGTGTATATACACCCACCCCACACACACACATATATACATACATACATACATACATACATACATACATACATACAAAATACTACGTGTTATGTTGATTGCTAAGTCAAGGCGGAAAAATATAAGAAGAATGACCAAGCTCCTGTTTCTACTGTTTGAGTAACTTATTCTTGAAGGGAAACTTTTCTCTTCCAAAGGAGTGACATCTGGGTGGGAAAATTTTATTGTTGGGGACTCGAGCCAGGACACAGAAAATAATTCTGACAATTTCCATTGCCTCACAAGTCTGCTAAACAAAATTCTATCATTGCACTAATCCTTTCTCTGGGTTGAGTTCTCATGGTTGGGGCCACTTTACTTGCCCATCTCTCTGGAGGTACTTATGGGCTTAAAGAGTTGACAAAGGAGCTCTAAGTTGGGGCCCCGCCCTCCTCCCATAATTGCGCCCACTTGATCCTATGCCGTGTGACGCTACTGTAAACGCCTGGTGCTGATCGCTGAAAAGCCTAAATGTTTGAGTGTTTATTTCTGAAAGACATTCTTAAAAAAAAAAAAAAGAAAAGAAACTAACACTGAACATATACTCACTAGTTGTTATCTTTTTTTCCCCCTAATTAGGACAGAATTTTACCCTAAGGCAGTTAGGAGTTTGTGAACCAGCAACTCGAAGAGGACTGGCATTTTGTGCGGAAATGGGGCTCCCTCACAGAGGTTACTCTATCAGTGCAGGGTCAGATGCTGATACTGAAAATGAAGCAGTGATGTCCCCAGAGCATGCCATGAGACTTTGGGGCAGGGGGGTCAAATCAGGCCGCAGCTCCTGCCTGTCAAGTCGGTCCAACTCAGCCCTCACCCTGACAGATACGGAGCACGAAAACAAGTCCGACAGTGAGAATGGTAAGTTTCCTTTTTGGCTTTATAATGTTGGCATTCAGTGCTTCTGTCTGTTTTGGTTGACTCCGCGGGGGGGGATGTTTTTCTTTCTCTCCTTCCTCTCATCCTTCTTTCTCTCTCTTTCTTGTCCATTTCTTTTTGTTTTAATGTAGTAGAACTCAAGAAATGTCCTTGAATAATGCATTTTTTCCTGGAAAAAAAAATCAATATTTGACATCAGATTGTTAAATTAGGCAAGCAGTCTACAATGTTTTGGCTATAGTTTTGAAAAACAGGTTAATCATCTACAGAAAAAAAAAATAGCTTTGACTTCTCTTGGACCATGTCACCTGTTGTCTTCTGTGGGGTGGCAAAGCACGTGTTGATAAAGTTTACCCCAGAGCCGTCTTGCAATCAAAGATGTCTTTGTAGATTCCTCTTGAAGATATCTCAAAGAAGTTGCAAAATCTTAGAATGGATGAGTGAGCACGCAGAATAGTTTATTAACAGGGCTCTAGTGATTGAAGAACAAATATGATCATGCTTTAAACTTAAGAGTTGATGAGAGCAATTGAAATCTTGGTAAAGAGGGGGAGTGTGGCCTTTAATGTTCTTTGGGGACTGGATTACTAAGCAATTAAATCCACACACAAAAATTGGATTTTAGGATATCCAAATAGCAGCTTTTTGTATATTGTAAGAAAAAAAGTCTTTATAAATTATTGGGACTTTTTTTTTCCTATTGCCAATGCGGGATGATTTTTTAAAAGTTAATTTATATGCAATAATACATTTTAAAGAAAACTTAATTTTTAGTCAGTGCTGCTTCTAGGAAGAATTGGGGCATCAGCAGCAATGCAGCAAACAAAAAATTCTCCTTCCGCTTTTAATATTAACAGTGCACTTGCTATTTCAGTCTAGTTATTAATGCTATGCATATCCTATGCATCAAAAAGCAAAGAGAAAATTAAAATGAAAGAATTGCATGACATTTGAAAAGAAAAATGGTTGTTTTATCAATGATATTTCAATTTTATTATTTATTGGGTGACTTTGTCAGCTTTGCTTTGTAATAGGAAAGCGGATCTATTGTTAGCTTTCAGTTTCAGCTAAGTCACAGTGTGAAGCAGCACCTAAGGCTTATTAGTTATTTTCTTTCTATTCATGAAAAAAGGTCTAATTTAAACCAATGCAATCAATTTCTTATCCTAAGTAGAATATCTTAGTGCATTAAACCAAAGTCAAGATCAAATAATAGCTATATACTCAATATCTTCATTTGGAAGTTTCAGTTCTTGGTGGAGGCTGGCTTTATTCCAATTCAAAAGAAGAAACAAGGACAGTTATTTTGATAAAATGAGCCTCAGAATCAGGATGCCAACATTTCTCTCAGTTAATCCATTCACCTCAGTAAATCCTGTGTTTCTATCCATTTTCATAGTGGATTCAGAAGTCACTAACCTTAAATACGTATGATTTGGAATAAATATTGCTTCCTGTCCAGCTGTACTTCACATAGCACTCCTTGAGCAATGGCAGGTACCATGGTCATATTCAAAGGTAGCACCCAGCATTTAATTTTCTTAAAATACACAATAAAATCTTTGACGTTATAGAAGACTAGAATGCAGCAGGATAATGCGATCAGTTCTGATTATCTGCATCATAGATCATCCACATCCATAGCTATCAAATATGTTTTAACATTGGGTCAGTGTGCACTTTCCAAACAAACCTTCTATGGCATCTCATCCTTTCTCTCTAATAACAAAGGTGTCTTGTTATGGTATCTGTATTGGTAAAATATAAATTAATTTTATGATTTTTAAAATTATACATCTGCTAAAAGGATCTCATGGTGGATCCCCAAACATATGTATTTTTTTTTCTTTTTGGAAAATATAAACTTTGTAACCTTTAGTTAACGACACATAATATCCAAATGTTAGGGAGAAGGGAAGGAAGACTTGTGAGTTTCTCATACCACTGCCCTCACCATTCGCATGGATTAATATTAACTAGAGGAGGAAATTGTTTCCCCAGGAATCTTGTAGACCTTGTTCTTAGAGTGATGTAAAGGCAAGAAAAGTTGCACTCTTTAATTTCTCCAAGTAGTGGCTAGGAAGCAGAATGAAGAGAGACAGGGAGAGTGTCAAGGGCCTTGCCTTGAAATTCAGAACATTTGGCAGCATTTGTTGAGAGTAAATAGGTCAGCCAAGTTAAGAGTATAAAGTGTCAAAAGCAATGTTTGTTGAGCTGGGCAACATGATGACTTAAACTTGTGTTTACTCTTTTTCCGAAGGTTTGGTTGTGGTTGTACTTTTAAACAACGTTTTGATGGTCTAAGAATTCCAAATGAGAGCAGTTTAAAGAAAGAAACAAAAGAGGAAATAAAATAGATACGTTGTCTTAATGAATACTGGCTATTGCATATATTTCAAACATATGTCCATAGGAACTTTTCAGATTAATTTATTTGTTCTGAAATTTCAGCGATTACTTAGAAGGAACAAGATTTCATTTAATGTAATTAATTACATTAAGATATAGGGAAGCATAATTTTCTGAAGTATTTAGCAGACCTTATAATTTTGAATTGTGGAATTAAACAATAGCACTGAGGATTTTTTTCCTGATATTAAAAAATTATGTGTCTTTCCCTTAAGCTGGGTTATAGTAAGAAGTGAAATTTGCAGTCATACATAGGTTCTTCTAACAACTTTATAAATAATCGTCTCAAAACTAATTCACATTTTTACCTATATTACTACTTTTAGTCAAGTAATTCTAATATAAAGTTAACAAAAATAATTCAATTCTACTATCTTCAGGTGTTTTTAATTGCTCTAACTTAAAAAGCTATAGATTTTCTGGTTATATTTTCTTTTGACTCTTCAATTCTTTTCATTTTCTCTTTTATTCATTTTTATACTAGCTTGAGATGTGTTCTTGGAAGTTCTATTGTATCACTAAAGGTTGAAAAGAGAAGGAGATGGATGAAATAACTCACCAAAAGGAAACGAATTTAAGAGCCAGATGCTGATGTGTTTTCATCTGGTTTAACATGAGAGCTTGCCTTGACTGTTTTCTTCATTTGAAATAACTGTGAATGAGGCTGTTTTTCCCAGAAAAAAAAAAATGTTATTCAACATTGTAAAATTATGCAAGCAGAGTGCCTGATGTTCTAGCTACAATTTCAAAGAAGAATTTAGTCACTAAAAGGGATTAGATTCCATTTATTTATTGATAAAGAGGCCAACAGTTCAAGTTAAGAAGGTGCTAGAACTGCTGTGAGGCTAATGAAATTTTGATGGCCCGAGCCTCCCACAAGAGTAAGAGAACATTCGGACCGTGTCACACAGCTCTCTGTTAGCTGAGAGTCAAAACAAGTGATAAGATTTATTCTTTTGCAAAACTAACTTTTCACCAGCCATGGGGAGTTGACATTAAAAAGCATTTTGAGGAAAAAAATATTTTACAGTATATATTGAGTTTCCTGTGTAATCCCAAATATTAATCTTGTTCCAAATGAAGGATATGGGAGAAGCCCTTTCTTGGCACCCATTGATTGTTGTGGTGGTGTTTTTGTAGTGGACTGCCACACACCAGGGCAAGTTCTGGAGAGACGGTGATTTGGGATCACCTACTAACAGCAGTTTGAGTAAAAATGGGTGAAAGGTTATAAAATCAGTGTGATGGGATACCCCAGTAAAAGGTAGAATTCTCAGTGTGCTCTGGTTTATTGTAGGCATCTCTCCTGTCTCCAATGTGGTTTTTGTTTTGTTTTGTTTTGTTTTTTGAGACAGTCTTGCTCTGTCGCCCAGGCTGGAGTGCAGTGGCGTAATCTCAGCTCACTGCAACCTCTGCCTCCTGGGTTCAAGCCATTCTCCTGCCTCAGCCTCCTGAGTAGCTGGGATTACAGGTGCACAACACCACGCCCAGCTAATTTTTGTATTTTTAGTAGAGACGGGGTTTCACCATGTTGGCCAGGATGGTCTCAATCTCTTGACCTCGTGATCTGCCCGCCTCTGCCTCCCAAAGTGCTGGGATTACAGGCATGAGCCACCGCGCCCGGCCACTGACGTGTTGTTAAAAGAGCCGTGACTGAAGTCCCACCACCCAGCTTTGCAAGTGCTATAATCTGACCTCAGTTCCAAATACCTATTTAAACGTCAGGAACAAAGGGCTTTTTTTTATTTTTTCAAAACATCAGTCTTTAAGCTTTAAAAATGTTTCCATGGAGAGTAACTCAGTGTCAAGAGATGTGCAGAAAATCCAAAGAAGGGTAAGGTTGCCCCTGGTATCAAGGAAATAAGAACCAGAAGTCATCAGGACAGTGAAGATATTTAGCAAAGAAATGTAAGTGGGAAAACATGTAATAAAGTTAGTTTTGTGATTTAATAAATAAATAAAATGTTTGCGTATGCATCGCTTCCCAGAAGCAGCCAGGCATCTATTGTTTTTTGTCATCCAGCCGGTGCGACGTTGTCACAGGTGCCTGGATTTGGAATCACACTGGTCAGGGCTCACATTCTTTCATTCATCCCCTGTGACAGTTACCCCCTGAATCACCTAGAGTGGCAGTTGTCAACTCTTGCATGCCTTGTCTGCTCCTTCAGCTGCCTGCCGAGTTCTGGAGGGGCGGAGCTCTCCTGTTGGAGTCTAGTTCCTTCTTCCAGCCTCCTCAGCCTGTTAGCCCTCTTGGAGAAAGATGACCTTTGATGTAAGGCAGGCCAGCAGGCGTTGGCGCTGCTCTTCCACCTCCTCGTGACTCAGGACCCCGAGAGCCTCCATTGAGGACAGTCTTTGCGAATGTGATGCCCGGAGGCGGGACTCCTGGTTTTGTATGGGCACTACCACCTCCCGACTTTGAGACCTTGGGCAAGTTGCTCACCATTCCGTGCCATGGTTTCCACGTTGTAAAACAGGGACAGCAGTAAACAGGGCTCTAGTCCTATGAGGTCAGGGCTGTTGTGAGCATTAAGTGAGTTCAGGTATGCCTGGTGCTTACAAAACTCCCTGACATCTAGTGAGTTCCGAATAAGTGTGTGCCCTTATTATTATTTGTAAAAGGTGGAAAATTATATCTGTTTATGTGGCTATGAAGATTAAGTTAAATAAACAATATCAAGTGCCTACCTAGTTTGGACTAGGTAGATATCTATAGATATCAATAGATATCTCCTCCTCCCCTCCCCCACTCCTCCTTCCTTACCCCACCCCACCCCAGGGCTGCATTCATCAAGTGTTCTGGCAAGATGGAGGAGAACTCACGGTGTCTTCCAGAAAGGGCGCTGATCATTTGTGCAGTCTGGAATTTCTGTCACCATTTATTGACTCTCTTATTTTTCTCCAAAACCCCACATCCCTTTTAATTTACTGTAATTAAATGAATGTACATTGAATGGTGCTGATAATTAGTCTGATGGTTGTAGACTTCAAAGATTTTAGCATGCTCCTTCCCCTCCTGGCCAAAGAAAATTTCAAAATTAGTGTTTCCCTCAAAGGCATGTTACTTAGACAGCTGGTCAATTAACAGGCAATTTAACTGATGCTCATCAGTTCACACAATAAAATAAATCATTCCAAGAAGACTTCATTTCTCACCTAAGTTTGAGCAATGTACCTGTTGTCGGACCCCACTAATGCCACATTAATTGTGCATGATACTGAAGTATTATGGGCTAATTTGGCTAATGAAAAAGGGTATAACATTAAAGTGCAGTCTTTTTAAATGTAATAGACACTTTGCACAGCTGAAACACTTTTCAAGGAACCAATTTCACTTGTCCTTTGAAATGGTATTTTAAGTCTACTTTCTGTATGGAGAGATAAAGTCTAAAAGTTGCATTATTGTATTTTAAGAGGAAAAAGGCGTACCCCTCAAACCAATTTGATAAATGACTGTAGTGATAGCATTTCCATCAATCTCTAAAGAGAGAACTTCAGCTATTTTGCAATCCAGATTTTCTTGTCAAGCAGAATATGTTATCTGGAAAGGAGGGCAGTGCCATTTCTTCTCTTCCTGAACAACTGCAGATAGGTGAGAGAGTGAGGAAATAGACGGACTTGTAGCTCTTCCAGTGCTGATCAAATTCTAGGAGAGTTTGAGAGAAACTGCTAGCCAGCTATGTCATGTACTTGCGATCATTCTAGGACAACACAAATGCCACATCTCTCCTAGATCTTTGGAGGAAGGGGTACTGTCTTAGAATTCTGAAGATGATTTGAAGAGAGGTGTACTTTTTCACCTCACTAGCATTATTCCATTCCTTCAGCTTTATCCAGGAACCTTTTCTGAGCCTACTTTGGTTGTTGATTGAAAGACATAAAATGGAATTCTGTTGCTGTAAGAAACACATGGCATTTCAGTGTTATTCTAATTTTATGAGTTTCTATTATACATACTAAACTATAGCTTGAATATAAATTTCACTGTGGGCCCTCTTCCGGCATGTAATGGTCATTTCTGGCATGGTCTCCTGTGATAAATTATATTTTATGTTTTATGTGCACTAGAATGTCAAAAATAGCAAACGTAATATGTCGGTGGGCTTCCTAAATCAGGCTCAGAATTAAAGTGCTGCTTTACAAAATGCCGTCAAATAGTTCCTGATATATAAAAATAACTACATTGCCTTGATAGATATACATTTACAATTTCAATAGTGACTTGTCATTCTTTGAGCAAAAGCTTCCCTGTTTCATTTAAGGATGAAATAGATTCACTTCATGGGTATGTACAAGTCACTTTTTAGTATAATAAGTTATGATTTAACTGGCTGGGCGTGGTGGCTCACGCCTGTAATCCCAGCACTTTGGGAGGCCAAGGCGGGTGGATCACAATGTCAGGAGTTTGAGACCAGCCTGGCCAACATGGTGAAACCCCATCTCTACTAAAAATACAAAAATTAGCTGGGCATGGTGGCAGATGCCTGTAATCCCAGCTACTCGGGAGGCTGATGCAGAGAATGGCTTGAACCCAGGAGGTGGAGGTTGCAGTGAGCCGAGATCGTGCCACTGCACTCCAGCCTGGGCAACAACAGGGATACTCCAGCTGGAAAAAAAAAAAAAAAGTTACGATTTAAATAAAATCCTAAAAAATTTAGTATTATGAAACTAGAACTGAAACAACTGTAAAGTTCACTACTGTTGTTGTTACTACAGGCTTAAGTATTTATATACATTCATATTTTTCTGTTCTAAGAGGATTTTCAGAAAGCTTGGCAGTTTGCTATGCTTCACATGGAAATTGCCATTTCTATTAAGCTCGATTTGTGTTCTAAGTGTTTTTGTTAAAGTATACAGAATATATGCCATCTCTGTTTCAATTCTAAATGTTCTTTTAGTTGTAGAGTTGAAATTAAAGTGAAGCATGCTATGAATGTACCAAAACTGATGATGTATGCTATTTTGATTTTTGAATGTGTTTTTGATATCCTTGAAAAATCACAGTGGTAGCAGTAAAATTGTTTTAATTAATGAATTGAATAGCAGTGAGTGCTGAATCAGGTTTATTGATGTAATTATCACTGAAATAGAAAAAATAAGTGTTAGAGCCATAGAACCTTCGTTTATTTGCCATTCCGTGAGCACTCAAGTGTCGGAAAAGCAGCTAACTGAGGGTTTTTTTGGTGTTGTTTAAAGAATATTCTTCTCAAATCATAATAATTCTGTTTATTAACATTACATACACATATAATTTTATACATGATTATCTTGTACATTATTTACTGAATGGTTTGAATACTAACTTCAGTATATTGAAATTTTCTTATATTTATCAGTTGACGAGATCGTTTTCCATAATAAATAGGCTGTACGCAAACTAAACGTGAAACCTATTTGAATGCATGTTAAAATGGATAGAAATGCGTATACACTTAAGAAAAGAGCAACTAAAAATGTCTGATGACTATTGCCTTGACTTTAGTCACGCAGAACCTGAAAACTAAATAAAGGGTAACTTATTGAATAGATTTCTTATTTAGTATATCAACTAAGTCTTCATTCAACGAATCATAAATGCTGGATATGGTACCAGGTGCTGGAAAAACAAAAATGAGTAAGATGTATTCCCTGACGTCTAGAAGCTCACAGGGTGGTTGGGCAAACCGGCAAGTAGGCGTGTAATTAGGTTTTAATGTGGTTAGTGTTATTACAACAGAATATGCAGAGTCAGTGTCAGCCCAGAGCCGATTGTTGCCAACAGAGACTGGGGGCAGGAGAGGAGAGAATGTTTCACAAAGAAGGAAGGAAGCAGCGTTGGACCAGAGGCTTAAAGGATGTGGAGAAATTCGAGATTTAGACAGAACAGCAAAGGAGAATGTGTAACTTCCCTGGGGATGCTCCAAAAGCCACAAGGAGTTTGATGCCTGGGACACATGAGGCTACAAAAGTAGCCCCCGAGCAAAGTCTTCATGGTGATGCTAAGGGATTTGCACGTTTTCCTGCAGGTAATGGGGAGGCTCTGAGGGATTTTAATGCAGAGGAATAGTATGGTCATGTTTCCGTTTTACAGAGTACCCTGAAAGCAGTGTGGAATATTAACTGTCTTTCCTCAAGGAGAGCAACCTCCCTGGGGACATGGCCCTGTTCACTGTTGTACCTCTGTGCTCACCTCACCTAATACCTGAACCTGGAAATAAAGGTTTTGTTGAATGGAAAATAATTGACTTAGAGGTCAAACTTGGAAGCAAATTGGCCAGTTAGATAGTATTATAATTATCAACATAGGAAAATAGAAAAGTTTGGATCAAAAACCAGAAAGGAAAGGGAGACCCATTTAAGTAGAATCAAGATTTGATGATTAATTGGGGGAAGAGAAACATTTAAAGAGACTGTCTTCCCCAACATGAGAGACTCAGTGAGTGATGGTATAATCCAAGTTGAAAGTTAAAGTATTTTGTCTATGGTAAAGTTAGTAATTCACATGAGAAGACATAGTGTTTGATGTGTCTGTGGGCCATCAAGTTTCAGTAATTTATTAGCCAATTATATATATATTATATATATATATATGAAATTCAATTAGATTTTGTGTAAAAATATTTACTCTGTGATCTATATTATTGCAGTTAAAGCCACAGGGCAGAATTAAACCTCTTTCTGAAAGCAAATAGAATGAGAAAAGAAGAGGAGTGAAGCTAGAATCCTAAGCTCACCAATATTTAACATAAGGTTATAGATGAAGCACCAATAAAAGAAACGAAGGACCTTTTATAGAGGCAAAAAAAACCCAAAAGATTAATTGACAAAAGACAACAAAAGAGACATACTGTGATCAGCAGAGTCAAAAACTTCCAAAAGTTGCTGGGTACAGCAATACCCGTGTCTGTAGTCCCGGCACTCAGAAAGGAGGCTGAGGTGAGAGGATGGCTTGAGCCCAGAAGTTAGAGACCAGCCTGGGAAACATAGTGAGACCCCATCTCAGAGAAAAAGCTTCCAGTGAGGATAATGTAGGTATAGTGGGTGTGGAAGTCAAATCGTGGTAGTTCAGAGTGGAACCAAAACCTTAAATGTGGCACCAGCAACTGGAGATTATTCTCTCCAAAGCTCAACTAAGGAAGGAGAGAGCGTGGCTGAGGGATCCAGGGATGGAGGTACTTGCATAATTGGAGGACATTTCAGCATCTTCTTAAGGAAAGGGACGGAGCGGCAGAACAACAAGAAGGTGGAGTAGAGGCGATTGAGGGAAAATGAAAAGCGTCTGACCTCTGAGAATCAGGAGTGAAGGGGTCCTTGGAGTATGAATGTGGGTAACTGCGAGTCCCTGAAAACTTTTTTTTTAAATATATTTTTAAAATTATTATTTTTTTATTATTATTATACTTTAAGTTTTAGGGTACATGTGCACAATGTGCAGGTTAGCTACATATGTATACATGTGCCATGCTGGTGTGCTGCACCCACTAACTCGTCATCTAGCATTAGGTATATCTCCCAATGCTCTCCCTCCTCCCTCCCCCCACCCCACAACAGTCCCCAGAGTGTGATGTTCCCCTTCCTGTGTCCATGTGTTCTCATTGTTCAATTCTCACCTATGAGTGAGAATATGCGGTGTTTGGTTTTTTGTTCTTGCAATAGTTTACTGAGAATAATGATTTCCAATTTCATCCATGTCCCTACAAAGCACATGAACTCATCATTTTTTATGACTGCATAGTATTCCATGGTGTATATGTGCCATATTTTCTTAATCCAGTCTATCGTTGTTGGACATTTGGGTTGGTTCCAAGTCTTTGCTATTGTGAACAGTGCCTCAATAAACATACGTGTGCATGTGTCTTTATAGCAGCATGATTTATAGTCCTTTGGGTATATACCCAGTAATGGGATGGCTGGGTCAAATGGTATTTCTAGTTCTAGATCCCTGAGGAATCGCCACACTGACTTCCACAATGGTTGAACTAGTTTACAGTCCCACCAACAATGTAAAAGTGTTCCTATTTCTCCACATCCTCTCCAGCACCTGTTGTTTCCTGACTTTTTAATGATTGCCATTCTAACTGGTGTGAGATGACATCTCACTGTGGTTTTGATTTGCATTTCTCTGATGGCCAGTGATGGTGGCATTTTTTCATGTGTTTTTTGGCTGCATAAATGTCTTCTTTTGAGAAGTGTCTGTTCATGTCCTTCGCCCACTTTTTGATGGGGTTGTTTGTTTTTTTCTTGTGAATTTGTTTGAGTTCATTGTAGATTCTGGATATTAGCCCTTTGTCAGATGAGTAGGTTGCGAAACTTTTCTCCCATTTTGTGGGTTGCCTGTTCACTCTGATGGTAGTTTCTTTTGCTGTGCAGAAGCTCTTTAGTTTAATTAGATCCCATTTGTCAATTTTGGCTTTTGTTGCCATTGCTTTTGGTGTTTTAGACATGAAGTCCTTGCCCATGCCTATGTCCTGAATGGTAATGCCTAGGTTTTCTTCTAGGGTTTTTATGGTTTTAAGTCTAACATTTAAGTCTTTAATCCATCTTGAATTGATTTTTGTATAAGGTGTAAGGAAGGGATCCAGTTTCAGCTTTCTACATATGGCTAGCCAGTTTTCCCAGCACCATTTATTAAATAGGGAATCCTTTCCCCATTGCTCGTTTTTCTCAGGTTTGTCAAAGATCAGATAGTTGTAGATATGCGGCGTTATTTCTGAGGGCTCTGTTCTGTTCCATTGATCTATATCTCTGTTTTGGTACCAGTACCATGCTGTTTTGGTTACTGTAGGCTTGTAGTAGAGTTTGAAGTCAGGTAGCGTGATGCCTCCAGCTTTGTTCTTTTGGCTTAGGATTGACTTGGCGATGCGGGCTCTTTTTTGGTTCCATATGAACTTTAAAGTAGTTTTTTCCAATTCTGTGAAGAAAGTCATTGGTAGCTTGATGGGGATGGCATTGAATCGATAAATTACCTTGGGCAGTATGGCCATTTTCACGATATTGATTCTTCCTACCCATGAGCATGGAATGTTCTTCCATTTGTTTGTATCCTCTTTTATTTCATTGAGCAGTGGTTTGTAGTTCTCCTTGAAGAGGTCCTTCACATCCCTTGTAAGGTGGATTCCTAGGTATTTTATTCTCTTTGAAACAATTGTGAATGGGAGTTCCCTCATGATTTGGCTCTCTGTTTGTCTGTTATCGGTGTATAAGAATGCTTGTGATTTTTGTAGATTGATTTTGTATCCTGAGACTTTGCTGAGGTTGCTTATCAGCTTAAGGAGATTTTGGGCTGAGACAATGGGGTTTTCTAGATATACAATCATGTCGTCTGCAAACAGGGACAATTTGACTTCCTCTTTTCCTAATTGAATACCCTTTATTTCCTTCTCCTGCCTAATTGCCCTGGCCAGAACTTCCAACACTATGTTGAATAGGAGTGGTGAGAGAGGGCATCCCTGTCTTGTGCCAGTTTTCAAAGGGAATGCTTCCAGTTTTTGCCCATTCAGTATGATATTGGCTGTGGGTTTGTCATAGATAGCTCTTATTATTTTGAGATACGTCCCATCAATACCTAATTTATTAAGAGTTTTTAGCGTGAAGGGTTGTTGAATTTTGTCAAAGGCCTTTCCTGCATCTATTGAGATAATCATGTGGTTTTTGTCTTTGGTTCTGTTTATATGCTGGATTACATTTATTGATTTGCATATATTGAACCAGCCTTGCACCCCAGGGATGAAGCCCACTTGATCATGGTGGATAAGCTTTTTGATGTGCTGCTGGATTCGGTTTGCCGGTATTTTATTGAGGATTTTTGCATCAATGTTCATCAAGGATATTGGTCTAAACTTCTCTTTTTTGGTTGTGTCTCTGCCCGGCTTTGGTATCGGGATGATGCTGGCCTCATAAAATGAGTTAGGGAGGATTCTCTCTTTTTCTATTGATTCGAATAGTTTCAGAAGGAATGGTACCAGTTCCTCCTTGCACCTCTGGGAGAATTCGGCTGTGAATCCATCTGGTCCTGGACTCTTTTTGGTTGGTAAGCTATTGATTATTGCCACAATTTCAGCTCCTGTTATTGGTCTATTCAGAGATTCAACTTCTTCCTGGTTTAGTCTAGGGAGAGTGTATGTGTCGAGGAATTTATCCATTTTTTCTAGATTTTCTAGTTTATTTGCGTAGAGGTGTTTGTAGTATTCTCTGATGGTAGTTTGTATTTCTGTGGGATCGGTGGTGATATCCCCTTTATCATTTTTTATTGCATCTATTTGATTCTTCTCTCTTTTTTTCTTTATTAGTCTTGCTAGCAGTCTATCAATTTTGTTGATTGTTTCAAAAAACCAGCTCCTGGATTCATTAATTTTTTGAAGGGTTTTTTGTGTCTCTGTTTCCTTCAGTTCTGCTCTGATTTTAGTTATTTCTTGCCTTCTGCTAGCTTTTGAATGTGTTTGGCTCTTACTTTTCTAGTTCTTTTAATTGTGATGTTAGGGTGTCGATTTTGGATCTTTCCTGCTTTCTCTTGTGGGCATTTAGTGCTATAAATTTCCCTCTACACACTGCTTTGAATGCGTCCCAGAGATTCTGGTATGTTGTGTCTTTGTTCTCGTTGGTTTCAAAGAACATCTTTATTTCTGCCTTCATTTCGTTATGTACCCAATAGTCATTCAGGAGCAAGTTGTTCAGTTTCCATGGAGTTGAGCGGTTTTGAGTGAGTTTCTTAATCCTGAGTTCTAGTTTGATTGCACTGTGGTCTGAGAGATAGTTTGTTATAATTTGTGTTCTTTTACATTTGCTGAGGAGAGCTTTACTTCCAACTATGTGGTCAATTTTGGAATAGGTGTGGTGTGGTGCTGAAAAAAATGTATATTCTGTTGATTTGGGGTGGAGAGTTCTGTAGATGTCTATTAGGTCCGCTTGGTGCAGAGCTGAGTTCAATTCCTGGGTATCCTTGTTGACTTTCTGTCTCGTTGATCTGTCTAATGTTGACAGTGGGGTGTTAAAGTCTCCCATTATTAATGTGTGGGAGTCTAAGTCTCTTTGTAGGTCACTCAGGACTTGCTTTATGAATCTGGGTGCTCCTGTGTTGGGTGCATATATATTTAGGAGAGTTAGCTCTTCTTGTTGAATTGATCCCTTTACCATTATGTAATGGCCTTCTTTGTCTCTTTTGATCTTTGTTGGTTTAAAGTCTGTTTTATCAGAGACTAGGATTGCAACCCCTGCCTTTTTTTCTTTTCCATTTGCTTGGTAGGTCTTCCTCCATCCTTTTATTTTGAGGCTATGTGTGTCTCTGCATGTGAGATGGGTTTCCTGAATACAACACACTGATGGGTCTTGACTCTTTATCCAATTTGCCAGTCTGTGTCTTTTAATTGGAGCATTTAGTCCATTTACATTTAAAGTTAATATTGTTATGTGTGAATTTGAACCTGTCATTATGATGTTAGCTGGTTATTTTGCTCGTTAGTTGATGCAGTTTCATCCTAGTCTCGATGGCCTTTACATTTTGGCATGATTTTGCAGTGGCTGGTACTAGTTGTTCCTTTCCATGTGTAGTGCTTCCTTCAGGAGCTCTTTTAGGGCAGGCCTGGTGGTGACAAAATCTCTTAGCATTTGCTTGTCTGTAAAGTATTCTATTTCTCCTTCACTTATGAAGCTTAGTTTGGCTGGATATGAAATTCTGGGTTGAAAATTCTTTTCTTTAAGAATGTTTAATATTGGCTCCCATTCTCTTCTGGCTTGTAGAGTTTCTGCCGAGAGATCCGCTGTTAGTCTGATGGGCTTCCCTTTGTGGGTAACCCGACCTTTCTCTCTGGCTGCCCTTAACATTTTTTCCTTCATTTCAACTTTGGTGAATCTGACAATTATGTGTCTTGGAGTTGCTCTTCTCGAGGAGTATCTTTGTGGCGTTCTCTGTATTTCCTGAATCTGAATGTTCCTGCCTTGCTAGATTGGGGAAGTTCTCCTGGATAATGTCCTGCAGAGTGTTTTCCAACTTGGTTCCATTCTCCCCGTCACTTTCAGGTACACCAATCAGATGTAGATTTGGTCTTTTCACATAGTCCCATATTTCTTGGAGGCTTTGTTCGTTTCTCTTTATTCTTTTTTCTCTAAACTTCCCTTCTTGCTTCATTTCATTCATTTCATCTTCTATCCCTGATACCCTTTCTTCCAGTTGATCGCATCGGCTCCTGAGGCTTCTGCATTCTTCACGTAGTTCTCGAGCCTTGGCTTTCAGCTCCATCAGCTCCTTTAAGCACTTCTCTGTATTGGTTATTCTAGTTATACATTCGTCTAAATTTTTTTCAAAGTTTTTAACTTCTTTACCTTTGGTTTGAATTTCCTCCTGTAGCTCGTAGTTTGATCGTCTGAAGCCTTCTTCTCTCAACTCGTCAAAGTCATTCTCCGTCCAGCTTTGTTCCATTGCTGGTGAGGAACTGCGTTCCTTTGGAGGAGGAGAGGTGCTCTGCTTTTTAGAGTTTCCAGTTTTTCTGCTCTGTTTTTTCCCCGTCTTTGTGGTTTTATCTACTTTTGGTCTTTGATGATGGTGATGTACAGATGGGTTTTTGGTGTGGATGTCCTTTCTGTTTGATAGCTTTCCTTCTGACAGACAGGACCCTCAGCTGCAGGTCTGTTGGAGTTTGCTAGAGGTCCACTCCAGACCCTGTTTGCCTGGGTATCAGCAGCGGTGTCTGCAGAACAGTGGTTTTTCGTGAACCGCGAAAGCTGCTGTCTGATAGTTCCTCTGGAAGTTTTGTCTCAGAGGAGTACCCGGCCGTTTGAGGTGTTAGTCTGCCCCTACTGGGGGGTGCCTCCCAGTTAGGCTGCTCGGGGGTCAGGGGTCAGGGACCCACTTGAGGAGGCAGTCTGCCCGTTCTCAGATCTCCAGCTGCATGCTGGGAGAACCACTGCTCTCTTCAAAGCTGTCAGACAGGGACATTTAAGTCTGCAGAGGTTACTGCTGTCTTTTTGTTTGTCTGTGCCCTGCACCCAGAGGTGGAGCCTACAGAGGCAGGCAGGCCTCCTTGAGCTGTGGTGGGCTCTACCCAGTTGGAGAGCTTCCCGGCTGCTTTGTTTACCTAAGCAAGCCTGGGCAATGGTGGTCGCCCCTCCCCCAGCCTCACTGCCACCTTGCAGTTTGATCTCAGACTGCTGTGCTAGCAATCAGCGAGACTCCATGGGTGTAGGACCCTCCGAGCCATGTGCGGGATATAATCTCCTGGTGCGCCGTTTTTTTAAGCCCGTCGGAAAAGCTCAGTACTCGGGTGGGAGTGACCCGATTTTCCAGGTGCCGTCTGTCACCCCTTTCTTTGCCTAGGAAAGGGAACTCCATGACCCCTTGCACTTCCCGAGTGAGGCAATGCCTCGCCCTGCTTCGGCTCGCACACGGTGCACGCACCCACTGACCTGCGCCCACTGTCTGGCACTCCCTAGTGAGATGAACCTGGTACCTCAGATGGAAATGCAGAAATCACCCGTCTTCTGCATCGCTTACGCTGGGAGCTGTAGACCGGAGCTGTTCCTATTCGGCCATCTTGGCTCCTCCCTGAAAAACTTTTATTTTTTAAGGTACTTTTCATCTCACAACTTTATATACATAATTAATTTGGTGTTTGCTATAGAAAAGTTTTTCTGAAAAAGATACCTTTCTGTCTAAGATTGATTGAAATCATAACCAATTTTAAGTCAGTGTAGTATAAATTGATAATATTTGATGGAACTGAGCGACCATGTCATCAGAAGCTTTGGAGGAGCAGTACATTCTTATCCAAAATTGACATTTTACTTAAAATCCTTCTATAAAACTGTGAAACTGGAATTACACATCCAGATTCTAATGGAAAACAGTTATTAGCTTTGGAGCCAGAACTATAGGATTGCTGTCAGGACTAGTCCAGGGACATAGGTAACTTCTGATTTCCTCTCCTTGATCCTTGATGTGAGTATGTGATATTTATATATATTCATATAGATGTGTGTGTATATATATATGAGTGTGTGTACATATTCATATATGTGTGTATGTATGTGTATATATTGATATATGTGTGTATATATATGAATATGTATATGTATATATTCATATATGTACATATATACATATATATGCATGTTTATAGTCTTTGCCTGAGGACTAAGTTAATAGCTAGGAAATAAGTTTCCTCCTTAGTAACTGCCACATAGTTTTGCACTAGCAATGTTCTTTTGCTTAAAAAAAAATGCATGTTTATAAACATAAAATTATATAATCAGATTTAAGTTTTTAATGAACACTCGAGACAAACATTATTTTAAAGAATATGTATACAAAAGGTAACCATAAAACCTACTTACAAGTGATATATCCAAGAGAAATAGAAATAGGCCTTTAAAAGCCAGAGTGATAGTTATTATTTGCATATTGCAAACTTGGAAAGTTATGACTTTGTGAAAAAATTTTTAAGACTAAACTGGCTAATATAAAGTAATCAGTGTGAAGTATGGTTCCCCTTCCAACTGGTTAATATAGGAGTGTTAATGTTCACAAAGAAAGAACTTAAAATTTTAGCATACAGCAGATGAAGATTCCTAGGGGATTTGAAAGTAGTTGAATGAAATATCAGTTGCTACAGAAAACAAGTACAAAATATTTTCTTGTAATGGACTGTGTCTCATTTATTGTGACTGGAGTACCATTGTATAGATGGCAGAGTACAAAATATGCCTATAGGTGAACCAAATTATTTAAATGAACCCATTTAAAGAGTTTGTGCTTTCACATAATCACTGGAATTTTTAAAGCATCTAATCATTATTTGTAATGTACTGTCTTAATACCCCAAGTAAAATGATGGGATACGACAGATGTGATAAAAGTGGAACCTGAGATCAAATGAACTTAAGAATAAATCATTTGAGTGTTTAAATCAATGCCCTTAAGTTATCTATGATGTGATTTAGGATTTCATGTTTATTGGGCAACACAGATAAGCAGATGGATAATAAACACTAGTTTCTCTTTTAGGATTTACACTTTTATTCTTAATCTTTGTGTGTGTATATTTTTAAAAAAATAAACATTGCAACTTCAGTTGTTTTTTGTTTTTTGTTTTTTGTTTTTGTTTTTTTGAGACGGAGTCTCACTCTGTCACCCAGGCTGGAATGCAGTGGCGCGATCTCGGCTCACTGCAAGCTCCGTCTTCCGGGTTCACGCCATTCTCCTGCCTCAGCCTCCCGAGTAGCTGGGACTACGGGCGCCCACCACCACGCCCGGCTAATTTTTTGTATTTTGTTTAGTAGAGACGGGGTTTCACCGTGTCAGCCAGGATGGTCTCAACCTCCTGACCTCGTGATCCGCTCGTCTCGGCCTCCCATAGTGCTGGGGTTACAGGCGTGAGCCACCGCGCCCAGCCCCAACTTCAGTTTTCACCTAAGTTTCCACATGCTATTGGATTTTTTTCTATAACATAGTACTTTTTTCATGCCATGATTTATCATAATTTAACATATCTACTACTGTTGGACATCCAGGTTTGAACTTTCGCTACTATAAGTGATTCTGCAATAATGATCTCAGTGGCTAAATCTTTGCCTCTAATTCTGTTATTACCTTAGGATAAATTCTTGGAAGTGGAATTTCAGAGCCAAAGGGCTATACAACCTAAGGCTTTTGATACACTCTGTCAAAAGTGTGAAAAAGCTTGTATCAATTTATACTCCCAACAGTATACAAAAGTGCCTTTTCCCCCAGGGCACTGACAGGGAGTGTTTCCATGCTTTAAATTTTTGACAATTGGACCGATGAAACGTGTCTTACCTTTGTTGTAATTTGTATTCGTTTGATTAGTGAGTTGAATACATTTTCACATGTATGTACCATTTGTATTTCTTCTTTTGTGAATTGCCAGTTCTTGCCTCTGTCCCTTATTCTGTGTGGATGTATGAAGAAATGGGTCACTCAGGGTATAAGGAAAACTGAAGGCAGAGATGGACTTCGAGGACACCAGCACAGTGACTCTGCTTTTTCTCCCTTGTGTATATGTGGCCTCGATGAGACAGGTTTGGTTGCAGGACCTTTTGTATATAAACATCTCCTTACAAGTGGGCCTTCTGCTCATAGACATAGGTGTAAGTTTCACAATGGTGAAGAACAGGTGTACGTGAGCTGGGGCACAGGCCCAATGTGTGGTCCTAAAGTCTAGCTGGATGCCGCCTGTACACTTTTTACTACAGATTCTAGGTGCCAAGAAGTTCTGCATTTACTGCAGTTCAGAGTAGCAAGTTCATTTCCACAAAGTTTCTGTATCCTTATTGAGTAAATGAAAAACATAAAGCAGGCGATAAATAGCACTGGGAGGTAAATCTCTTTTCATCAATCCATAGAGTGTTGCAAAAGATGCAGGAGATACATAGGGATATAGATACAGTCCTGTGCCACTTAACTCATACGTTCAGAGAAATGCATCGTTGGACAATTTTGTCATTGTGTGAACATCATGGTGTACCTACACAAACATAGAGGGTATAGCCCACTATATCTAGGCTACATGGTATAGCCTGTTGCTCCTAGGCTACAAATCTGTACAGCCTGTTACTGTACAGAATACCGCAGGCATTCATAACACAATGGTATTTGTGTATCTACACCTAGAAAAGATACAATAAAAGCATGGTAGTATAATCTTATGGGGCTACTGTCATATATGTGGTTCATCATTGATCAAAACATTATTGTGTGGTGTGTGACTGTAGAGATATAGATACAGATATAGATAATTATGGACATGGATTTTTTTCTTATTAAGTTGCAAATAGTTTTTATATATTATGAATCTTATTAACCCTTAATCTATTTGTAAATATTTAGATCTTAATATTCTGCAAATATTTTCCTGTTTGACTTTGTTTAAGGTATTTTTGATATAAAGGATTTTTTTTACAAACTTTAAAATATAATCAAATCAATAGCATTATTTACTTGTGGCCTCTCATGCTTAAAAATACTGATTTCACTCTAGAGCAAATACTAATTATATTTTTTCTTTATTTATATGTACAAATATAATTATATTTTTTCCTCATTTATATGTCTACATCCTTACTTAAGTACATTTACTATATATTATATAGATTACATTTAATTCATCTGAATTTTGTAATGTAATAGTTGAAGTAGGAATTTAATATTTTTTCACATTATCCACTTTTGTAAATGTCATTTAAATTAACTAGGGGATACTTCATATCGTCTAATAAATATACGCTAATCTACTTATATTTCAGCAATGAGACATCAATAAAAATTTGTGCAGTCAAATCTTTGCAAAGAAGTGGGATAGGATTTGTGAAATATAATAGGTTTAAATACTAAATTCAGATTTGATGATTTCTGATAGACTTAGAATGCTAACTAAAAATAAATATTTTCAGAAATACACAGCCACTAGGAGTGTAATGTGTAACCTTTAGACACTGTAAAAAAAATGTAATAGTGGAAAAGCAGACTTAAAGAAGCTTATGGAAGTTACATTTGATGTCAGAAGCAGTTATCAAGATCTATTTTTCAGTAAAAATAAAGTGTTAATCCTGCAGAAAGTCAGGTTACATAAGCACATAAGCATAACATTTAATCCCTATATTACGTATTTTGAGAGTTCGTTTTAAGGAATAAAAGACATCCTTTGCTGTCAAGCTTATAGGCTTGTAATATTGGGCTTTACAACAGGGAAACAATCGGAAGACAAAACAACTAGATGAAATACATTGCTAAACTGCACTTTGAAAAGAGAAAAGCAATGAGGATTCAGAAAAGAAAAGACTTTACAGAATTTACAGGTTGAGCAGGACTTCGAAAGATGGTAAAATCTGTTTTAAGTGTAGCAGGACAGCAGTACGTACTTATAGTTGGAACCGCTCCAGGAAGTAGTGGAAGCAACAAGGGAAAACAGTGGTAGCATTGTAAGGAGGCCACCCGATCTGGAGAGATCCTCTTGGGAAACCATGGAAGTTAACATTGACGGTAAAGTGGAATCCACTTAGGCGGAACTGTGAACGTTGTGCCAAGAGGTCTAAGACTGTCTCTGTGGGTAGTGTCTGGCCAGTCTAGGTCCTAGAGCAGAACTGAGACGCGATGAACAATGAATGGACTATATTACGATGAGCTTGGAATTGATGAGTCAAGATCCACTACGAAATAAGAAGGCGTCACATCGTGAATAGAGTAGAAGGAACAAGTGGTAGCAGTGTTGACAGGGCTCTGTAATGTGAGAGAAGAAGAGTGAAAAGCCAAAATGACTCCAGGCTTTTGGGTGCAGAACCTGGAGAAATGTTCCTGTAATAGAGAGAGGAAAAAAGGAAAAGCCATAGAAAGATAGTTAAAATAGACTGTCATCTGCACAATTACATAAAGTCATATTGCAGGAGAGTTGAGACTGAAGTTTGTGAAATAGTAGATAGTATATAAAAGTGTTATCAAAACTCAAAAATACATGTGGATTTAAAGGAAAACATAATGGTTTTAGAGAATAAGGTGGACAGTGAACAATAGCAGATCAAGTTCAGGATCAAAAGATGGAAGGATGGAAAAGTTATTTTTCCATCTTTCATAAGTCATTTCTTAGAACAGGTCATTCAGTGACCACTCGGTATCTAATAAAAATACTACATCATACTAGCCTAGTTAACTTTCATATACCTGTACTCCAATACCAGCTAAGGTGCACTAATTTGCTGCTAGAGTAAGACCCTAGCGATTGAATAGCAGAGTCTGAGAATATTTTATCCCATGCATTTTAGTTACTTCCTGCAAATCTCAAAACAATCACAACATAAAATAGATTTCCTGTACTCTTGACTTTGTATTTATCTTCACCACAGCCGTAATGAGGGTTTTGCAGCTGATATACTTTCCATGGGAACCTCCTGAGAACACGAGCATCAGAGGCAGGATGGTGCAAGGAAGTAGGCTGTAGGATTATGATAGTAAACCGTATTCCCCTCCACCTTTGAGTCTCAATCCTGAGTAAGATTTTAAATCAAGTTGGTTGAGTTTTGTAGACAGCTTGTTAAAGACACAGCAGATGTCCTGACCAGTGGGCCCTTTTATCCTGTAAAGACAGGCTAAGAATCCAGTAGTTTTTATTGTCGACCTTTGCATCTTCAGGGTTCCCATGTTAGTTCCTTACTAACTTAGTTTCTAACTAACTTCCTTAGTTGCTAATACCATTAGCAGATTGAGGGCTGTTACCATTTTGTCTCCAAACAGCAAAAGGTGAGTGTGGAGGATCAGAAGGGAGCATAGGCTATATAGTGTAGCCTTAAAATGTTGTCATAGTTTCACCTGTCTGCTCCCAAATTGATCTCTAAAAGGGATAAAAACCGATGTAAAGGGATCTATTTGGAGGTGAAGGTTTGTTCTTTAAAGGATAAGAATATTGCCCACGTATATACCCACGAGTCCTGGTTTCTTCCCCCAGATTGCAAGTAGCTTGTACGGCATGTGCAGCCCATCTGTAGTTGACAGCTGTCAGGCAAGATTCTCTTCAGAAGCATCAGAGAGGAGAGAGTGTCTGTTGACCCTTTCCATGAGATGCATTTCTTCTCCTATTTCGATCATATGTTTTCCCTCACAAAAATCCTCTTACTCCAACCAATGCTGGTTCTGCGATTCAAACATCGTTCCCTCATGAAACACTTTGTGTTCGCTCCAAAATCCTTTGCCCTCCCCCACATTAAATGTCATTACTATCCAGAAGCATTTTGAAAACAGCCATTTGTAACAGTGACCTTTCCAATGATAATTGCTAAGGATTTTGGATGTGAATGTTGTTGTTACTGTTCTTCAGAAAAACCAGTATATGAAAATCTAAATGGCAGAGAAGTTGATGGAGGCAGAGATAGATATTTGGACTTTACTCAACACTTATTATGTTTAATCTTTTCAACTACCCTCTGAGATTAGTAGTATTATCTGTGTTTTACAGAGGAAAGAAAACTAAGGCTTAGAAAGAATCTAAATACCCTGCTAAGGTCACACAGATACTGAGTGACAAAGCCAGCAGTTAAAGCCACAGCCTAATTCTAAAACCCGCTGAGTAAACTTCCTGTTCTTGGGTGGAATCTATTGGCATCCAGACAGTAGTAGACTGTAGGTCCTCAGATTACGTGCTTTGCAATGAGAAGGAAAGAGCTTTTTCAACTTAAATGTCCTCACTGTCTCCAAGAGCTTCTGCGCAGTTGAATTCATTTCCTACTTTTTAGTTTAAGATGTAATCCTGCTATATTAAAAGTTTCTGGCCAGGTGTAGTGGCTCATGCCTGTAATCCCAGCACTTTGGGAGGCTGAGGCAGGCCGATCACCTGAGGTCAGGAGCTCGAGACCAGCTTGGTCAACATGGTGAAATTCCATCTCTATTAAAAAACAAAAAATTAGCTGGGCGTGGTGGCAGGTGCCTGTAGTTTCAGCTACTCGGGAGGCTGAGGCAGGGGAATTGCTCGAACCCGGGAGGCGGTTGCAGGGAGCCAAGATCACGCCACTGCACTCCAGCCCACGTGACAGAGTGAAACTCTGTCTCAAAAAAAGAAAGAAGGAAAGAAAGAAAAGTTTCATAGGCACAGTGGTAAGGGCATTTGATGAGAAGATAAGAGATCTGGTTTCTTATTCTGGTTCTATCATTAATTTGTTGTTTTACCTTAGGCAGTTCACCTGGTGTCACTGGGTTTGAGTTTCTTCAAATTCTGCCTTCTTATTAAATAATTTTAATGTGCATTGTTTTATCTTTGATTAAGACTACAAAGCTAATTTTGCAAAGTTTTTTCTTGAGGATTTCTCTCAAGGGAGGAAAGTCATGTTGGGTCAGGATAGGTCTAACAAAGTGAAGATGCAAAGCATAAAAATCCAGGAAACCACCTGAAGTGGTAAGAAAAGTTAGATTTAAGATTTATTTTTTGCATCCATCAAACATAACCCAAGTTTCCGTTGGGTCTTGTGTGTCTGTTGTAAGTATCATGTCTATGACAAATAGAACTTAAACTAATACAGCATACCCTATCGCCTACAGAGCTATTCTTTTATTTTGTTTTGACTGGTAGTGGTATTCAGGAAGAAATTTTTTGATGAATACCTTACCATACCTAGCAAGCAGGTCCTATATTTAATAGATTAATACAAAAATAACTGACATTACCTGAATATTTTAATCAACCTTTTTAAAAGATAAGTCGGTTTTAACAAAAAAGAGACAATAACATTTCCCCTTTCTCTTTCACATACTTTTCAAAGAGAACAACGTGGTGTGGTACTTACTGTTTTGCTTAACCATGGTCCTGATTTCTAAACATGAGTCATTCCTACCCCAGGTTTTCCCAAGTATTGTTATCTGTGTCTTTCTTGAGATACTACAGGCTCTTAAAACGCAATCTGGAGCAGTTCATTATTTCACTGTGAGAATATTCATGCGATTATCTGCATGTTTCTAGAAGTGATCTCTGCAAAACAATTCTGCTTTCTGTTGCTAAAGGACCTGCCAAATAGTTGAATATCTTAATCATAAGTCTGCTCTGGACCTTGAGAGACATTAGTTTTATTTTCTGTAAGGAAGCCTCGAGAGACAAACTCAACTAGGTATCATGGTTTTTCTGAATTTGCCTGTGTTTGTGTTTAATTAAATTTTTTTTTCCTGCTTTTGTCCTAAGTTCTTAATATGAAGTTGAGACGTTTTGGTCTTCAGTTTCATGGCATACTTCTTTTCACATTTGAGAAGCAAGACTGTTATCCTTTCTTTCTCAAAACTAATTAGACCAATATTCATTCCTTGAGAAATTGTTCCTACCTTTTAGCCCTAGTCATTTTCATTATTCACTGAGCTTTTTCCCAGTTTATCATGACTCCTTCGTTTCTGAGGGCCTCAAAAATTCTCCTCCCCATCACACACACACACACACACACACACACACACAGACTTTCTTATGTTTTAATGCACTGTTGATGTTGGTACCCAGCATCTTTTTGCCTTTTTAATGATAATAACACCCTATTTCTGTTCAAAGTTATTTTTGTTGTCTAAAATGTGTATCAACGCTATGTTAAAAACCGTGGTGTCTGCCCTCAAATATGTCTTCAATGGGTAAATCTGTTCTGTGACCCTTTTCTTCAATCTGACCTAAGCCTCACCATGATGTTTCTGAAACCACTGAAAATATCCACAACGTGTTACCTTTCTCTTCTCCTACTTCTTGGTAAATTTCTGTGTAATTTCCAGCTTTGGATTTCTCTAGAGTTTTCCATAAAATTCTTATTTCCTGGATCACCATGGATGACTAGATTAGGATTTTCTGATCATTCTCTTCCCACATCCTCTAGTCTTACCAATCGAATGCAATCGCACGGTCTTGTCTCGTTTCCTATCCTGCTTCTAATTATCAGACCCTCTCCCTCCCGTCCCCTCTCATTTCATCATTTTAAATTTCCTCATAACTGAGGCATTCAAATACATGTTTCTTTCAACTTGCAGTTCTTAATAGACCAGGATGAGCAATAAATATCTATTTGAAGTCCTGACTTAGTAGCTTTTCAAATGTTATTTCCCACACCCTAAAAGTCGATGCAACTTTAAAGAGATCTAGGTTTGAAAGAGAATACAATATGTGAGTTAATGAAAGGCTGTTCCACGAACCTGATATTTCAGTTTATATCTGTTTTAAAAATATACCTTAGAATATCTTATTGTAGTTTGCAGCTTAAGGTGTTATATAGATAAATTATGCAAACTCTCATTAACAAAAATAACTTGCTATACATTGCAAATATACTTCCAGTTAGAAGACAGCTGTTGGGGAATAGAATGGTAGCTCTCTTTTAGTAGCCTACTTTTTTTCCTAGCAGGCACAAATCATTAGGAATAAATTGTCTTCTGTCATTGTAGCCAGTAATTGGTGACATTTTCTTGTCACTATGGGATTATAAATAACAGCAATATATGTACTGTCAACAGATTCATTATGTTATGAAAAACATAAACCAGTAGTCTGTGTCTTTTAGCTATAGTTTGCATGTTTTCCGTATTAAGTATGACACTGACATCTTTACAAATTAAAAAAATACTCGACAGTGCAGTTTTGTTACTAATAACTTCAAATTTTTTAAGCTTTAAATATATCATAATTCCTTCTATTTCTTCCATAGTTCTTCTGGAAAATATATTCTTCCAAGATTTCTTTGTTTGCAAACAAGATTGTAAGCATTTGTGATGCATCTTAGCGGAGCTCAAGTTATAAGAGTAATGATAAATACCTTGTCCTCAAAATTTTAGTTTACATAGTAAATAGTGGTCACCTGTCCCATGCTGAACAAAAAAAAAATAATCCATCCAGAAGGAAAATTAACATGGACTAAATGTTATAATTACTTGCTTCATTGATAATTTTGACAGATTAATAATTTTCTTTTTTGAGTCTCGCTCTGTCACTCAAGCTGGAGTCCAGTGGGATGATCTTGGCTCACTGCAGCCTCTGCCTCCCAGGCTCAACTGATCCTCCCACCTCAGCCTCCTGAGTAGCTGGGACTATAGGCACGTGCCACCACACCTGGTTATTTTATTTATTTATTTATTTTTTTGGGTAGAGATGAGGTTTCACCAGGTTGCTCAGGCTGGTCTCAAACTCCCGAACTCAAGCAAATTGCCTGCCTCGGCCTCCCAAAGTGCTGAGATTACAGGCGTGAGCCACCACACCAGGCCTATTGATAATTATTAAGTTAGATATTATTTTCTAATTTGAGTGTCCTGGCAATGGTATATACCTGTCACCTCTTTGACCTCCCGATAAAGAAGGGCAACATCTCACTTTCAGTAGCTGCCATTGCTTTGCAGAGAAGAAGTTTTATTTTTCTTTGCCTTTGCAAAATTAAGACAGAAAAGACTCTGCTGGTTATGGAGAGTGCATGGAAAGCAAGCTGGCTGCAGCGTTCATGTGACCCCTATCTTCCTAGACAAGTTTGTCAGCCTCTGAGTGAGTCTGTTTTGCCTTGCTATCAAGGAAGTACCTGAGGCTGGGTAATTTATAACGAAAGAGGTTTATTTGGCTCACAGTTCTGCAGACTACACAAGAAGCATGGCGCCAACATCTACTTCTGGTGAGGGCTTCAGGAAGCTTTTACTCGTGGAGGACGGAAGGGGAGTTGAAGTGTCACATGGCAAGAGCAGGAGCAAGAGAAAGGAGGAGGTACTGGGCTCTTTTTGACAACCAGCTCCTGCATGAACTAATAGGGTGAGAACTCACTCATCACCAAGGTGATGTCACCAAGCCATTCATGAGGGACCCCCCTCATAATCCAGACACCTCCCACACGGCTCCACCTCCAACATTGGGTGTCATATTTCAACATGAGATTTAAAGGGGACAAATATCCGAACTATATCAGCCTCTGAACCAAGACTTGAAGGGCATAATTTCTTGCCTGTTCCCTAGAGTCATTTTTGGGAGCCCCCTACTAAGGGGAATTGTGACTTTCCTATCGAGGAGATGCCTTCTAAACTTCTCTGTTTCTCTCTTAACAGCTATACAACATTTAAAGACTTCAAAATTTTGGATTCCCCTACTTTGTGAAAATACTGTTATCCAAGTTTTCTTTACCTCGTTTCTTATTTATTCACTCAACAAACACAGCCAAGGCATTGTTTCTGACTCTTCAGGGACTACAAAGCTGAAAAACAAGACCTACCAGTGTGTATAGTATATATATATATATGTATATTTAGAAGTAACTCTAACGGGAGCTACAGTCACGTGTGAGTTTCACACGTCTTTACTCACATGCTTTGTGTCTTACTATTTCTGTATTAATTTTTCATTATTCTGGGCAGTCCATCATTCAGATATCCCTTTCTTCATCTAAAAGTTAGTCCTCTAATAAAGCATTTTGCTACTGAAAGAGGCACCACAGTCTTTTTGGTTTTATAGACTAAATCTGAGCTGTATTTGAATTTCAATCCTGCTGTTTTTTTCTTGGCCACTTCGTTGATATCCCTTCTATTTAAAATAATGCTATCTAAAGCAGCAATATAAATTGTACACTAAACATATTCTCTCTCTTTCATAATGGAAAATTGTAAAATAAGTTTTTAAAATATAAACCACTATAACATTTTTGAGACATTATGAAATCACATGATGAGTTGTGTTATATATTTTTCATCATGGCACTCAAAACAGTTTGCCAAAGTGGAGCTCAAGTTTCTATTTTTTCTTCCCACTTACCATTTCCAAATCACTTCCAAAATTTCAAGTTCATTAGCCTTGTCTTTCTTCCCTACATGATATCTTTCCATTGCCATGTACTTCCATCCAATTCAAACGATTTATTTCAAAACTTTTTTTAGTCCTGAGTATATAGGAGGTGTATATATTACTTCTTCAAATTTCTTCCTGTCTTTTGTCCTTTTCTTACATCTAGAAAATTTTTCCCCCAATTCTCTTGATCTTGGCTTCATAAAACGTCTTTGCACCAGTGAAGACAGGACAGAAGTTGCATCAACCTTCTCAGGAAAACTTAAATTCTCTAAGCTTATCTTCCCCGTTATCTAAACACCAAATAATCTTATTTTTCCATTCTTTCCTTGCAATTCCTGTGAAGACATTGTAATGGAGTCTTCTTTATTATTTGCCATATTGTGAATAAACCATGAGTTTTCTTGCCTCTCTGCCTTTGATCATACCACCAACAATCTGCAATACCCTCTTAGCCACTCTTTGCAGATCAAAATCCTTCCAATCTTTCAAGGCTCAACTTAAGTATCTCTTCCTTTTAGTCATCCTAATAACAAAGGGCAGTGAGCTGTCCAGCCTCTAAATTTCCCAGATGTTTACTCTCTCTAATGCTTCATGACATTTAGCATTTACTACCTTATTTTGAAGTTATCTGTTTACCTGTCTTATTTTCCTATACTAGATCATAAGTATCAAGAAAAGGGGAATTAGGCTTCTAAGTCCATTCCTTGGATTGTGTAGCAATAAAGCCACACCCCAAATAGATGCCTGGTTAAATGTTTTCAACAGCGGAATGAACGAAATGTCCATGGAACTAGGCACAATGTCACAAAATGCTGGGAGGAATTCAGAGAGAAACTTAGTCTTAGGCAGAGAAAGGTTTTTATTTTCCTAGTGGAAAAACAGGTATTTGTATTCTCTGACCTTTTGTAAAAATATTTTTTAAGGAGTTGCGTGTTGTGGATGGTTTTTATTTTTATTTTTTTATTTTTGAGACAGAGTCTTA
Source organism: Homo sapiens (assembly GCF_000001405.40). Taxonomy (NCBI): domain Eukaryota; kingdom Metazoa; phylum Chordata; class Mammalia; order Primates; family Hominidae; genus Homo; species Homo sapiens. Next base: position 182,375,574 of record NC_000004.12, read on the forward strand.
CTCTGTTGCTCAGGCTGGAGTGCAGTGGCGCAGTCTCGGCTCACTGCAGCCTACACCTCCCAGGTTCTAGCAGTTCTCCTGCCTCCGCCTCCTGGGCAGCTGGGATTACAGGCACAGGCCACCACACCTGGCTAATTTTTTTGTATTTTTGGTAGAGATGAGATTTCACCATGTTGGCCAGGCTGGTCTCAAACTCCTGACCTCAGGTGATCCACCTGCCTCAGCCTCCCAAAGTGCTGGGGTTACAAGTGTGAGCCACCGCGCCCGGCTGGGAACCGCATGTTGTGGGTGCTTTTTAAAACAACATTTGTAAAAGGGATAATGAATGCACTGACTTCCATGACATAGTGTTTTAATTAGAATTCAGACCATTTGTGCACCCCTTATGATAGTTTCTTCTTATTTGCATTCACTAGATTTCCTTTCCTAAATGATTTATACACTTGCATAACTGGAAATTTTAAACATTAAATTTATTGCATCTTGTCATTATGTATTAAAATTATTTTCCTAATCTTGAGTACTCGAATTCGTCATATGTTCTTATACACATAATTTATGTTAAGAATTGCTTCAGCAACATTTGCGCTGTCATTTGGCACGCTTTTGGAATCAATATTGTAGAATACTGTAAGGGGAAAAAATAATTCTAACAGTTCTCCCCTGTGTTCCCATTAATTTGTTTATTATCCAGGTCTTCATTAGTAATATAGTTGCTAATGTAAGCCCATAATAAACAGAGTATAATTGAATTTTCAATATTTTGTCACCTGGGAGTAATTTTCTTCCAAGACCTCTGCTCCATCTTGTGACTAATTGTCGACAGTTACTCAGTGCCACCACATTAATGTCATCTAGCATTGCAAAAATATCTACCTGACTGCATTATATTTAAAGATATTCATTCCAAGCCCTTGATATTTTCTTTTTAAATTATTTACCTCAAGTTTAAATATCATTTAAAATGCAATAAATGTAATGAGCCAACATGTTGTGAAAATACAGATTTAGACATCAGCTAAGATTTGTTTGGGTAGAAGATAAAGACAGTCATGTTGGGTGTCACCAAGCATTGGAGCAGCAACGTGGCAGAGGAGGGAGGTGGCTGAACCGGAGTCAGTGTACAGAAACCAGAGCGATGGCCATTGGACCCATTTTTTTTTTTTCCCTGAATTGGGGTTGTTTCTGGTCAAATTACTTTTTTTTTCCTGTGAGTTTTACCTGGGTTGAATCAGATGTTATCTTGATATTACATTATGCTGAATAATGTTCTAAAAGTGTATTATCAAAAATAAGTGAAGACAATAACAATTGAAAATGCTAGACACAGGCAGATTGATTGAAAAATACAAAAATCTTTGTTTTTGTTGGCACTGTGTAGTCAGAATCAAGCTTTTCACAAATTCAGAACACAAAATAGCAACCCCGGAATACTCCAGGTTTATGTCTGTTGTCCCAGTGTAATCCGTCCGCACTGTCTCCTTCCACTCTTAAACATGTCTTGGTTTGGTCATTAAGTTAAATGGTCAGCTAACCGACAACACATTTTTAGTTTAGTACCTCCTCTATTTCCCAGACAGCTTGCTAATGACCCATATAGTAAAATTAAAACAACTGTGTTCTGATTCAGGAATCCTACACTTGACCTAATTTGCAAAACTTTTCAAACTCTCTTTGTTCAACAATCAAATTTTGATTCTGCGTATAGGCACATAAAGCCACATTTTGTATTTATTTATTCATTTATTTATTTATTTTGAGACAGAGTCTTGCTCTGTCACCCAGGCTGGAATGCAGTAGCTCAATCTCGGCTCACTGCAACCTCCACCTCCTGGGTTCAAGCGATTCTCGTGCCTCAGCCTTGCGAATAGCTGGTATTATAGGCATCCACCACTAGGCCAGGCTAATTTTTGTATTTTTAGTAGAGATGAGGTTTCACCATGTTGCCCAGACTGGTCTTGAACTCCTGACCTCAGGTGATCCACCCGCCTTGGCCTCCCAAAGTGCTGGGATTATAGGCATGAGCCACCACGCCCGGCTCCACAATTATTCCTTAATCCAGATATTGTCATTGCTTGTTTCTGATACACTATATATAAAGTCATATATGTAAAACAAATCATGTATATAGATCATGATATTGTTTATATGATTTTTAAATTTTCATTAGGAATACAGTTTCCCAAAGAGAATTATTCACATTATGGGAAAGCAAGAGAGCCTGGTGATGCTAGCACGTTATCCTAGACTCTGTGGGTACTCTCTTAGTATATCACAACAGCAAAGTTTGAGTGAATGTCTTATTGTGTGATCATAGAGAAGCAAATCTCTGTAGGTGAGTGAAATAGAGCAAATGTGGTAGAATGAAAAACTGCGATTTCGGATGGCATGCTCACTTCAGTTCAAGCAGACATTGATGGATGTCCACGATGCTCACTGTGCTAGGTCATGTGGAGGATACGGAGGGAAGGCAGTTCGCTTGCAAGGACTGCAGTTTGGAAGTGGAAGTGGGATTGGGAGTAGCTGCTCCCTTTCACTGAGCACTCCCAGTCTGTGCAGATTTTGTTCTCGGCTTCTTAAAGGCAGTGAGCTCGGGTAAGTGTGATTCCTATTTTATAAATAAGGAAACCAACATACAGAGAGATTTATCCCTTTGTCTTTCTTGAGCATCTGCATGTGCTGTTGTGCAGACGACTGGGGATATGGTGATGAACCAAACAGACAGGTTCCCTGTCCTTATGGGAGCTTACAAGTCTAGAGGGAAAGACAGACCTCGCACAAGTGAACCACAAAAATATGTACGCACACTGCATACAAAGAATGGAGCTGGCTTCTGTGAGAGGGGGTATTCAGAATGTAGGAGAGGGAGACTTCTTTGGACCAGGTGGCCAGGGAAGTCATCTCTGAAAAAGTGACAGGTTTAAAGCTGAGACTTGAGGGGACAGAACGAACAAGTTAGATAACATAGCAGGAGAGATTCCAGATGGAAGGAAAGCATCGCAAAGACCCCAGGAGTGCAAGAGCTAATGGGAGCGCTGGAGAAACTGAAAACAGGCCTCGGAAGGGTCACCCAGCGGTCACGGAGGACAGTGGCATAACTCATGAAATAAGGTTGCAGAGGAAAGTCGGGTTTTGCAGAGTTTGGATTTGAAAAGATTTTGAATTTTTAAAAGATTATTTTGGATTGCAGAAGTGTTTTTTCTCCCAAAATTGCAATAGGAAGCCATGAAAGGGTTTTGAACAGGGAGAGACATGATCCAACTTGCCTAAGAACCTGGAGCTAAAAATTCAGAGAGCTAGAACTGAACTCAGGCCAGTCTAACTTCAGAGCTCAGCTCCACATTCTAAAACCGTTTCCCTTGAGACTCTACAAATAACTGGGTACGTGGCAGAAGGTGCGTACCGTGGCCAGTATGCACAGGCATTGGGTAGTTCTAAGCGGGAAGATCGAGCATCGGATTTGGACTTTCATAAAAACTCGAGGAGATGGCACCAGTCTGGAGACTAGAAGCGTGTTGCAAGGGCCAGGCTTGGTGGCTCACGCCTGTAATCCCAGCACTTTGGGAGGCCGGGGCGGGCGGATCAGCCTGTCCAACATGGTGAAACCCCGTCTGTCCTAAAAGAAATACAAAAATTAGCCGGGCGTGGTAGTGGGCTCCTGTAATCCCAGCTACTCGGGAGGCTGAGGCAGGAGAATCACTTGAACCCGGGGAGTGGAGGTTGCAGTGAGCCGAGATTCTGCCACTGCACTCCAGCCTGGGCAATAGAGCGAGACTCCGTCTAAGAAAGAAAAAAGGGTATTGCAAGAAACAGGAAGAGCATAAAAATGGGGCAGGGAAAAGGGACTGTTTTGAGGGGAAAGTGAGCAGTCCAAGTCCCCACAGTGTATCCCACCCATAGTGTGTTACTAGAAAATTGTAAAGGTAGGTTAAAGACTGAACGGGGCTTTTCATGCTCGTCTGAGACATTGTATATAATGCAGTAACTAGTGAAGAGTCACTGAAGATGTCTGAGGAGGAGAATGACTTGAACAGAGATACACTTTTAAAACTCTTTTTAATCTGAGGGTGTGGATGTACCATTAAGGAAGGGAGGCTGCATGAAGGAGAGATCTGTAAGACATTTGTACAGCCTGCGAGTATGATGGCAGAGTCCAGCCCTGAGCCAGGCCGTCTGGCCCCATGTTCCAGGTCCACCGCTCACTAGCTCTGGGGCCTTAGACAGTTTTCTGCATCTCTTGGTATTTCCATTTCCTCGTCAATCAAGGGGGTTAAATGAGAGAATCTACTTCACAGGGTTATTGAGCAGAGATAACTTTATTGATCAAGTATTTACCAGACCTCTTGGTGTACATTAGTACACAAGGCAGGCTAGCTATTTCAACAACAACAACAACAACAAAAGACTAGTGCAGGATGGGCGCAGTGGCTCACCCCTGTAATCCCAGCACTTTGGGAGGCCAAGGCGGGCGGATCACCTGAGGTCAGGAGTTCGAGACCAGCCTGGACAACATGACGAAACCCTGTCTCTACTAAAAATACAAAAAAATTAGGCGGGCCTGGTGGCAGGTGCCTGTAATCCCGGCTACTCTCGAGGCTGAGGCATGAGAATCACTTGAACCCGGGAGGCAGAGGTTGCAGTGAGCCGAGATTGTGCCACTGCACTCCAGCCTGGGCAACGAGAGTGAAACTCCATCTCAAAAAACAAAAAGCAAAAACAAAAACAAAAAAGAACTAGTGCAGCCATTCCCCTAAGAGCTAGTTAAGCTTCAGCTAGAGTAAAGTGAGATAAATGGAGGAGTTGTGTGAAAGACTGACATGAGACCAGAAACTCCATGTGGACAGGCACCATGTCCACTTCGCCTCCTGTTTAACTTCCAGCAGCTAGTGCAGTGCCTGGCATTGCGTAAGCATGCAATAAATATTTGTGCATTTGGATTGAATTAATATATGAAGTATAATGCACTTATATGTGCCCTGCTATATATAAATTATGCTGGCTTATAGCATACACATGTGCTACTGATGATATTGATCAGTTTTGGTAATACCCTGCCAAGCACCTTGAACTACACATAAAAACCAACAATAGAGGGGAAAGGATTCAAAATTGTTATTTAAAATGCCTCCCAACTGTGAGAATGTATGCTGCTCACAAAACTTACCAGTTTCCCGGAATTTAACGAAGGCCACATCTTGCTTTCCCATTTCAGCAAGGGTGTGATTAGTTTACCAGTGACGCAACCAAGGTTAACCCAGGCTTTGGCTAAGGTCCCAGAAGAATTTAGTAAAATCTTCTTGAAAGTCTCTACCACATACCCTCTTTGCCTTCCTGACCTCATATGAAACCTCCTCTTGTTTGGCACCAGCGCATGGAGAAAGCTGATGCAAGGGTGGTCTGGCTTATGGGATGGTCACCCGCTCTTATTTCCTCTGTGCTAGCACAGGGCTGACGCTGACGGGCAGTCTTCTAGTGCTTGAGTCTCTCCGTACCCCTGAGGGAGGGGTGTGCTCTGACCAGGAACGAGATCAGACAGCTGTGAGAGTCCCGACCAGGGCTGAGCTGAGGAGTGAGAGCAGGTGCTTTTGATAGCCAGGAAAGAATTGGTCTGGGGATCCCCCGACAGGGGGAAGTCACAGAAATTAGAGACGGAAAACACCTATTAGTCAATTCCCATGCCAAAGATAAATTGATCCCTAGTGTGTCTCCCTAGCTCCCTGACCACTCCAGTTAGTTATATCTCTGTCAACATGTAAGGAGGAGGGACCATGGGATGCAGGGAAAAAAAGACTCAGGATGTTAAGATGGTTTCGATACTGGGATGAAGAGAAGATCAGTAATCATTAAAGAAAAAATAATGATTTTGGAGAAAAATAAGAGCAGTAGACATTTTCCCCCTAGGGCCTGAGATTTGAATAGAGGTAGGCAACTCCACAATGGGTTCTATAGCTGTTCTTTTCTTTTCCTCCCCTCCCCTCCCCTCTTCTCCCCTCCCCTCCCCTCCGGAGTTTTGCTCTTGTTGCCCAGGCTGGAGTGCAATGGTGTGATCTCGATCTCGGCTCACTGCAACATCCGCCTCCAGCGTTCAAGTGATTCTCCTGCCTCAGCCTCCCAAGTAGCTGGGATTACGGGCCTGCACCACCACGCCCGGCTAATTGTGTATTTTTAGTAGAAACAGTGTTTCTACATGTTGGTCAGGCTGGTCTCGAACTCCCGACCTCAGGTGATCTGCCCGCATCGGCCTCCCAAAGTGCTGGGATTACAGGCGTGAGCCACCACACCGGGCCTATAGCTGTTGTTTTCTTAATGAAGAGCTGATGTTATTTATCCAAAGGGAAGAAATCGTCTTGTTCATGTGGTCCTCATTTTGTGCTAGGGAGTAGAGGTCTTGAGTGAGTATTGCTGACATTGCTAGAATTAGAATATGCATTTTGCTTTTGGAGTAGTGACAGTAGAGAAACCTAGGACGATGCTCTGATAGAATGTATTAAAGAGGGAATTATATGGTAGTTTGTAAATATGTGGATTTGGTTGACTATCTATGGCTATGAAGAGAGCCAAAGGATGTTATCGCTAAAGATAAGATCATATTGAGATGCAAGTAGATATATAATGAAATCTGAATTGGCTCTGTTTTGCTTGGACTATTTTCTTCATTATTTATAAGAAGAAAAAAGGGGCTAATTCTCAAACTATGTGTCAGTAATTTCTCTTGATTTTAATCACATTAAACTAGATGGCTGATTCATTGCATCAACTTTGATTGATATTTTTGCACCATTTCTTGTTTTTTTTTTTTATATTTTCAAGTTATACCCAGGCATTTTGTTGCATATCTCACATCCAAAATAGCTCAAATGAGCAATATCATTCCCAGCCAACCTCTCCCCGCCTCTCTCATTCACACTGCAGTTGAAGGACTTTTCCAGGAAATGTTTAGAGAACCATGGGCTAAATAGCCTTTGCCCCAGGACTTTTTTCTTCCTTCATTGTATTTGTTTTTTAAACTTATCATGGTAGAGCTAACTCCTGCTGCTGTCTTCTCTCTAGGCATCAGGTCCGGGGTGCCCAGGCTGCCTCCCAGATTCCACACCACAGTGTCCATGATAGCAGCTTGATCCTTCAGCCAGATCCACTCTGCACATTGAAAGGCAGGCAGAGGTCGAAGCCATAGGCCCCAAATTCCTGTGATCTTTAAAAACCTCTTTTCAGGAACTCATTATGTTTATCACACATATAAAATGGTGGCAGGTGAGCTCATCCTTTTCAGGGTACCTGATGCCAGACTCTGGTGGTTCCTCGACCCATGATGTTCAGGCTGATCACCCTTGCTACGGTTCTTACAGTTTTAGTTCCATATGAGGAATCCATGAGCTGGGACCACCTACTCGTTGGTGTTGCTAAGGAAAAATTCATTCTGGCGCTTGCTAAAACGTTAAGGAAGACTATTCAGAATTGTTGCAACTGGTGTCAATTCTGTTGCAATAGGGGAGAGACATCAGGCTCAACCTCAATTATGGAACGAGTGGGGATTTACAGCCAAAGAACAGGTGTGGAGTCGGGGTGGTGGATGGAAAATTACTAAGAAAAGACATCAGGGTAGGGAGATTCTTGCTAAACTCACTTAACAGGATTCTTGCTGATGGTAGGCCAAGGACTTATACATCAAGTTGGGAGATGAGGAATTTGACCAGATATGGAAGATGTGGGGGTTCTCTCTAAACTGATTTAGCGAGAGTCTTGCTAAATCTGGGCTATGTGGGCCCAGCAAGGGGAAGGGTGAAGAAGGTGGAGGCCTAGTCAAACAGAGCACTTGGAGGGGCCTGACTCAAGTGGAGTCAAGGAGAGAGTCTTTGTCAGTGTGACAAGCAGCAGTTGTTTTAAAAAACATATTTTTATTTATTTTTTTAAATTGGAGACTCAGGGGTACAGGTGCAGGTTTGTTACATGGGTACATTGCATGGTATTAAGGTTTGGGCTTCTATTGATCCTGTCACCCAAATAGTGAATATAATACCCAATAGATAGTTTTTCCATGCCTGTCTTCCATCCCTCCCTCCCCCCATTTTGGAATCCTCGGTGTCTTATTGTTTCCATCTTTATGTCTGTGTGTACCCAATGCTTAGCTCCCTAAGCAGAAAGAACAAAGCCAGATGCATCACATTACCCAATTTCAGACTATGCTTCAAGGCTACAGTAACCAAAGCAGCATGGTACTGTTACAAAAACAGACACATAGACCAATGGAACAGAGGAGGAAACCCAGAAATAAGGCTGCACACTTACAACCAACTCACCTTCAACAAGCAGCGGTTCTACCCTAAGAATGGATACATCAAATTCAGCTAAGTATGGCTCTGCCAGAGGCAGGACCGTATTTCTGTGCATGCACAGTGTATATTCTTGAGCTCATGCCAGGCTCTCCCCGCTTCGGTCAGTTTTGTTTTGGGCACTTCCCTCTCCCATGCTCATTGGGCCTAGGAAGTCAGGCCTTCAGGTTTCAAGAATACGGATAGTGTGTAGGGAAGGGACGTGAGAAAAGCCCTTGGACGTGACTCAATAATGATGCTCAGATCTTTCACACTCACCCTGTGAAGCCGACTTTTTCAAATGAAAAAACATATACTACTCACATGTGACATTTTATTCAGAGCCAAAATTATAAAGCAAAGGAGTTCATGTGTTTATACCCAGAAAAATTGGCAAAGCTTTCTTTGAAAATGTCTGCTGTGGTTCAGTTTTTTTTTTTTTCTTGAAAATATAAATGGTTCTTCATTTAGTACCATTACTTTGAAAGAAAATTACAGAGTAGACGCAGGTAGGTGTCACTGAGGAGTTTTATTATGTATGTTTACAAACAAAGAGTATAAACAAAGAAATGCATTTGTTATACTTAGTGCCCCCAAAATCATTTGTACTAAAGTAGCCCTTGAACAAGCTGGAAAATAAGTGGAATAAATGTGGTACTTTGGTTCCTTTCCATTGACTTTCAAAAACACCACCGATATTGAAATATTTGTGTTTCCTTTGCTGTAGTGCCAGCAACATAATAGATGAGAAGAGAGTAGCTATTCACTGTTCTCCAGAAATACAACTTAGCCTCTTCCTGCAACTTGAGCCTCCACACTGCAGCCTTCCCTTGTCTCTGCGATTTCCTGCTTGCTCCCTCCTCTAATTACTCTTCTTTTTTTCAGACTCCTTTCATGAGTCTCCTCTTTTTTTGTCCCCCTTTATTCCCTCTTGCCCACATTCCACATTTCTTTTCAACCTCCCTCCGTATTTGGCTACAGTGTTTAAAACGAGTATTAAGTCTGGAAGCTGAATAAGCCCCATCTCCTAAAAAACAGTTTTACAGATTTTCTACTGACAGAGTTAGCAGTCTGGCCTCAGTGCTGGGGAACTGAAAAGACCCATCAGCAGCCTGAAAAAGAAGAGCTTCTTCATCAGTGCAGTAAACTGCTCTGCGGCTTCAGCCTCATTTTTACGTAGATGACGGTGTCCCCCAGCATTGTTGTAAGTACAAACACATCATCAGGCATCCTGGAAAGAAAAATCCTTCTGCTTGTCCAGATTAAACTCCGAATTCATCCAAACATTAAATGACAAGAATGTTGAGTTGAGAATGTAGAATTGTACCAGCAGGGAATCTTAAGAGGTAAATCTGGGAAAAGGAAGTTTTATTGTGCGTCTTTTTTTTTTTTTTTTTTTTGAGACGGCGTCTCGCTCTGTCACTCACACTGGAGTGCAGAGGCACGATCTCCACTCACTGCAACCTCTGCCTCCCAGATTCAAGCGATTCTCCTGTCTCAGCCTCCTGTGTAGCTGGGATTATAGGCACCCACAACCAAGCCCGGATAATTTTTGTATTTTTAGTAGAGACAGGATTTCGCCAAGCTGGCCAGGCTGGTCTCGAACCTCTAACCTCAGGTGATCCACCTGCCTCGGCCTCCCAAAGTGCTGGGATTATAGGCGTGAGCCACCGCGCCCAGCCAGTGCATCTTCTAAAGATAAGAAATTACTATTACTCTATTCAGCAATAATCCATTGCAATATTTGATAGAGGCTTTGTTAAAAGTTATTTTTTAAATGAATGAAAGTAAACTAAATGGGAAATGAAACAAAAAAATTTCATATTTTAATGAATTTGTCCTTTTCTTTGCCTCTAAGATAAATTATTTCAACAAGAAGCTGATATAAATTGAGAATTTCTTAAAACTACTGGTAGATGACAGATGTGTTTTAAATTATCATATGAGATACAGCTATTTTTCTTGGAAGAATACATTGCTATTTTTCATATTATTATTATTTTTAATGGCATTCTTATAAGGTAACTAAACTGATATCCAAACTACATTTTAAAAATTGTGTCATTTCTGATTTTATACCTAGGAAAAGTAATATCTACCTTTTAAAAATGAAAACCCTCCCAAGAATATTATAAATTAGCATTGCTTTTTTATGTGATAAGCAGCAAAATCTCACTGTTTGACTTAGAACGTAAGAAAGAGGAAGTGAAGACTGATCACAAGTTTCTATTTGGAGAAAATCAATCATGCACTCAATTAGAATTCGCAAAAGTATCTTTGTGCCTTTTGTTTAAAAATTTCAGTAAACATAGCCCAGTCTGATTTGGAACCCTCATAATTGTGAATAGCAAACAACTTATCACAAGAATAGATTCCCACAAAAGGGATTCTCACAAAATGTCTGGGTATTGTTAACACAGAAGGGACAAGAAGTTTTACCTTATAGCACTGCTGAAGTGTTTGTGTTTTGAAAAGAAAGAATGATATATAAAATAGTGAGAGGTGACAGCGTGCTGGCAGTCCTCAGAACCCTCGCTTGCTCTCGGCGCCTCCTCTGCCTGGGTTCCCACTTTGGCGGCACTTGAGGAGCCCTTCGGCCTGCCACTGCACTGTGGGAGCCCCTTTCTGGGTTGACCAAGGCTGGAGCCCGCTCCCTCAGCTTGCAGGGAGGTGTGGAGGGAGAGGCGCGAGCAGGAACTGGGGCTGCGCGCAGCGCTTGCGGGCCAGCTGTAGTTCCGGGTGGGCGTGGGCTTGGCGGGCCCCGCACTCGGAGCTGCCGGCCGGCCGGGGCAGTGAGGGGCTTAGCACCCAGGCCAGCGGCTGCAGAGGGTGTACTGGGTCCCCCAGCAGTGCCAGCCCACCGGCGCTGCTCTCGATTTCTCGCCGGGCCTTAGCTGCCTTCCCGCGGGGCAGGCCTCCGGACTGAAGCCCGCCATGCCTGAGCCTTCCCCCGCCTCCGTGGGTTCCTGTGCAGCCCGAGCCTCCCCGACGAATGCCGCCCCCTGTTCCACGGCGCCCAGTCCCATCGACCGCCCAAGGGCTGAGGAGTGCGAGCACATGGCGCGGGGCTGGCAGGCAGCTCCACCTGCAGCCCCTGTGCGGGATCCACTGGGTGAAGCCAGCTGGCCTCCTGAGTCTGGTAGGGACGTGGAGAGTCTTTATATCTAGCTCAGGGATTGTAAACACACCAATCAGCACCCTGTGTTTAGCTCAAGGTTTGTGAATGCACCAACCGACACCCTGTATCTAGCTGCTCTGGTGGGGACGTGGAGAACCTTTATGTCTACCTCAGGGATTGTAAATACACCAATCGGCAATCTGTATCTAGCTCAAGGTTTGTAAACACACCAGTCAGCACCCTGTGTTTAGCTCAAGCTTTGTGAGTGCACCAATCGACACTCTGTATCTAGCTGCTCTGGTGGGGCCTTGGAGAACCTGTGTGTCCTTGGAGAACCTGTGTGTCCAAACTCTGTATCTAACTAATCGGATGGGGAGGTGGAGAACTTTTGTATCTAGCTCAGGGATTGTAAACGCACCAATCAGCGCCCTGACAAAATAGGCCACTCGGCTCTACCAATCAGCAGGATGTGGGTGGGGCCACATAAGAGAATAAAAGAAGGCTGCCGGAGCCAGCAGTGGCAACACGCTTGGGTCCCCTTCCACACTAAATTTTGCTACTGCTCATTGTTTGGGTCCACGCTGCTTTTATGAGCTGTAACACTCGCCACGAAGATCTGCAGTTTCACTCCTGAGCCCAGGGAGTCCACGAGCCCACCGGGAGGAAAGAACAACTCCAGACGCGCTGCCTTAAGAGCTGTAACACTCACCGCGAAGGTCTGCAGCTTCACTCCTGAGCCAGCGAGACCACGAACCCACCAGAAGGAAAAAACTCCGAACACATCCGAACATCAGAAGGGACAGACTCCAGACGCGCCACCTTAAGAGCTGTAACACTCACTGTGAGGGTCCGCAGCTTCATTCTTGAAGTCAGTGAGACCAAGAACCCACCAATTCCGGACACAATAGGACTCTGGTTTCTAAGGGGTGATAATTGCAAAAAAAAAAAAAAAAACCAACAAACGAAACCAGCCATTCAGTCTTGCTTTGGAATTTTTTTTTCTCTCCATGGTTAAGCAAACGTGTAAGCATGTATCTGCATGCCCCAATGGAGACTCGCACTTTCGCAAATTATGAGGAATTAAACCTTGCGAATTAGGGTATTTTCAACCATCTGGGCATCTGGGGTTGCTCTTTCTTTTCTCTGTAGCTGCCTCTTCCCCTTCATTCCCAGCTGCTTCCACTCTAGTTCAAAGTTCCATCGCCACTTCTCTGGAAACCAGGAACTACTTCCCACCTGGTCTCCTTGACGTAGCAGTCCCTCTCAGTCCTCTGCCTGGCCTCATCAAGACTTCTTCAGCCTGCTTCTATTATGTTGTTTTTCTAAAAAACAGTCCGATGATGATGATAACAAAAATAATAATATAATAAACATTTAATGTACACCCACTTCTTCAACAGTTTCTACGCACTAAGCTGTGTTACATCTTTTGAATCCTTATTTTGTTTAATTCTCCAAAACAGTCTTGTGAATTGTGCTTGAGTACTAACCACATTTAATAGGTATGGATTTGAGGTTTAAACGGGTTAAAAGTACTTTGCAGGAGGCTATGCAGCAACTTTTCCTTGTTCTCTCACCAAGTCAAAAATGCTCTGCTGGCTTTTCAAACATCTACATCCATCCTACTACCTTAGAAACACTGTTTTCAATGTAATTCTTTTTCTAGAACATTTGGTAGAAGATTAACTGGAAATTTGCTATTGCTTTTGTGTATTATCATGCTTTTGAATCTCAAATTTAGATCATAAAGGAAATTGAATGTGAAACTCTCTGGCCACCCCAATTTTTCAGAAGCCTTTATCTGTGTCACAAACACCAGAATCATTTTGAAAATGTTCGCAATCTATGACCAAAAGTTGTTGGCTCTGCAACAAGAGCAGACTGATAGCCAGCACCAAGACAGATGGAGGTGATGTTCTAGGCAGAGGTGGCTTCTAGACCTTCCTTTGCACTGCCAGCTTCTAGTCAGTGTTATTAAATCTAGTCCCTTTCATAACTGAAATTTCAAACATAAATTATATTGCAACATCCCTATAGAAATGTCTGAAGTTATATATGAAGAAGGAAGGAAGATGCTGTTCTCAATACATCCCACATCATTAATATGTCAAATCTCTTTTCTTGTTTAAAATGAAACTGGGATGTTTTCCAACTTTTCATCCTGATGGTAAGGATAGTTGCCCGTGTTGGGTAGGGAAGGGAGGGAGGTGTAGCTGAAAGTACAGTTTTGTGTTTCCACTAATCTGATCCCTCCCACCAGCTGCCCTTTCCACCTGCCCTACAAACTCTCTGCTCAGAAAGTACACATTGATACAACTTATCAAAGCCAGCCCTCTGTTGTAGCCATTTCAGCAAAATAAGCCAATTTGGGTTTGGTAGATGGAAAAAAAAAAAAAAAAGAACTATGCCCAGGCCATAGAGATTAGACTTTAAAACAGAGCTAAAGTAATTCCGAAACCATTTTACCTGCCAGAAAAAAAAATTACATATAATTACTTTAAAAATTAGCCATTTTAGGTCAGCGTATGTGGCACAAAGAAATCTGAAATTTAACTATCTAACAGGGAATATGACAAAGTGGAAATTTGTTTAACTATGCACCATATCGTAGAGAAGGCACCAATACGAATTAGGTTATTTCTGTGTAGGCACAAGACTGTAGTTGCAAAGCTGCACTGCAGTAGATGACTCTTTTTTTTTTTTGAGACGGAGTCTCGCTCTGTCGCCCAGGCTGGAGTGCAGTGGCGCGATCTCGGCTCACTGCAAGCTCCGCCTCCCGGGTTCGCGCCATTCTCCTGCCTCAGCCTCCCGAGTAGCTGGGACTACAGGCGCCCGCCACCACTCCCGGCTAATTTTTTGTATTTTTAGTAGAGACAGGGTTTCACCATGTTGGCCAGGATGGTCTCCGTCTCCTGACCTCGTGATCCGCCCGCCTCAGCCTCTCAAAGTGCTGGGATTACAGGCGTGAGCCACCGCGCCCGGCCCAGTAGATGACTCTTTAAAGGTCATTTTAGCAAGTGTAAGATAGATCTTTTGAGGGTGCACATAGCCCACCTCCCTCAGTTTGGTTTTCTGTTTCATTGACTGTATTAGCGTTAAACTTTTTAAGAGTGACAGGCTGCAGGAAGGGGATCCCGGGTGGGTCATGGGATCTGCACAGCCAGCTGTTCCTTAGTTCAGAGAGTTCTTCTTTTTGAGATTTACAGATCCGTTTGCATTTGACAGACCATGGCAAGTCTTTGTACTGCCCAGTCCCAGTGTTTTAAAGGAGAGCAGCTTAATAATTTATTAACTGCAACATTTCCTCTGGGCTTTATCTGTGTGATGCTGTTGAGTCACAGAACATTATAAATATGAAGAATTTAGCAGAATCACATTCTTTAAAAGAGCTATGGCCTTTTTGTTGTGGTGGTTGTTGTTGCCAAGGACTCCTCTGAGAGCTCTTGTTGGTTTACCTGGTTGGAAAGCAGCAGAAAATGGTCAGCTTTGTAAAGTGGGATTGCAGTACCAGTTTCGAGTTTGCTAACAAGGTGCCCTGATCTACAAGATCGTTAGCCATGGAATGACAGTAAAATGTGGTTGCAGAAGGTTTTGAGACATTCCTGAATTGTCTGTGTGCTGTGCTGATGTGGCACTACTGACACTCTCCTACCGCAGTGCCTTGGTTTCTGCGGTTCCTTCAGCCCGAGGCACACTGCCGTCCCCATCTCTCCACCCTTCAGCACCTTGTCAGTTTATAGATCATCTCAAAAGTGACTTTTTTTCCACAAGGCTCTTATTGATCCTCTTCAAAATGGATATTGCTTCTGCCTTCTCAGACTCATTTATGATACTTACATGTCCCACTTGATATGATGATTACTGTTAACTTTTGCCCAATCTGGAGCAAAATGGCATGATGTCCACGGCAGGGTTATCCTGGATGTCCCTGTGTAGCCCAACACAATCGTGCACATGGGAGATGCTTGTTCATTTAATAGAATAGCTGTTAATTCTGCGCACCAATCCCTCTTCTCATGTTTCTTGTCCTTATCCTAATTGCATATAATTATTTAATGATGTTCTCAGCCATTTGTAAGCTATTTTTAGCATGGAAAACAAATTACCTTTACAGACTTTTATATTAGAGTAATATTAAAAATAATAGCTGCCTTCGTAAGCTGTTCTTCAGTTTACAGAACATTTTCATACATATTATTTGATCCGCCTGTGTAGATTATGCCCATCCGTGCCCATGACTGAGAAGAGGGCAAGAGTCTCCCTTTACAGATTAGGAAGCTGAGGCCCAGATAAATTAACTAATTTATCCAGAGTTGCATCTCTGGTAAATTTCAGAAGTTAAAATCAAACCCAGATGTCCTCAGGATTCTAGTACGACTTGTTCCACTTATATATAATTTTTCATCAAAGTTACTGAGCGCTCATTGTGAGGCTTGAATAGACACAGTTAAATAAAACCATGACTGGCCCTGGCTCTAAGGAGGCCAGCGTCCTGCAAACACAGGCACACGGCTGTTAGAAATGAGGACGCAGCCATGTTGCCTCACTGCCTGGACTAACACACAATGAAAAAGCAACATTCATTTTCAGTAACTGAGCAGATTCAATAAATGTAATGGCATTTAATGATTATGCAGCTCGTAGCATCTTTTATTCAAAGGTCAATTCCAATGCACTGTATAGACTATTTACTCTTTTTAGAGATGGCAGAGATAATAGATTAGGAGACTACCTGCATGGAAGAAACAATTGGCACTGGCCTGCATAAAGTTGGTACTTAAAAATGTTTATTGACTAACGCCATAGTGATTTGCTCTATGTTTCTGAACTTATCCTTTTATGGTTGACTTCTTCCTCTACAAAATGGGCAAAAAAAAAACATGCTTATGAAGTACAATTGAGAAAATATGGCATAATATTTCATTTAAAGCAGTTTCAGGCATAGGCTGAACAAATTGCTCAAATGTTTTGTTCCTTAATTTTACAAGGGATGCTCCAGAGAATGGAATCTGACTAGATTTTTCCCCATTTTTAGTTAACTTTACTTATAATTCAACTACCAGTACTCTCAAGTCACTGATAATACCAAATTGAATGGCTATTTTATCTATAATGTTCTTTTATCTCAAATGGGGAAAAGGGCACATTTTCATATAAGGCTGTGGGATGTGAACAGTGAAGGGTCGTTCTTCCTCTAAGCGGCTCTCCATTGCTGCAGCCACCTGCTCTACCGTACGGAGCTGAGGTAATTAATAAGAGGTATTAACACGTCTGGTATCACCGGGGAGAGGGAAAACCGAAATCTGTTGAATCGCTTTAACTGTGAAACAGCAAATGTTGATTTACTCACCATCTTTCACTTTACCACCCAGCTTGCCATCATTTCTGCAAGATGTAATAAAAAGTAAGCTCACACCCCAGTGTAACTTTAATGGGTTTAATTACATGTAACTTGAAATATGTGTTTGGCTACATGGTACGTCCAGCCACCAATCCATAACCAGCATTTTTGGAAAAGCACAGCCAGCACTCAGGAGAGAGATGGGAATTAGAAATGCAGACTGGGGAGGAGAGATGAGGCCTTGGAGCCCTGAGTTATTGCCCATGTGGGGAGCGCTGAGAGCGGAAGGGAGACAGGCAAAGCCGCCAAACCTAGGGGAATGCCTCCACGTGGGGCGGGGGTGGAAACAGAGAAGGAGGCAGGTGTGAACAGTAGAGAAATAGAGGCAGGCTAAAGAGAGGGCATCGCCACACAAATCAAGAGGGAAATTAATTTCTTGAGGATGTGGGGCTTCAGGTTGCAACGGTGAGTGAGGAAGCACTGAGAAACTAGGAGAAGCTGTCTGAGCTATTTTTTAATGAAGTTTAATGGTGAATGAGAAGAGCTATTGGGGGTGCAAAATTGAAGAGATAAGAACTGAATAACGATAGAAATTTATTTTGCTAACAATTGATGAGATTTGTGAGTATCTGTGTAGGCTGAAGTTAAAGACTCAATGGAGAAAGAAAGTAAAGAAAATGTCGGTTTGTCTTTGAGGGATAAAAGATGCTATCGGAGCGTTTCCTCTTAATGAGATCCATTTCCATCACCGTCTGTGTAGCACACCATTAAAAATAACTAACAGACAACGTCTTTTTAAATGACACATTATTTTACTTAAATCTTTACATCTGAATCCTGTTCCTGCTTATTTTCCTGCACTTGTTGACAAGTCATTAGGAAAAACAGTGTTTAGTTCAATATGGCCTGTCATCTAAGAGACCTGTGTAGCTTAAATAAAAAACTGATGGATTAATAGTAGTTAAAAAACAAAAGGCAGAATGCGATGGATGGTCCTGTATCTTTTCACCCGCCATAATATACGCATCTTTAGACATACATACACAGAGATAAAATAAGCAGCAGGAGGGAAATAACATATAGAAAACTAGAAAATCAAAATGAGATGGCTAGAAACATTTGCAAATAATTTATAATCAAAATATAGAAATAATCATTCCACAAGCCTAATTTATTTAATATATATGTGCTGCCAAAACATAATTCTTATCTTAGAATTTCATAATAAATGCAATAATTAAATCACACAGAGTAGACATTGACAAAACAGCTAATGGACTTCGGATTTAGCATTTTTAAGATACAGGATTTCTTTTATGTGATCCTTTGCATTGATATTATTTTTAAATACCATCTAATATCCTGTTATGGATTTTTTTAGTAGACTGCTTAACAAAATGTCACCAATCCATGAGAGCTGGCAGGAAGTCAATGACACTTTATCACAGAGGATTGCTGGCATGTTCATCATAATAATGATACCTCTAATATGCATTAACAGTTTCCGTCCATTTCTCAAAACTATTGAGAAACTATTGGATATCAGATACCAACTGAAATGTGGCCAACTTGATATTATGACATACCAGTCATTTAGAGCTCTTATTCCCTGACCAGAAACCATGCATGAAGGCAGAGAACAATTATAGTCTCAGAGTTACAATCCTAGGGAAGAAGAGTTTGTGGGGAGCACGTGGTGATTCAAAATAAAATTGAGTAACAGAATGAAATAAACATCACCGTTGGGCTATTTCAAAACCTACAGAGTAGTTATTAAGAAGGTCACCAATGCATCTATGATATCTACAAGGGCTGTGCTTGGTCTCTAACTGCTCGTGGAACAACCCACTGGTTTCTTTTGCTGCCTAATGTATGCTTATATTTATTTCCCTAGGGAAGAAATCTGAGAATTTTTTTTTTATTATGGGGACTTTACAAGCAAAAGAAAAGAGCATATTTACCTATTCCTTCCTGCCCCCCACCTATGAAAGCAAAACTGATCTTACGCAATTGAAATACATGCGCATACAGAAGCAAAAGTTACGAATTAGTATGACCATGTATACATCAGATTGACCCCACTTATCTTGTGAAAAAATAAGATTACATGCTGAAGTGATGTGGTAATAAGCAATTAACCAATGAATCAGGGTGGAACTTATCCTCTTAATAACTGAAATGTGGTTTTACTGCATTTGAGAGCAGTATAATTTCAAAGAGTTCTATGTAAGCTCTGAGGCACAAAGTTCTAAGTTTTTGTTTTAATCATTTCTGTATTTTATTTTCCATAGACACTGATTATTTTATGCCATCCTTTCCACAGTTGCTTGAAAATGTAGTCTAGAGAATCAAATTGATTTTTAATTATGAGTTCTTGATTT
This sequence comes from Homo sapiens, assembly GCF_000001405.40. NCBI lineage: Eukaryota > Metazoa > Chordata > Mammalia > Primates > Hominidae > Homo > Homo sapiens. Next base: position 182,394,723 of record NC_000004.12, read on the forward strand.
TAGCCTTCAGATAAACTAAATTGAACCAGAATATTCTTAAAGCATAAACAATGGATTGTCTAAATTCCCAGCTCTCATTTCAAGTATTCGCTAATGTGGCATTGATCAATCTACAATTCCCAGACTGAGCAGAAGTGATAGGAATATTGGATAAAAAATGCCGTACAGGCCAGAAAGATAAATTGTTTGGGTTGTCTTTTTGCAAGTTTGAGGTCACGATTCATTCATCTTGTTACTTTGCTATATCCCTTTAGTGGCTTCAATTGCAGGATTAAATATTGAATGGTGGCAGATCATTCAATATATAGGCTCTCATAGTTTGGCATTAGAGGGCTTTTCATGCTTAGAATGGAGCTGTGTGCACACAGAATGCCAAAGATAATCGTGCTGATGATCTAGTCTGTGAGATTAATCCCTCAACAATATTATCAGACAATTCTTAACACATGGATTTGTCCCTGATATGACACTTCTGAAACAAATGGATATACTAAGCATTTTAGGAGTAACATTGAGCCTCCTATACAGCCTGGCTTTTTCAGGAAATTAACCCATTAGGAGATTTGGCCAGAAAAGTCCAACACTTTATCACAACCAGTGTTTATGACCACAAAATTATATAAGAGTCAATTTTAAGAATCAAAATGCTTTTAGGGAGTACTGATTAATAGAGGATTAAAAAATAAAAATTAGTTTGGGTAAAATGTGGCCCTCAGGGCTAAATATGCCAAAGGAAAGTACTAAATTAATATACTGTCTTATAAGTCTAATTAGCCCAAGAATATTCAATGCTGAGATATTATGTTTAAAATGTTTTAATTGTTGCTCTCCTTATGCACTTTGATAGGGGAGATGCTGAGCCCTTTAAAAGAGAAATGGAAATGTTAAAGGTTGAAAATTCATTATTTAGTCAAGAGACCCGGAGTCTTGAAGGATAAATGCATATGCTTTTTAAAAATAAAATGTTTTATTTATAAAACATAAAAATTAAAGTTTGACAAGGACAAAGAGGTCATTCAGTTTCTCCTCCTGTTTGTGCGGAATTATTTTATTTCACCTTTGGCTGAATGGTCTGAAATGCCCCAGATGTTAATTTTTCGCTCTGCTCTGAAATTGCTAAAATCCAGAAGTTCTTCAAGGTAAAATCATCTTGGGGTGTTTAGAGGAAGAGAAGAACTTGCCTAAAATTGTTTTGTCTTAGAACTACCTAATTCACTGTCCCCAAATTGTTATTTTTAATAATTATAATGATTCCATTTTATACTATAAGCAGTTGTATAAAATAGAATTGTCATTCCATTTCAGTTGTCATATTTCATTTTTTTTCTCAACCGAAGCATATTTGAATTTTCCTCACTTTTTACAAAAGAATTTCAGCTTTGAGACTCAGGGGTACCTGTGCAGGTTTGTTACCTGGGTGCATTGTGTGATGCTGTTTTCTTACTTTCTCATAAGTCAGTTATTCTGTTGCCTTCATCGCCTGCATTCATCTCTGGCTTCCTTCCAGGCTGCCCCTGTCTTTCTGGATGAGGCTGTCTAAATACAGTTTTACTATCATGAGGAAGCCTAGTATTTCTAGAGACAGTATAAAAAAGAATGCAGGCCTTAGAGTCAGCCAGTCCTGATGTCTTCCACTTACAGCTGTGAGACTTTCATTTACTTATTGAAATCCTCTGCTCCTTGGTTTCTTTCTTTATAAAATGGAATGCAGCTATCTACTTCACAGGTTGTTGTGATTCTTAAATAAAACAACAGTGGCTGGCACAGGTAAACAAGCAAAAAATAGCTATTATTATCATTATGGTGCACTTCTTCATTGACATGTTATAAATTATTTCAGATTGAGGTGGAAGTCTTTTACTTTGATCATTTTTAAATAAAAGAGATTTTGTATTTGTCTATGACTTCTTTTGAATCAAGCCAGGTTGGGTTGGATTATATAAAAGAAACAAATCCTGACCAGGCACGGTGGTTCACACCTGTAAACTCAGCACTTTGGGAGGCTGAGGCGGGTGGATCGCCTGAGGTCAGGAGTTCAAGACCAGCCTGGCCAACATGGTGAAACCCCGTCTCTACTAAAAATACAAAAATTAGCCAGGTGTGGTGACAGGCATCTGTAATCCCAGCTACTTGGGAGGCTGAGGCAGGAGAATTGCTTGTACGCGAGAGTGGGAGGTTGCAGTGAGCTGAAATCGCACCACTGCCCTCCAACCTAGGTGACAGAGCGAGACTCTGTCTCAAAATAAAAAAATAAATATATAGAATAAAATAAAATAAATCTCCCACTCAATATACCAATGAAAAGCCGTAAGTTTAATAATAAAAGAATCTTGGAATCACATGTATAATCAAATACAATTGCTTCCATCATCATGTTATGAATTAGGAACAGAAGAGTTAACTGTGTAAAAAAGGGAAAAATCTATAAGGATCTGGACAGGGAGACTCTGACTCAGTAAGAGAAGGAAAGTGTGAGCAGAGTAGGGAGACAAGTAAGAAGTAGTTTTTAACATAAAAAAAAAAATCAAATTAGCTGGGTGTGGTGGCGGGTGCCTGTAATCCCAGCTACTTGGGAGGCTGAGGCAGGAGAATCACTTGAAACTGGGAGGTGGAGGGTGCAGTGAGCCGAGATCGCACCACTGCACTGCAGCCTGGTGACAGAGCGAGACTCCATCTAAAAAAAAAAAAAAAAAAAAAAAAAAAAAAATCAAACAAGAGGTAATGGGAGAGAGCAGAAAAAGGCAATGAATGGAGAGTCTAGGAGGAGACAGCATAATTGAGCACTCACTGTATGCCAGAGGCCACAGGACACATTTGTATTAAGACTGTGATGTGCCTTTTATCTCCACTTTATGGATGAGTTATCCCAGGCTGAGAAAGGTTAGAATCACACTTACCGGGGCTACTACCGTAACAAGCAATGGAGCTGGTATTAAAACACAGGCATTCCTCACAATATCATGCGCTAAACCAGTGGTTCTCAACCTTCGGTGAGCACGGAATCACCTGGAGGGCGGCTAAAACAAATTGCTGGGCCCCCTTCCCCCAAGTTTCTGATTCGGTGGCTCTGGGCTATGACTTGCGAAGTTGCTGATGTTGATGCTGCTGGTCTGGGGACCATACTATGAGGACCACTGCTCCAAATGACTGCGCTCTACTTCTGTGCCGTGGTCAATAACGATCAAGTGGCACCCCTAGGTTAGACGCAGTGGTGATTTCATTAGGTTCTTACATGTGGCCCCTCCATGTGGCAGGCTTTAGTTCTCTGTTTCGGATAAGTCTGGCATTTAATATTAGAGAAGTACTTTGAGTCCTGGAGGAAGCAGTAGCCTGGACAGCCCATCAAAATAGAAATTCAAATAAGGGGACTCCAGTTATAAGGACCCTTTGTCTCAGGAGCAGGGCAGAAGCTCATTTACTACAAAGTGAAACACCAGATTGGATCGCTCGCGTGGAGGGGACTTGATGCTGGATCCTTTACGTGTTAAACTGAAGCACATTAAGTTTCTTCTTACTAAGGGTGAGATTGGCTCCAGATCCTGGACAGGCATTAGGCTGTGAGTCCTATGCCTCTAGCTATGAGGAGAACCAGAATGTAAGGACAAGGGGACACACACACACATGCACCCCACACCTCCACTGGGGTTACTGTAGTTACTGAACAATTACCACAACTTTTTCTCTATATATTCCTTTATTTCAGAGGTGCTGTTATATAGATTCCACACAGTGTTTGTTGACTGACTGCCCAGTATATATTAGCTGACTTAACTGTGAATCGCTGTGAGAGGGGCATCAAAGAAAAGTGAAAAGTGTCTCTATGTCTTTCTAACTTAGTATGCTGGGTTCCTAGGAATGAGTCGCATGCAGATAGGAGTTGAATAAAATCTCATCTACATACTTGATTGGCAGTGACTTGAAACAGGGGTGTTACAGGCATGGAACGTGGAGGAAAGGCAGATGCCACATTTTCAGTTTTTATTTTGCTGATAGCCAATTGGCCAACCAGATATAGTTGTGACAAAAGCTAAGTGTCTCTCTTTAGGGTAAAAGGAAGTCATTACAATAGCACCAGAAAACATTTGGTAAGGTCTTTTTGAACTTGGCAGCACCTTGGGTTCTACGCGAATAAGTCAGAAGACCTGAACTGTGATTTGGGAGTTAAAAAATGGATAATTGCCAACTCCTTAGTTCAATTCAATTCAGTGCAGTTCAGTTGAGTTCACTCAGTAAAATCCAGCAAGTGTCTGTTGATTGCCTACTTATGTTTACACTATGCACAGTCCCGAACTCGGTCTTGTGATGGATAAGTCTGGGCTCTGTCGGGCGACTGAGGTACCCTGTACACTTCAGGAGGAACGTTTCAGCTTTCAGATGCATTGACTAATAAGCTTATAAATCATTACATACAATCCGTAGAGCTAAGTGGTACCTAAAGGAATTAGCAGACCTCAAATGCCCGGTTCACACCTTGGCTAAACTATGAGTTATAAAGGTAAATATTTTTGGTAAAATATTTTGGTATAGGAATGAGTGCAGACACTGTTTTAGAATACTTAAGTGGTACTTTTTTTTTTCATCTTTAAAATATCCTAGACTTTGTTTCTTCATAGAGAGAACCTCCTAACTGAATTCTAAACGTGTTAACTGTTTCCTTTCAGTGAAAGCTGCTGAGCAGAAGCTGCTAGCAGTGGCTACCTTTGAATTCCCATTATGCTGTGACAGCCAGTAGTACACTGCTTAACTGGGACAATTTGTTTATGGGTACATATTTCTGCGTGTGAAAATTAGCTATGAGTTTTCTTGGCATTAGTGATTAGTAATATTTCAACTACCTGATCAGAAGAAACATTCTAAATTCTATTTGCTCCTATAGACAAAGACAAAACAAGTTTTCCTCTGCAATCTCTGTGTTATGCCATGGCCCATTTGAGCTGTACAACGCACTGCTTGTTCAGTTTTTGTTACAACCTTCATGGAAGATGAAAAACATACCCCAAACTGCTATGCAATAAGATCATTGCTCGCCTGCCAGTTTGCAGTTTTATATACAGCATGTTATTGTTGTGGAATGAAGTTTATGGAGAGTGAGTCTCTGGTAGTCTGTCACTTCACCTGACTACAGTAAAAGGGTCTCCAGGTAGGCTGTTTGTAACTATTGTAAATATTCCTAGCTTTGCAGAGTCTTGGTGGTGAAATTTATGAATTAACTGGCACTCCTTCTTTGCTATTTTAAAAATTGAAGTTTAGTTTCAAAGGCCATTACCTGTTTTACTTGTGTGTCTTGGGGAAAGAGGAGACAGCTCTTAAGATATTGAAAATATTTTCTTTTATTTTCTGTCTCCATTTTTTTGTTATACTTCAGAGACCTTATGTAATGTTTAATGTTTCCATTTACTGTATGCATTTTCAGCTTTAGTATTTGTCATCTTGTTCCAATTTAATGAAAGCTTATTTGGCTATGGTTTTCATTGGAAAGCAGAACACACGTACAATTTTCAGCAATAATATATATTTTTCCTTTTCTTTGGATTTGAACAGCCTTCTAAAATTTTCTCTACTGAAATTCTGGCAGAGTTATTTCTTCAACATTTGGCTGAGGGTTTGGAATGTTTTAAACATTTGAAGTGCCTGGGATCAATTACTGTAACCTAAAATGGATAACCTTTAAGACACAAAGCTCATGTTTTTCTTAATCATCTCATTACATGACATTTTTCTGTTTGTATATCAATAAAACACTGTATGTTGGCTAAATAGGCTCATTTCATTTATTTCCAAGTACTGTTGATATTGTAAAGCTAGCATATTACATTTAACATTAAAGTTATTTTTAAGATATAACATCTTTGTGGATGAGAAAAATAAAATCCAGAAGATGGATAAACTTGAAACAATTTAGCAGTCTAACAAAGTATAATAAATAGCAAAATCATGGATTTGAAATGAATCTTTAAAAAATTCACAATGCAAGCATATTTTTAAAGCTCTGTTTTTCTAATTAAGGGAGCTCCAAGAGCTTTCTTATTTATTCTCACTAGTGTTATTTCGTTACTGAAAAGTTTTTTTTCCACTATAAAATCACTGCTTCCTCTGAGAGATGCTTACTTAGAAGGGATTATGTAGGAATATCCTGTTATTTCTATTTATCAGGTTAACCGTGGATTCATGTTATACTATGGGGGTAGAAAGCAAGGCAAGGCATTGCCAGCTTCAAGATTTGACTTTTGATAAATATAAATGTGGAGCAACCCCGTGCTGCTGGTGCGTAGTGGATGTGATCCATGACGGGCAGATGGCTGTAGCGATGGAGAGAAATATTATAGCCAGAACATTCCTGCTTCTGCTCCACTGGACTCAGAATACATTAACAGGGTCCTCTCTCAGCTTGGAGTTTTTTTCCCGATGATGGATTAGTGATAAACTCATATGCAGGTTATTCCGGAGTTCCTCTGAAACCTTAGCTTTTCATGAATGAAAAGGTCCTTTATACATTTTCTACATCCTTTAATTTTTTTCCCATGGAACTAGATTGCTTTGTACAAATTTATATCTCTGTTATCTTCTTTGAAATAATAGAGAGCAGTTGTCCAGTTTTAATGCCTTAATTATTTGTTTGGTGGTTTGGAGAAACTTTACTGTTCCTTAATGAAATACATTACATTTAGTAAAGAGAGAACTTAAAAGTTGAAATTATTCTTTAAAATACAAGCTAAGATTCTCATGAAGCCAGAAGTCTCCTTGCTCATTTCGTCCTAAATGACTTTTGATATAAGGCCAAACTTTGTGCCAGATGTGTGGTATTTTACAATAATTACATGGCACAAACCTCCAGTCATTTCCACTGAGACCATTCAACATCTGTTTTATCAAAATGGCTTTCAGTTTTTTTTCAGGTCCACAGATGAGTAAGAATATTAAGTGAGACACTGAGTCACTTACTTTATTATTTCATAGTGTGAATTTCTCTTGTATTTATCTGTTTTAAATTGCCACAGACCTAAAGATTTCTTTTAATGACTGGTCATAACAGAGTTTGTTTCTCTGATATTTTGAGGTAAAAATTTTAAAGACATTCATTTAACATTTACACTTTCTATTCCCTTTATTCTGTTACACATTGTAGTTCCAAATGCTGATGAAAACTTAATAAGGAATTGGTCAGGAAGTAGATGAGAAGGGATGGTGCGATCCGTTATTACCATTTCCACTTTGAGACCCCTTTAGCTTTTGACCAGCCTACTTCACTGTAAGTCTTCTTATCTGTGCTAAACAGAATTTACAAGTATCGACTAACAAAGACAAATAGTCAGAGGTCATAAGTGGAAGGGATGGCAGACCCACGTGGCAGCGTGAAACGGTTCTTACTCACCTGTGGGTGCTCCCAAAGCTGCATGAAGGGCCATTTGCTAATTTCCCTGGGCTCAGGTGAGGGGATATCTCTTTCTGAATTCAATACCTGCTCACGTCACTCACTTTATTGGAATACCCAAATGCACAGGTCGTTTATTTTGCTATTCTTAAATATTTTATTCAAAACTATACGCGGAAAGACCTTTATGTTAATTATTTCTATCTAGATGGGCAAAATATTATGTTTGGGAAAGTGTGAATTCCCTCAGTGACTTTTGTACAGTCGCTCCACATGCCTCAAAATCTTGTATACTAACTGGCTGCTGTTACAGTAAAAACAAGGTCAGTGCAGCTCTTCAAAACACTGTGCTTTCCCACTGACGTTTGTACAGTAGTCAGTTTTCTGGGCCAACGTAGACGTAGCCAGCCATAAAAATAAACATGGGCACATTCATGGCCCAAAATAAATCAAAGTGGACATAATGAAAATTTTCCAGTAAGCTTAAAAGAAAATTTAATATACTTCTCTTCTTTTTTTAGGAGGGTCAAGCAGTTGGTTCGGTTTTCATTGGAATTTTTATGTGGGTAAAGCTTCCTGTTTGCTGCGCTTGCCTAGGATTTTCTTATCCCACAACTACAATGTGAACAAAGAGATGAGAGAGAAATTATGCTAATGCATTTTGGTGGATCAAATGAGTGTTTCATGAGACAACTCAAATTTTTGTTAGCTATATGGTGTTGGAATATAATTTCAAAGACAACTAAGCCCTAAAATAGGAGATTTATTTAAAACATAACTTTTCCTTGAATGAAAGGATGTTTTTGTTCTTTCTCTGACAAATATGATTTGAGAATAAAAGGAAATATATAACCATGATGGAAATGTATTTTTGTCCCAAAGCTGATTTGTCTCAGATATTTTTGGTCACAGTTCAATTATTTCAAAATTATTTTTAGGTTTTTAGATTCTTGCTTTGGTCACATAGCAATTTTGTTCCAAAGATACGAAACCATGTAATCCGACCATTTCCGAAGCTGGGCTCTTCAATATTTCTATCTTTCAGACACAGTTTGGCAAATACGGCAGCTCAGTCAAGTGAAATGTGCTGTAAGTCCTAGGGTTGATTGGTCAAGAATAAGATTTCTCCAGTAAGACATTTTTACAAAGGCACGATGACTATACTTTCATAGTTCAAACAAACAGAGCATAAGGAATTATTCTGAAATATAATGATGGTACAGCTGTAACAATAAAAAGGTCTGTAATAAATAAAAGATTGTGCATCTGTTTTAGAAGACCTCTGACTGCTATACCTTGTAACTTGCCACAGGCCTGATGCACTATATCTTAACTCTAAGTACAAATGCAAGAATAGTGTATATCCTACATTATGTTATGTCTCAAAGAATTTTAGACAGATAGGGACACACTATCTGATGGTGAAGAGACGGAATCGAAGCTGAAACATCAGACTGAATTATGTTTAAGTATTATCTATTCTTCTGCAAAGAAAATTAGCTTTTATCTGTTTTTCTAGAAGTAGTGATGTGTCTCTGCTAAAAGAAGCACATTCTTACCACCGTGGAACAATTGGATGCCTTTATGAAACCGATGTAGTTTAATAGCAGGTTCTTTTGGGTGAAAATTGTTTTCTAGTTATTTTATTTTATTTTGGGGATGGGGTCACCAGGCTGTGGTGCAGTGGCATGATCATGGCTCACTGCAGCCCCAACCTCCTGGGCTCAGATCCTCCAGCCTCAGCCTTCTAAGTAGCTGGGACCACAGGCGTGTGCCACCACACCCAGCTAATTTTTAAAAATTTCTTTGTAGAGACCAGGTCTCCCTATGTTGCCCAGGCTGATCTTGAATTCCTCGTCTCAAGAAATCCTCCTGCCTTGGCTTCCCGAAGTGCTGAGATTACAGGCAAGAACCACTGCACCAAGCTGTGAAATTTGTTTTCTTAATTGGTAATAAGAACTTGGGCTTATTATCATCGTGCTTTAGAATTTGCTAATTCCTTTTTTCAATCACTGTCAGTACAGTCTGACTCCTTTTAATTCCTGACATTTTTGTTCCCCTTCTCATCCAGTAAAATAAGAATAACCACAGCCTTTACTTTCTCCAGTGCAGTAGGGTGTCAGGAGGACTATTAAATATAAAGTTCTTAACAGTTTTTCAGTGTAACCTAAATGTGAAAAATCTATGAATGGTTAACAGAAAGTATTCAATCTAAATCCTCCCCAAGGTCAGAAATATTATTTTGGAATATGAAAAACTACACCTACAAAATGAAGTAATTCATCACTTTAAAAAACAAATTTGGAGTTTTTAATAGAAGCCAAACTAACTCAGACATCTAAGCCATCAATAAAGCTTGCCAGAATTTGAAGAGAATATCACGATGTAACTCTTTTTATGGATCAAGTACAAATGAAGTTGACAGTGTATGCCTAATCAGAGTGCGGAGAACTGGAAGCCGCCGACAGTATTTCCGCTTTCTCATGTTGACACATTGTGTGTGCAGGCAGCAGAGCCAGGCTGATTAAAAATGTCAAGACTTTGCTAATGTGAAGCACATGCTTTCAAAATCTGAATTTGAGTTCACGAGGCCCCAATCTGCAGCGTGTAAATAAAGTACATTTATTCATTAATGCATTCACTTATGTTGTGTTCAAGCAGGACAACTCTTAGGAAACCACGTCCACGTTAGCTTACTATTGATTAGAATATACAGCTCCTCATCAAAGGAGCTTGAGAACTGGAACCACACAGCTGTGAGCTGAGGACAAGGCCAAGGTGGAGGTGAACAATCATTGCATTCTCCTTGAATGCTCTCCATCATCGCCGGTCACAGCGCTGACTCTCTCCCTTGGAAGGCAATTGTCTTCATAAACAGTAGAGAGCATCGGGAAGGTGGCTGAGAATGGCTGCTGAGGAACTTTATTGTATTGCGGGACTCCTTGCACTAGCTTCTTACCTGGCTTTTTTGGTTAAGTGTATGAGAAATCAAACCCAGTACCCAGAACCTGAGAAAGGTATTAGGCGTCATTACTCACTACTCCCAGCCAAAAGGCTTCATGGACTTCCATTTCCCTAGAACGTCCAGCTGGCCTCCCATGAGGGAAAATGAGCTCCCAGCCGCCGTCCTGGAACATTCCCTCACCTCCCCGCTACAATCTATCGCTTCTCCTGAATGCCTCCTTTTGTACTCACAGTAGATGTTGCGTAATTTTGGTGAGAGAAAGAACCCAAACCAAGGGCTAACGTGATCCTTACCTCTCTCGTCACTTTTCCTTTGTATACTGATGAGAGCGTACCTAAGGTTGTGCATTGAGCGGGAATAGATTGGATGCATGTTGAGTGTATGGAACTATGCTAGACACTAAAGGAGATGACAAATGGATAGTACCCATCATCTGTATCCTTAGGGGACTTGCCATATACCAAAGAAAGAATTAACAAAGAATTTGAAGTGGCACTTATCCATCCGTTTATTTAACAAACGTTCAGTGAGTACTTGTGCTGTGTCAAGCTAGGTCCTAGGTACTGGGGATATCACAGTGAGTAGAAGACTTGGTCCCTGCTCTTCCTCTGTAATTGTGGATTCCCAGGAGAGCAGTGCAGGCAATTTATGTTGTAGGAGCATGAGAGAGTTGCGCTAGGCATTGAAGAAAGTGAAATACTGATGAGTATGTTAGGATTTGGAAAGAATGAAGGGAAGGCATATTTGCTTCAGGCATGGCATAAACTCAGGGACAGAAGGCAGGCAAGAAAGCTGGAGGGTATGGAGGAATAAAGGAGCACCACAAGCAGGCTTGGGTCGGGAGGGAGCCTCTGGGTTTGCAAAGATGAGCCATCACTGGAGATGCTGGTGTGCGACAGTGGCATAAGAAGCAGTAGGTTGGCATGAATAATCTGGCACTATTGTGCAGGACGAACTGGACTCACACTGGGCATGGTGGTTCACGCCTGTAATCCCACCACTTTGGGAGGCTGAGGTGGGTGGATCACCTGCAGTCAGGAGTTCAAGACCAGCCTGGCCAAAATGATGAAACCCTGTCTCTACCAAAAATCCAAAACTAGCTGCATGTGGTGGTGGGTGCCTGTAGTCCCAGCTACTTGGGAGGCCGAGGCAGGAGAATTGCTTGAACCTGGGAGTCAGAGGTTGCAGTGAGCCAAGATTGCGCCACTGCACTCCAGCCTGGGCCACAGAGCGAGACTCCATCAAAAAAAATAAAAATAAAAATAAATAAAAAATAAGGCTTTTGCAGAAGCCTGGGCATGCATTAACAGGAGCTATATTTGTGACAATAGAGATTAGAAAAAAGGGACAGAAGGTAAAGTATTTCAAAAGAAGAATTAGTCAGCATTGGTAACTAATTGTAAATGTTAAAAAACAAAAAGCAAAAAGATGTCTTCCAGATCACATGGGGAACAATGATGGAACACCTGCCAGAAATAAGGGGCTTAGGAGAGAGGGCTGGCCGCCTGGAGAATTTAGAGGACAAGTTTGGCTTTGTGCTTGTCAAGTTACTGTTTACAGTGGATGTCTTTCTGTGGTCTGTGGCCCTGAAAAAGACATTTCCTCCCCCCAGTTTTAACTTTCAGTTAACTAATTATTCTCTAACTCCTTCACGTGTATCTGCTTTCTTTCATATCTCGCTATCTATAAAGTTTATAATCAGCTACAGATCTTTGTACATAGCAGAACATTCTACAGAACGTTTTGATTTTTACCTCCATTTCCACGAACAAAAATAGGCTGAAATGTCTTTGATTAATTATGGTTTCAGACGTTTCATGTCCTGTTCATAAGAAGCAGATTCGCCATCTTTAGATTTTTAGGTTAGAGGAGGGCAACGAAACGAACTTCAATGTAAGGCGGGAAACTAAAGAATGCTAACCTTACGTCCAGAATGCTGTTTGCTCTCATTCCCTATGAACCGATTAGAATTATAAAGAGGTGATTTGGGGAACTTTTTTATCCATGGTTCGACTGTAAAATAAACAGGCTGATCTGTGATGTGTGGCCAGTGGAAATCAGTTTTATTACTTGTTACTCATCCCGTGGAGATCTCAGTTCAGTTCTGGTGGACAGAGTTCGAACGTAAAAACCCACCTCTTCACATAAAATAAAATCAATGCTATGAGAAGGAATAAACTTTTGGTTATCATTTTGGAAAACCAATTTTTTACTTCTAGGTTGCATCTTACCCTTTTGGGTTGAATTTTAATAAGACGTATATTCATTTAAAGTGGAATAGCGATTCTCAGGGTCAGCTGCTTCATTTCACAGCAACTAAATGTATCAAAGTATGTCAAAATAACATATTATAGGGAAGTGTGACCCTTGAAACCTCTATAAAGAAATGGCTAGTAGTAAGTAGTTCAGATCTTTTAAATAATGTCATTCTAACAAGAAAGAAAATGTCACATTGTTTGTAACTTTTTATAACACTGTAACCTAAATGACACTGGTGTTAGGACCTGAGACCTTAAGCATTTGCTGAGTGAATGAATGAATGAATGAATGAATGAATTTTGTTACATATTGACCTTCAATAAAAAGAAAGACTTGGGGCCCGAACATATTAAAGCTATAAAGAATGACTCTGAATTTTAAAAGTTGCTGTAATGAAATTGACATTTGTTCAAGATATATTGCATCATTTAAAAAAGACATCCCAATGAATCATTAGCCAAAGACCTGCTTTTCCATAATATCTTTGCTTCTTTATGCTATCCTCAGGAATTCACTCTTCATTACCAAATCTTCCTTCTATTTTTGTCAAAAAGTATATTAAGTGTTAAAATGGCAATACCAATGCATTGAAAATACCTTTCAAAATTGATTTGCACATAATTATATATGCACTTACCTTGAGATTTTATGTTTATTCCAAACTCCTGCCCAATGTTATAAACCTGAACTACAGAGTTCAAATGCACCTGTCATTTCTTTCTTTAGTCCTGACTTACTCTTACTACAAGCCATCCAGAAGTAAAATCACAAACTCTTCATGGGAAAAAGGCACATAGGACCATAATCTAACACCCCAGTGTGCAGTAAGAGATATGATATTGACCAGGGAGTTTTCCTTTTTAGGTTCTGTTATTAGTAAATCATTGCAAGAATAGACATAAATATCAACTTAGTTGTATTTAAACTTTTTCTTCCAAATTCCATAAAAAAGACACCAATTTATCAACCATTCCTCCCAGAGGCCCTTTCATCCATATTCCTTAGTCGACAGTTCTTCTGTGACAATAAAATGTGAATAAAATGCAGGCAGAAATATGTATCATGTTCTGGGCAGTTAGGGGGTAAGGCTTTGAAAGCTCATTAACTGGAACGGTTGGTTGTGTTTCCCTAGAGAAAACCTTCGGACCAACTGCAAACATTTATCTTCTGGGAACAAAATGGGCCCCATCCCTGAAGAGGAGAAAAGGCCAGCATTCTTGACATGAGAGCATGGTAAAGGTGGGATTGCAAGGAATTAGAGACAAGGCTGCTAGCTATGGTTGGTTAACATCACCTAACACTTTGGCTCTTGTTAAAAAAAGAAAAAAATCAAATTTAACTAGCCTGATTGCAGAGTTTAAAATAAAGAGTCATCCTTTATAGTATACTTTTCTTATTAACATTCAGTGGATTCCGTGTAGATGAAATAGTATTCATCCATTCGTTCAAGAAGCATTCTTCCTCAAGGAGGCAGGTCTCTGAGCCAGTGTTATTTGCGATGCACACTCAAAAAATGAATCACATGGGATGCCCCTTGGGGCCTTTGGCAGCCTCCTTCCCGTTAAATTATCAGTGTGAGCATTAATTCAAGATGTGAAACCTCAGGCATGGCTGTATCAAGGCAACAAAGCAGCGAAGAGGCAGATTACAGATAACGAGGACCAGTCAGGGGTTCAGACAAACATGGCAAGCAGAGTTTCAGATAACTAAAAATTGCTCCATCCATGCTGTGGCACTCTGACAAATGAGGTAAACATCGCAAATGAGAGGAAGAACAAGGCAAGAGCTAGTGGCTGTGGCTCCTGGAGACATCCACTTTCAGCATCGTAGAGGTCTTTCTAGAGATCCTTTCTGTCCAGGTGAAGGCCATGCATGCATCAGGACATTTTTGGTCTTATCTCCCAACCAGAAAGCTCTCTCTTACCTGTTGGAGAACCTGGCATCCCACTGGGGTCATCTCTCAGAAGATACGCAGGGTCCTAGAAAAATGAGAAATGCAATACTTCTGTTATAACACAACTTCTATTAGAAAATGTAGTTCCTTTTCCAGTTTGACTTACAAGGAGCATATTTCCTTTCATCCCAGCAGCCAAAACAGAGGCCTCCTGGTCTCATTTTAACTGTAATAGCCCCAGGAGCTTTGGCTGCGGTATTTTCCCCTGTCGGGCCCAGATCCAGGATTGGGCTAGATATTCCACAACACAAATAACTGCATCCTTTCCATGTGTACATTGGTGCAGGCTCTCATTAATCACTTCTGGTTCTTCAGCAGTCGATGATGAGGACTCTGCCTCAGCCGTCTACTGACATGGGTGATTTGTCAAATAGATATTAGCTAGAGGAGGGCTTGTTAATTTTATGTATGTAAATATATTCTGAGGACAATGCCATAATGAGAATATTATGATCTGCAATTAATAGACATTTTCTTTAGTTATTGACATGTCCTCAAAAACATCTATATGATTATCATATTCCTTTTTATAATTTTCTTCTCTTTTTCTTTTTTCTTTTTTTTTTTTATTAGACAGGATCTCACTCTGTCATGTGGCTGGAGTGCAGTAGTGTGATCATGGCTCACTGCAGCCTCGTCTTTCTGGGCTCAGGTGATCCTCCTATCTCAGCCTCCAGAGTAGCTGAGACTGGCTGCAGAGTAGCCATCATGCCTGGCTAATTTTTTGTATTTCTGGTAGAGAAGGGGTTTCACCGTGTTGCTCAGGCTGGTCTTGAACTCCTGGACTCAAGCTGTCTGCCTGCCTTGGGCTCCCAAAGTGCTGGGGTTACAGGCATGGGCCACTGCACTCAGCCCCTGCTTTTTATAATTTTCAGTGTGCAGGGATCACGTTCTTCTATTTTAAATCCCTGCTATGTCTAATACAGAACACTAGAAGCTATGAATGCTGGGAAAATGTTGGTAATGAAGATGACAATAGTGGTAATGTGGTTAAGTGTATAATCACTAATTAGGCAACACTGTAATTTTCTGGTTCTGAAAATGGCGCAGCACATTCAGGAAGACTTTTTGCCTAGAGGCTTGTGTGGTCCTGAGTGCACACATACATGCCTGGACGCATGGCCCACGCAGAGCAGGGCAGCAGAGGCTTGGCAGCCAGGAGTCTCCTTGCCCTCTGTCTCCCGAGGCTCACAGTATTTCTCTTTGCAGGGCCTCGCTAAGGAGTAGCTCTCGGCTGGCAAGCTGCCACACAGATTTTTATAAAAAGGCATTTTCCTCATATAAAATAATTTGGGGCTTTCCAGTTACACCACATTGCTGTAATTAATAGGAGTCACTTTTTACGTAGAAGATCTATTAGCATCAGTGCCACATGAAAATTAAGAAGAGATGAGAGGCCAACAGCAGAGCAAGACAAAGATGAGAAATCGTCTTAACCACGAGGACCACAGATGAAGAGCACACGAGCAAAAATGGAAAAAAAAATCAGAGTTTTCCTAGGTTATGGAATATTTGGATATGAGCCTCACCTTTAGTTTTGACATATCATATTGAATTACAAGTGAGAGCTGGAAAAAAATGTGTATTCACTCTATTGGAACTAAAATATATTTTGAATATTTTCTCCTTTTCTTCCTTAAGATGTACATTTCCTCCTACCTGTACATTAATGTTCATGAAACGAGCATATATCATCATTTTTAATTATTTGACTCATATTTCCTCCCTTGTCATTGCTTCAGTGTGCTCAAAAGCAGGTGTAAAGGAGGAAATTAAAATAGAGCATTCACCTGCTGTGAGTCCCTATCGGCTGTAATGGTTGGATACGTGGACTTATCCCTAAGTCCCACTCCAGTGGTCAAGAGCCATTAACCAAAGCCTGTCCCTCACAGCTTCCTTCACTCTCGAGCCCGGTGATGCCCTGTCAGTCACCAGGTGGACACCATTGTGATTACACAGAAAGTAATTTCTTGATAGTAACTAACAAGATAACAATTTTTAGCATACTTTGTTGCTTTAAAGGTATTTCATGGAGAGTTTTTGACTACAAGTGTTTACTTTCCTGTATGCAGTCAAAGTCCAGCTGATTGTTGCATTAAATGCCCTCACTATCCCTCCTGGGATCAAATGAGAGAGGACCCAAGAGGTTCTTAGAAACAGGACTTTACAAAGAGGAGGTTCTGAGTATGGCATTGATTCTCAAAACTTCAGTTTGCAAAAGAAACAGCTAAAATGCAGTTAAAAATGCAAACTCCTGGCTCCCACCCTCAGATATTCACATATGGGTAAGTCTGGAGGGGGCCCAAGAATATGCATTTTAAATGAGTGTTTCAGATGATGCTAATGCAAGTGCTCTGGGAACCCTGGTGTAACTAACACAGGAGGGGAGGGGCGTGGAACTTTTCCTTCTCCTAAATTCACTCTGCAAGAGGAGATATTTTCCGTACTATGCGTTATTTTGACAGGTTGCCATTGAGGTGAGGAAGATAGTGAATACTTCCTGTAAAGAGGGCATTATCATGTGAGTTCATACTTTCATTCATACACCTTTTGCTTCTTCCTTGGTTCTAAGTACCAGTCACATAGATAAAATATAAAAAGGGACAAATTTTAAAACATTAATCAAAAGCAACTTAAGTGTGTCCATGGCTAGGAATAAACCAGGAACTGAAGCTGAAGTGAGGGTCTACTGGACTCTGGGTAGAGAAACAGAAGCAGGTAGAGTTTGCTTCCTACAGGATGATGAGGGCTAACAGTACCTGATCCAACGCCTGGACCCAAGTCAGCCCCTGTGTTTGAAATCAGCAGCTGGGTCGTGACTGAAAAGTCCAGAGAGGAAGTTGGGATAAAAAGCCTGTAAGCTCCTCCCTAGAAAGCTGGGTATCTGGGGTTGGCTGGCTGGAGCAAAGGCAGCCTCCCAGCCAAGACTTGAGTGCAGATACTTCCAGACTTGGAGACTGGATGTGTAATACACCCAGGTTCATGACAGAACGAGAGCTTCAAGGTGCCAATACAAGATCTGGTTCTGGGATTGGGGTGCAAGGGGTTAGGTGAATGAAGGCAACCAAAATACCACCAAACAGCAAGAGGTAAATGAAGAGAGACAGAGTCAGGGAATATATAAAATACTATTCAAAATGTATATGCAAATTAAAATTAAATTTATAAATAAAATTAATGCTGTGAAATCAGTGTTTGGAAGATGAGTTCACTGCATATGAAATGAAAATGATGAGTTTTAAAAAAGTATGTTTGATATTCTCAGAGTAATAAGGGAAGTAATAACATCCATAAAAGAATAAGAAATTATGGGCTGGACACAGTGGCTCACGCCTGTAATCCCAGCACTTTGGGAGGCCGAGGTGGGCAGATCATGAGGTCAGGAGATCGAGACTATCCTGGCCAATACAGTGAAACCCCGTCTCTACTAAAAATACAAAAAATTAGCCGGGTGGGTTAGCACTCACCTGTAGTCGCAGCTACTCGGGAAGCTTAGGCAGGAGAATCGCTTGAACCTGGGAGGTGGAGGTTGCAGTGAGCCGAGATCACACCACTGCACTCCAGCCTGGGTGACAGAGTGAGACTCTGTCTCAAAAAAAAAAAAAAGAATAAGAAATTATGAAAACAAATGAAACAAATACAGAATATATAATAAAGTACTACTGAAAATTCTGAAAAATGATTCTTGAAATGAAAAACAATAGATAAAATAAACTCTAGGTTCAACATAATTGGAAAAAATTATGTTGACCTGACAAGTAGTGTTAAGGAATTCCACCTTATACACCTTATATATAAGAAAATGAAAAGATTGAAAAAATGAGAGCAAATAAGAAACATGAAGGATGAAATGATAGTCTACAAAGTATAATATGAACATCAGAAGGAGCCAGTTACACAGAGGAGAAGCAGCATTCAAGGAAATAATGGTTAAGGATTTTTCAGAACTGATGGATAGGCAGGAAAAAAAAAGACACTTTTGGTAAGAAAATATAAAACATTAGGGATTCAGAGAAAAATATTACAGTAACCTGAGAGAAAAGACATTATCTATTATCTACAGGCTGGGCACGCTGGCTCATATCTGTAATCCCAGCACTTTAGGAGGCTGAAGCAGGTGGATCACATAACGTCAGGAGTCTGAGAACAGCCTGGCCAACATGGCGAAACCCTGTCTCTACTAAAAATACAAAAATTAGCTGGACGTGGTGTGTGGGCCTGTATTCCCAGCTACTCAGGTGGCTGAGGCACGATAATTGCTTGAGCCTGGGAAGCGGAGGTTGCAGTGAGTCAAGATCATGCCACTGCACTCCAGCCTGGGCAACAGAGTGAGACTCTGTCTCAAAAAAAAAAACCACATTATCTACAAAAGAACAACTCCCAAACCGAAGTGTTCTCATGAGCACTGATGGCAAACAGAAGATTTTCCCCAAATGCTTTTGACATAGAGAGTAAATAAGTGCCAACCTAGATTTCTATTCCCAGCTAAACTACCACTTCAGGTATAAAATTCAAGCTCCTAATGGAAAGGAGTAAAATATCTTTTATTTAATAAACAGTGCAAGGGGTGCAGATCCAAGACAGTTCCTATCTTAGAAGACCTTTCAACCTAGTGAGAACACAGTCTTGTAAACACTAATTATAACAAATATCTTAAATCACATAGATAATACTGTCAATGAGAATGTAATTTACTCTGTTACCACAAAAGTGTACTATTGTTGGAATATGTTAGTATAGTGAGACAATCATAGTAGTTATAACACCATAGTTGAAGATCTTGTTTATTACCTTTTACACACAGAGATCATACAATATATTTCTTCCAAATTTAGTTTCTAGAAAAAATTATTCTTGCAAATAAATTAATTTCTTCCTTTAGACAGTGGCAACTATATAAAAGTAACATTTTCATTTTTGCTGTAGTTGCTAGGAAACTCCTAGTCAAATTTTATGCCTAATTGTGGTGAGTGGACTTTTTTGAAATCATACCAGACCAAACCAGGATTTATTTTGCTAACAGTCATGTTCTCTGCTCTCTGTGGATCTGTCAAAATTTATCCCTCATTGTGTATGTTGTTAAATTTTGCAAAGTACTTTAAATCTATTTGGAAGGGGATACTGTGATTCATTTCTTTTAAAAGAAGAACTCTAAGTGAAATCTATCATTTTAATAATGAGTATAGAAAAAATACTATGCTTCACAGAAAAATTAGTTTTTAATAATTTAATTTCATGATGTGTGTGCACGAGGAAACCGAGCTTTATTTTTAAATGCATGCAATTACATTTCCAAAAATTACCATAGCAGTTTGGGTTTGAAGCAATGGATTGAAGTAAATCTTTAAAATAGGAATTCTGATTCTAAACTTGCATAGAAATGTAGTTCACTTTAAAATATGTATAATATTGAACTAATCTAAGGAGATGTGTGAAATAAATCCTTATAAAGTATCTCAAAGATCTATTGTGGGACTATTTAAAAGCTTTGCTGTTTAAATAATATATGAAATATTCAAAAATCTCTCACAGACACATGCACGTGCACACACATACACACACACAAAGATAAATGTAGATACCAAATTCACATAGAGAAAAAAGGTACAAAGTAGATATCAGCTTTACATTTAATTTTGAATCTTCTATGACTGTGACACAGTAAAACAATTTTCAGCTCTTCAGTTGATTTCACTTGTGCTACTTCGCTAGTTTTCAACCTTCGTTATTGTGTTGTCTAAACTGGTGGGTAAATTTTCCACCTTGAACACTAATAGGTGACACACTGTTAATCAGCATACCATTTCGAAATATCTTAATGCCCATTAAGTCTATTTTTTTCCAGAAGCCTATAGATTTCAGATGGCCTTTAACAGGAGGGAGAAGAAAGGGCAGCTTTTCCTTGCTTCTTTAGCTGTGCTTTCTGACCACAGCGGTTTTCAAGCCTCATGGCACATTTGAATGCTTGGTTGTGTCATCATTCTGGCACTGTTATCTTTGATTCCAAAAGAGAATGTAGCATTTCAAATGTCGGAAATGTGCTATAGATTTTTTGGCAGTAGGAAGGAAGTCAGTTTGACTTTCATGTCTTAAAGAAATATGTAATGTTATGACCAAAATTAGTACTCTCTGAAATTATTTTGCTCTGAAATTGGAAAGAGGTAATATACATCTATTAGGTTGTATACAAACCCTTTGACTGGCAGCCAGGTTTGAACATTTCTTTTTACTAGAAACCAGCTCTTACATATTCATTTATTCCTTTGGCATGATAAGAGAGGGAGACTGGGAAGGAAAAAAATTGCATTAAAAATTTTAAACTAATGTAAAGTAAGCTTTATTAGCTTAGAGGCATCATTTCCCTCTGTTTTCATATATGACAGTGGGTAAACAATCAAGTGCCAGTATTCTAAGTGTGCTAAATTGCCAATATGTCAAGAAACAGAAGAGTTTAAAATACATCAAGATGAAATAAATTATTGCTTATTGAACTTTAAGAAAATTATTTCAGAGTGAAACTTGACATGTAATTTAGCTGCAGTTTTTTCAATTGTGACCTGTTACGTTTCTGCTTTGTTTACACCATATAGAGTGCAGTTATACTGAGCTACTTGGAGTCGTTTAAAGCAGTTTCTTGGCATGTATATCATCATCCTGAGACACCTTATAATAAATTCAATCCCCCTGCCTCCCCAGCATGCCATATGTTAAATTAATTAAAAATAAAACTTTTAACCATACTTGTAAAAGTACTAAGAAATTGTCTCCACTAGAAAGCACCTGGAGCCTATGTTTTAGAATCCCTATGGTTAGTTGCTATAATATTTGTGAAAATTTGAATAATATGGGAAATGGGTAGTCTTAATTCACACACCAAGATAGAAGTTGCTTTATTCTCATTGATGTCTCCATCCGCATATCCATAATATGTTTTTATTTTCAACAGCTGCTTAATGTGTTATTCAAGTTGAGTTGAGGTATGGTTAAGCTTAGTGATATAAAACCTTCTGAGACATCTAGGAATGTGATATTTCTGACCAGCTGCAAAAATGGTAACCTCTTAGAAACAAATGAGCATAATAAAACAAAAAGTAGGCAGTGAGTGTATTAATCTTTTTTCTTCCTTGTGTTTTTCCTCTCATATTGCTTTCTTAAAAAAAAAAAGAAACCTTTAATAGAGCTCTAACCTTTAAAAGTTCTTTGAGTCAAGCAATTTTTCATGATCAAGCTGTCTCATGATTGTTTTTATTTCAGTTTAACATTTCTTTTGATTCACTACATTTTTTTAAGGTATTTATGAGATTTTACTCCAGAGTTCAACTGAGGTTAATAACTCGTGATTTAAATAAAGTCATTGAATATCTGCATGTGACCAAGTCAGTACCACTCTTGGGGTCACAATTGGCTTCCCAAAGTAACTATAACAAAATTATTCTAGATAGAATTTATTGTAAAATAATGAGTCTGTTTATACAGTTATGCAAAACATGCTCTTTCCTGTTAATAATAGGAAAATATTTCATTGCTTAAGAAACACCAAACCTGCAACAGAGTGCTTTAGAAAACAAACCATCGGAGAGGCACACGTTGTCTGCATCACTGCCTGCCTCACACTGGGTTTTGATGTTTTGTCATTCAGCATGTTGTTGATACGAATGACAAAACATTGAAATCTAAGGTGGTCAATTTACATTTTCTTTGTTGTTGTTGTTTTTTTCTGAGACCGAGTCTCCCTCTGTCGCCCAGGCTGGAGTGCGGTGGTGCGATCTCGGCTCACTGCAAGCTCCGCCTCCCGGGTTCACGCCATTCTCCTGCCTCAGCCTCCCGAGTAGCTGGGATTACAGGCGCCTGCCACCACGCCCAGCTAATTTTTTTTTGTATTTTTAGTAGAGATGGGGTTTCACCGTGTCAGCCAGGATGGTCTCGATCTCCTGACCTCGTGATCCGCTCGTCTCGGCCTCCCATAGTGCTGGGATTACAGGCGTGAGCCACCGAGCCCGGCCTCCATTTTCAATACAGTATGCAGATGGAAAACAATAATAGCAATTACATTTTGGACCTTGTTTCTCAGTGATCTTTCATATGTAACATTTTAATATTTATTAGTTTCTCACTAATTAAATATAAACATATAATACCATTGTAGCAAAAAGTTATCTAACCCTTTTACTATTGTGAATGGTATATCCTTGTATGACATGCTTTTTCTTTATTTTTTACTTGCATTCTTTTTTTGTAGTTTGCTAACATCAACTTTTAGGATAATGATAGAAAAAAATTCATAAAATACATTGATTATTTAAAAATAATGCCAGGAAGGACTTAGTATCTAATAAACGGCTAAAAGTCACTTTGAGGGGGAAAAAATTGTCAGACTGGCATCCTCAAGGGTCAAGAAGCAAAGATGAAAATAGGTATTAGGACAACAAAAGATACTTTTTATTCCTAAATGATAGTTACATTGTTATAGTATTTAAGTGAAGAGTGAAAATCCACCTCTAGGACGAAAGCTGAAGATAAAGCCAGGAAGAGCCCATCATTTTGCTATTTTCTTTGTTTTTAACATAGCTCTTTGAAGATGTAGATGATTGATAACATGTTTCATGATTTACCTAAATGTTTGATATCTGTACATCTCTCCAAAATGAAGATTTACATTTCAAAAGTTGAATTTATGTCTGAAGATTTATGTGTACGTGGTTTTTTAATATCCCTAATTTTGAAAAAAATTCTATAATTTGGCCCTAAATTATACTAAAACTGAATCATGGTATCATTACTTCCAAAACATTTATCTGTGCAGGTGCTAACATAAAAATGAAAGCATACTTTAAGATTTGCCTTGGAAACAGATGTTTTTGAAAATACTGGTGAAAAAAAAGCAGGCCAAAAAAGTAGGGAAACATTTCAATTCGAATATATTGCAGGTTGAGATTGTTGTAGAGAGTGGAGTGGCTAGAGAGAGCTAAGCAGTTTCTTTGAGGTGCAGTTTCACTTTTATTTTCAAAAAGCAAGTCAGTATAACAAGTCAAGGAAGATAGAAAACAGCTGAAAAGAACGGATTCTCCAGTAAGCATCGTTTATTTAACCACGGAATTCGTAATGTCCTTTGCTTATTTAGAAAAAGTTTCTGGAATTTGCCAGGGGGTCACAGACACAGAAGTGATCAAACCTGCATGATTGTTGGGGGGTGGGGTAGTGATAAGAATTTTACAACCTGTTTCCAGCACTGGGGGCCCTCAGGGGCAAGAGGAACTGAGAAAGGATGGAAATTAGATATAGTGTTTTTGTTTTTGTTTGTGTTTTTGAGACGGGCCTCACCCTGTTACCCAGCCTGGAGTGTGGTGGCACTATCACAGCTCAAGGCAGCCTCGACCTCCCCGTGCTCATGTGATCCTCCCACCTCAGCCTCCCACGCAGCTGGGGCTATAGGCACCCACCACAACACCAAGCTAATTTTTTGTGTGTTTTGTAGAGACAGTGTTTCGCCATGTTGCCCAGGCTGGTCTTGAACCCCTGGGCTCAAGCAATCTGCCTGCCTCAGCCTCCCGAAGTGCTGGGATTACAGCTGTGTGCCACCGTGCCAGGCCAGGTCACAGGTCTTAAGAGTGGGATATGACTTGCTGGGGCCAAGGACAGTGCCATACCTCTCAACAGACCTCAGATCTGCGGCACGTTCCGTCCTTAGGGTTATGAGTGGATACGACAGGAAGGTTATAAACAGAAGATGATAAAAATGGTTTTGGAAAATTAGTTTTCAATGCTGACAATTCGGCCTTACAAAGACATTCTATATATGAAATTATTTAAGATCTTTATTGTTAATAGTAATTATCATAGCAAGTAAATACTTCCTGAACACATGATGCAGACTCTGTACTAAATGTGTTACCCATGATCTTATTGAACTTTTATATAAACTCTGTAAAAGAAATACTGTTATTTCTGACACTTCTCAAAAGAAGACATTTATGCAGCCAACAGACACATGAAAAAATGCTCATCATCACTGGCCATCAGAGAAATGCAAATCAAAATCACAATGAGATACCATCTCACACCAGTTCGAATGGCAATCATTAAAAAGTCAGGAAACAACAGGTGCTGGAGAGGATGTGGAGAAATAGGAACGCTTTTACACTGTTGGTGGGAGTGTAAACTAGTTCAACCATTGTGGAAGTCAGTGTGGCGATTCCTCAAGGATCTAGAACTAGAAATGCCATTTGACCCAGCCATCCCATTACTGGGCATATACCCAAAGGACTATAAATCATGCTGCTATAAAGACACATGCACACATATGTTTATTGGAGCACTATTCACAATAGCAAAGACTTGGAACCAACCCAAATGTCTATCAATGATAGACTGGATTAAGAAAATATGGCACATATACACCATGGAATACTATGTAGCCATGAAAAAGAATGAGTTCTTGTCCTTTGTAAGGACATGGATGAAGCTGGAAACCATCATTCTGAGCAAACTATCGCAAGGACAGAAAACCAAACACCGCATGTTCTCACTCATAGGTGGGAACTGAACAATGAGAACACTTGGACACGGGGTGAGGAACATCACACACCGGGGCCTGTCGTGGGGTGGGGGAGGGGGAAGGATAGCATTAGGAGATATACGTAATGTAAATGACGAGTTAACAGGTGCAGCACACCAACATGGCACATGTATACATATGTAACAAACATGCATGTTGTCCACATGTACCCTAGAACTTAAAGTATAATAATAATAATAATAAAAAGAAATACTGTTATTTCCCTATTTTTCAGGGTGAGGACATTGAGGTTAACAAATATATTCAGTTCTATCTAGTAAGCTATAGAAATAGAATTTGAGTAAGTCTGCCTGATTGTTATAATTGTGCCCTATCTGTCAAGCAGCCTCCTGTTTTGAAGGAATTTCTAATTCTCATGGATATACATTTGGTGTTTGGAGAGGTAGATATTCGAGTTATAAGACAGATGAAAATTTGACTTAATTTAACACATTTGTGGCCATGAAATGAATTAATACTGGACAGCGGTTGATGCAGTTTCAGCTACTGTCACTCTGATTACTGTATGAGCGACTCCAGTCATCCATAGACAATAATTCATTCATAACTTTCTCTCTCAGTCACCACACACACACGAACTACACTGGTGAAGATTTATTTTTGCCGCATACGGACATAATTTGAGAGGCATGGCCTCCACGACTCTTCTGTGAAATGACAAGTTTTGTCAGGAAGTTTCTAGGCCTTTATCAGACTAAAAATAGAACATGGCTACAATTTTTCCACTGTAATACTTACTCAGATAAATCAGTTGAAAGAGATTATTAGGCTCAGGGCCACTAAGGGAAAACTTTAGTTCAACTCTGGCTGCTGTGGGGGCAGAATCCTGTGGATATGATTGTACACTCTTAGCATTGACATGAGGATTGATGAATGGATATACACCAAACTATAGGTATGTCAAGGTAGGGGCTGTTATAAAAACATGCTGGGTTAGTCATAATGGCAAACCAATAAATCAACAGTTGGAAATTCTGTTTTTTATTTGACGCACTCAGAAGACATATCTCCATGTGGAAAGATGAGGAGTTTTCTTATGTCCTTATCATTAATTATTCCATTTTGGAAGCCACATGCTTATTCTATACATTATCCTGATAGCTAAGAATTGATATCAGTGCAAAGAAAAAAAAAGTCAAATGCCAAAGAAGTAAATCCAGTTATTCCAGAGATTGAGATGGTTTCATCACTGAACAGCTTGCAGATAGCCTTCAGAAAGTAATTTCTGAAATGTATGCAATGTCATCAGAGATGTGACATTTTAAAAATAAAATTGCACTGATAGACTAATCAAAATCCACATTTCTCTGAGCCATTGTATCTGTCTTCATTGTCCTCACCCCCTCTTCATCTTCATCTTCACCCTCGTCATCACCCTTTATTATCTCACCTTCTTCTCATTGCCAACCACACTGAGAAAAGTAGATAGAGAGGACACTATCTCCAAAGTAAGTGAGGGCTTAGAGAGATTAAGGATCATCCAACGTCACTCAAGTAAGCTAATGGCCAAGAGAGCAATAACCACAGCCCTGACAATATATATACTCTTTCCTCTAGATCAACGTTTCTCCCCTTATTTCATGCTTTAGGTATGACTTTGAAAGATGAAATAAATGAGTTGTATAGTCTTAATTCCCCTTTGTTGCTCAGAAATATCCTCTGAGCATTTCCCAAAGAATCCAGAAGAGAAGACTTACTTCTGTTAGTAAATGTTTAGCCTCTGGTCATAACTATCTTCCTGTTTTGTGCAAGAAGAGCAAGCAAGAAAGCAAAATGTGACAGGGAGAATCAAAGAAAACTCAGATTTCTGCTCTCACATTTATATGGATCAGATCTATTTTTATATGTATTAAGGTTCTTTTAAAATAAAAGAAAATAAAATGAAAAGAGCTGTGAAAAAAAGAAAAACAATCTAAATGCTGTCTAATCAATAAGGAATATTCAATTCTTGATTTGCAACTTAGTCCATACCAACTAGCCAAAGTCCTCCCAACCATGACCTCAGGGGCTGAAATGGCCCTTTAGATCTACCAGGTTCTTGCTGGAGCTCATCATTCGGGATGACCATTGGCTGAAGGTCAAGTCCCGGGGCCAGCTTTGCAACTTGGCTTTTACATTAGGCAGTTTCCGTGCGAAATGAATCCCACTGTGGTTAGAAAAAAAACTGTTTTGAGATAAATTCTGAAATATTTCTGGTAAAAGACCTCTCATCTCCAAGCTCAGTCTTCCTTTTTTTCTGTGTTAAAACTATTTGTAATGTAAATGTGTTCCTGTGTCTTGAAACATCTCTGAAGCCACGCAAATTCGTATCATCCAATAAAGGTGCTTATTTATCAACGGATAGCTACACATTTTTTTCACTGTTTTTTTTTAAAAGAGTGTAGACTGTAGTGTTAGAAGTTCTAAAGCCAAGCAAGCAGTGGGCTGTAGTGCTTTGAAAACGGCATCATGAAATGAAGTTGCATCTTTAGAAAGCAAACACATTAGCTCGGTGGTGACATGGAAGGCGTAACCGCGTTGTTTTGACCTGTTGTCACATTGACATTCCTTCTTCTGTTGTTGGCTTTGAGTAACCTCGCAACC
The DNA here is from genome assembly GCF_000001405.40 of Homo sapiens. Taxonomy (NCBI): domain Eukaryota; kingdom Metazoa; phylum Chordata; class Mammalia; order Primates; family Hominidae; genus Homo; species Homo sapiens. The sequence goes on from NC_000004.12 coordinate 182,422,432, forward strand.
AAGTCCCTGCTGCCTTAAAAATTAATTATGATAAGGATTTCTTTTCAGTTCAGACTGTTCAAGAATGCCTCACGTGCAGGCTGCAAATTATGAAGTGTAAATTAGGGCATCACTGAGCAGGGAAGGTCCCAAGAAACCAATTTAAGAATTCTCTCCGGCTTTACTGGGGACCTGGAAATAGTCCCTTCTGAAGGAAGAACTTGAAATTAGAATCGACTTGTCATTCAATTTCACTGCATATTGGGATCAACCTTTGGGAAAGAATGTACTAAATATATCTGGACAAAAATTTTAAAAACTTTTTTTTACTGCTTATTGTACAGTTTTCACAGCTTTACTTAAAAATAATCACTACCAGTTTTCAGACACCCTTGTAAGCATGCCACATGTATATTAACTCACTTTTAGCAATTGTATGAAATAGGTTTTATTATTGTTGCCCCCTTCTTCCAGATGAGGCAACTGAGGCATGGAAAGTCTAAGTTGCGGAGCTCACGGAGCTCGTAGGTAGCAGGTTGGTCTCCATCCAGAGGCCTTGTTCCTAACCTTGAAATGACACTGCCTCAACAACTGGACTCCGTTTCTGAACTCTTCTTTCTTCCATTTACAAAACGGATGGTAGATAGATGGTTTTTAAGCTGTGATCCATAAAATTAATTTGTTTTCTACCTTCCAAAATTTGTCAACATCTCTTTTCTGCTGTCGTGGCCTTTCCTGTTCGGTTTTGTTCTTGTGTGTGTACGTGTGTGTATGAATTTTTTAAAATTTCTTTACTATCATTTTCTTTTCGGAGGTCTGCTCAGGTTGTGTAAAGTATTTTGAAATAGGACTTTAGGAAGAGAGGTGCTGGAGAAGAAAAAGAAAATATTAGTCACTCCTTCACGTCTTTAAAATTCTTTTTTCCAGATCACCTTATGTTTGTACAAGTTAAAGTTGAATCTCAAATGCCTCTGAATATAGTATAAAAGTTTTCACAGCTGTGGTCAATATGGTTGCATTATTCTTTCCGGCTCTTTGGTGATGTCCTGTATTAAGGATGTAGTGTTCTGAAAAATTGTGCTCACTCCTGAGACTTTAAAAATGGAGTCAACAAAGCCCAATGACTTTTAGTCAACAAAGAAACTAAAAGTTAGAAATGAGCACTAGATGAGAGAACAATGCCACTGTAAAATACTCTTTTTTAAAAAAATACACGCAAAGCTTCATATGTTAATACCCCAAGCTCCAAGATGGCCAATTTATTTTTGAAACAAGAAACACCTGTTTATTATCAACCATAACAATAATATGTTTAATTTTGAGAGAATCTTTTTGGCAGTTGTTAATAAGCCATACTGTAAGATTTAAAATAGTTTTAATATATTCTAATGGACTTCTTATAAGGCATGAGAAAATATATTTAGATGTTTTCTTTGCTTTCACGTAAGTTCAGCATTAAACATATGCCTTCCGTTAACTTTAGTCATTATTTCACCAGATTGTACTTAATGAAAAAAAGAAATTTAACAGTTGTGTCACTTTATCTTACCGTGTTCTGTAACTCAAGGGAAAAACTAAGACAGGATTAACAGTGACCCACAAGTACAGTATATTTTTGAAAAAGCAGTTTTCACTTGTAATGAGTATAAACTAAAACACATGGGAAGAAAAGAATCCCTATAGGTAAAAACCTAAGAATGGTCATTCAATTCTACTTCACTTAGTTGACTGGACTAATTTTTTCTGTATTTTCTTTGGTTGCAGTATCTACAATTAAATTTAAAAAGCTAACTAAAATTTAAAACACATACACATTAAAATTAGCAATTCAACTAGGAGCTCTTTTTGAAAAAGTGAAAAAGCAAAAATATAAATGTAATGTTTGTTATAAATTTGAGCATTAAAGTACCTTAATAAATCTTTAATGGCAATTTGCATTTTGATCTTTCCCAGATTTGAGTCTTTCAGTTAAAGTCACTCTTTCTAGCATTTACCCCTTAGAAAGCAAATATTGAAGGAAATTATCTTCACTGTTGATTTTGATTTTTTACACTTTTTTTTTTCATTTTTGACTATTACTATCATCTCTAGGTTGGGCCTATTTTTTTAAAAAAAATGTACATGACCAAAAATATTTAATGTAAGAATGTTTCAAGCACATGTTTAATATGAGGACTTTGCATCAACCTTGCCACCATTTAAAGAAATAATGCATGGACAAAATCATACAATCTGCCTAAAACGAACTAAATTGGCCTCTTTTTAAGTTAATTCCACGGAAAAGTAAGTGTGTTTGCTAGCGGCAAGATAGGGTATCACCATCTTTGTCCCTCTTAGTTAGCCACAGATTATTTTATGATTGTTTTAAAGCAATTGAGGTTAAAAGAAATTAAAAGGGAGAAAGAGTAGTAATGTAGAGAAAAATGCTGTTTTTTTGAACTAATTAAATTTTTTGCTGGCATTATGAAATCTTAAAATTATATTTAACCTCACTAGATAAGCCCCAATTGAGTATAGAACTATTACGTAAAAACTGACAGTTCTCTTTGTGATGACATGGTGTAATGTAGAACAAGAAAGATTTTTTGAGATGTCTCCTCAAAATTGAATACTTGCACATCGATCCTTATTTTCAGATTGTATGAGAATGTTTATTTTTGCATTTGTGACTGGTATTAATGAGGAAAATAGTCCAAGGAAAAAACTATATGATTCATTAACTCTTTACTTTTCACTCCATCCTAGCTGCTGTGCTGTTTAAAAATGGCTTCAGAAGATAAGCAACAGTTTTAAATAATTTGGGTGATTATGTTGGACTCCATTATAGTCTCTGGAGCAATATGTTCATTATTTTTATTTCTCCAAAAAAAGTCAAACAACAACCCAAATTGTTCTGGTTGCTTAAGACAATGACTGGAAGCATTTGTATTTCCTATATATCCTAAATGCTGAGATCTGGTCTAACTCATATTAACCTCCTCTGTAAGGATCACAAATCTTCAGATAATCTCCTGTATCTTAGTAATTTATTTTCTGTCAAACATATAAAACAAATCATGTTAAAACATTCCATTAAAAAGGGAGGGGCTTGGAGGAAATTTTTCCGTTGTAGTATGTGCTGCCTTTTCTGGAGTTCCTGATGAAACACAGATGTTTCAAAAGTGCCCACAAGGATGGTTAGCCATGATCAGATTGATCCCTGGTTACTCTCTGAAACATTGTGCTTCCATTCTTTGTATCAAAATATATTGCCCTCTTTCGCAGAATGAATTCAAGTGAATTTTCAACCAAAACTTCAATTAAAAACACTCAAAGTGGGCTGGGCATGATGGCTCCCGCCTGTAATCCCAGCGCTTTCGGAGGCCGAGGCAGGCGGATCACGAGGTCAGGAGATCAAGACCAGCCTGACCAACATGGTGAAACCCTGTCTCTACTAAAAACACAAAAACTAGCCAGACGTCGTGGCACACACCTGTAATCCCAGCTACTCAGGGGACTGAGGCAGGAGAATCACTTGAACCCGGGAAGTGGAGGTTGCAGTGAGCTGTGATCGCACCATTGCACTCCAGCCTAAGAGACAGAGCGAGAGTCCATGTCAAAAAAAAAAAAAAAAAAAAAAACACTCGAAGTAGAAATTGGAGGTATTAGAATTTTTATAATGGCTTATAATGCATTTCTTCCCAAAACGTTCTAAACATAACTTGTTTGGGAGTAAATGTCTCTTTTGACTTTAAGCAGGGCCAATATTTACATGTGAACCATAAGTTCAGCTCTTGTGGATACTGTGCAATATTCTACAGTGACAAAGAAATCAGTTTACTTGAGAAAGTAATTGGTTGCGTGGGTAGCTCCTTCCAAAGGCCCATATTGGAGAAGAACCACTGAGAATGTAGTATTCTATCTAGTTTGGAATCTTTGACTTTGAAAAACTAATGAAGAAAGTATATGCTATACTAGAAAAATTCTAAAATCAAAGAAACAACCTAAAGACCATTAAGATAGCTTCTAAAGACAATGACGGAGGACTGCCATTCCATCCTTGATACTTATGCAGATCTCTTTGCATAAATATAAAGAAAAATGTGAGTGAATGACTTTTCAAATCATCTTGATTTTCTTTTCAAATGACCCCAATTAGCACCATACTTTTATTAGAAGTTAAAATCAAATTGGGACTAATCTAGTCATTAATATAAAATAGTTGCATGTATTTCAGAATATTTAAACTGTATCACAATATTTATTGCAATGTCTTTATATTTTTAGGGCCCAGATCATTTCCTTTAGCTAATACTGTATAAAAACCTCTTATTATTCCATTATCCAGCCTGATAAGGATTTTTAAATTTGATGTGATTCTGAACCTACAGTTAATACTTTGACGAGTATAATTTAAATCATAACTAATTGTTGAATTTATAGAATAAATTCCCAGTCTTTCCAGACAGAAATTATAGTACCCCTGTGTTCATTATCTGTTGAAAAATATTGAATTTCTAAACATGTTTCCAAAATATTTGCCTTTCAGTTTTGCATACTTGTATTTCTAATTTTCTTCCATGCTGAGGCATCTGTTCATGATTTCTAGCTTATTTTCAAAATCTTTTTGTGTTAATGTTTTGGATTTGGTATTCAGATTCTTTATGTGCTGAGGGACTTCTGGAGACCTACTCACAATAATGACTTTTTGGATTCATAAATTTAACTCCAGTATAAACATTATTACTTTTTTTTCACTTGGGAAAATATTCAACTTTTTACTTCTACTCATTAAACCAAATCTGTGTTGTTACTTTTGTTTGTTTTGTCTTTACACTTTGGACGTTAGGATATATTAATGGCTGAGATCACATTTGCAGTCTCTCTGAAAATTGATTTTTAAAATACAATTCTGATTCCAGAATACAGAGGGAAAACTTTACACGACCAAAAGGGAGCTTTTGTTTGTTTTAGGGAGGGATAGTCATATTTTGAGAGAAACTTATCCTTTCGAAGAGCAAGGAAGCTGGATTCCCCAGGATGGAACTACTTGGCTCTCTTTTCTGCAACAGAATTGTTGCATTAAGGTAAAAGTCAGGCTGCGGTTATATGCATTTTCTGTTAATTTACTGAAAAATGCTCTCCTTCCATTTATATTCTTTGTAAACTGCAAGTCTAAGAGATAATATATGTTCCCATCTTTATCTATGGCTATAGAAAATGACATAGATAAATACCACTTTGTGCTAAAAATAAGCCTATAGTAATACAGAGGTCAGTCTTGAGTCATGCGGTACACAAAACAGACTGGATTTTGAGTCATGGCATCTACACAAAATGCAATACTGCTGAATTTTTATATTAAGAGGCTTTGGCTGAAGGAATTCAGACACATACACAGTATGGACCCAGAAATCTTGCCAAGAAAAGTTGAGTTGAAAATGTAGGGGAACTGATCCAAGAATAGGCCTTAAACATGTTGCATCCATTACTCGCAGCTGTGTACATGAGAAGTGACTTTTTATCCCACCTCCCAAAACCCTATCCAGCACTGTCACTTTTTTTTTTTTTTGCCAACTTGCTGACCTTTCTGTTCCCACAAAAGGAAAATGTGATTATTTAAAACATTTCTGCAACAAAAAATGCATCTAATGTATTTGCTATAAATACAACACATTTTTAAAGAGAAATTTCTTATAAGTTCAGTTTTGTGAGTAAATAGTAATTAATCAAAGGTGTGGAGAAAACCAACCTGGATTCAGAGAGCTAATGGATACTGCATTAGGTGCTTTTGGAAAGTAAAGATTTAGAGGAACTCCGGTTACTTAAGTGATAAGGAATTATTATAAAGGTACTTGGCAAAGAAAGAAAAAGCCAGAAATCCATTTCAGTAGACCTGGAAGAAATGAATGTCAATCAAGACATGTCAACAATTGTTCACTCAAGGAAGTGAGAGAGCATAAAGAGATGCCATAGGTACCTCACTGTAGCCACCTGTCTAGTTCCCATGTGCTTTGCTTCTCCTGCTTACGCCACCACTGCTGACTGATGTTCCCATTTTATCTCCACGTTCACTTTCCCAAAGATAGGATCTGATCAATTTGATGAGTCTTTATCTAGTATAGAGCCAGATCATTTTATGGATGCCAATAGTTGGAGTTCTTTGGTCAGCTATTGATTCCGTCAGTCAATTGGCATCCAAGTTACAGGAGTGATGCCATGAAGCCAAGCAGAAAATCCAAAAAAGTGGCCTTTGGAAGGCCTTGCTTGACTTGTGCAGCCCCTATATCTTAACCATAAATGTATATATTAGAATAATAAAAAATATTTCGTAAAATATAAGGTGCATTTTAAAAATACCTTATTTTGTTAAAATTTCCTAGCACAGTATTTTAATTTCTCCAAGAAATAATATAAAAAAATTAAAAGAGGAATAATTTGTATCATTGCTATTTTTTCTGTCTCTGATGGTAACTAATTCTTACTGAGGGTATTGTGTTGATATAATTGCTTCTCTGTTCCAGTAAGCATAATGGATTTATCCTGTTTTATGTGTGTATAAATATGTGTGACATACAGGGGGAAAGGTCCAGTATTTCCCAGTGTTAGGAAATATCTTTGTTTGTCTATTGACCTAACTGATCCTAAGGTAGCTTCATCCAAAGACTCCCACCATTTCCATTATTTTTGTGGGTGATATGTATTTGATGATTTTAGAACTGTTGATAATCACAAACAGGAGACTTACCTTTTTGTCTCCCACACTCAAAAAGTGTGATTTGCCAATTCACACACAACTAAATTGTGACAGAAATAATGACATTATTGAATTAGAGAAGAATTTAGGAACCCCAGAGGTAATATCATAGGACTGTTAAACATTATTTGGTATTATTGGATATAAAAACTAACTTTAATTTTTATTTGTATCCATCAAAACTGCTTAATTTTTATAACTTTTAAGGCAGTGTTTATTTCTGCTATATTTGATTGTGAAGTTTATTTGCCTACACATATAAATTGCATAAGCAATTTCTTCTAAATGTGTTGTAGATGTTTATAATACAAATAGAAATACTTAAGTACTTATTATTACTTATATCACAGCTATATTTAAAATTCTTTAGATCCAATATTAGTTTTTTACTAATTTATTGCCTAAAATGACTAATTGAATTTGACATTTCCATTAATGCCAAGGAGTAAAACTGTTTTGCCATAACAACTTAAATGAAATTCAAATGATTAGTTTTGAAGTTTGGAAAATTTCTAAATCTTTATTACCATGGAATCCAGTGGTCATCTAACAGCTGCAGTTGTATTAACCATGGTAATTCAAAATTGCCACAAATTTGGTTCAGGTACCAACATTTATTTACTCAGTGCTTACACATAGTACCATAAGAGATTGAACGATGAATAAAATAGGAACACTGCCTTTGAGATCTTACTAGTTCAGCACTGTAATAGCTATGTTCCTAAAGTATCTCATTTAATACAACTTAAAACAATCCAATGACATGCGTATATTACTCCTATTTTACAGACATATTTGAGGCTCAAAAAAGTTAGTTTTCTGAAAATTACACATCCAGAAAGTGTAAGAGGCAGAATTTGAACTGAAGCCTGTCTGACTCCTGCGTCTGTGGTCTTTAGTTTTCACCATTCTTCAATGCAGTATTATCACTGAGTGACATGACGCAGCTGTGTTTGTGGTCGGGAGGATAACATAAGGCAGCAGGTGGAAAAAACATTTGATTCATTTGCATTTGCTAGTTTATCATTGTAGAGAAAAATGTTATTAGGCCACTTCTTCTGCAAAGAGGCAAGGTATATTTGAGGAGCAGATTGTAGCACACTTAAAAAGAACGACTGTAGGCCGGGCGCAGTGGCTCACGCCTGTAATCCCAGCACTTTAGGAGGCCGAGGCAGGCGGATCACGAGGTCAGGACATCAAGACCATCCTGGCTAACACGGTGAAACACTGTCTCTAGTAAAAATACACAAAATTAGCTGGGCGTGGTGGCAGGCACTTGTTGTCCCAGCTACTCGGGAGGCTGAGGCAGGAGAATCACTTAAACCCGGGAAGGGGAGGTTGCAGTGAGCCAAGATTGTGCCACTGCACTCCAGCCTGAGCAGCAGAGCAAGACTCCATCTCAAACGAGAAAAAAGAGAAAGATTGTAGAGTGGGTTGAAGAAAGGCAGTAGATTAAGATTAAAAAGAAAGTCCAGTGCCTGAAGGCACGCTGCTCATGTGTGTCCTCCTAAGGATATTAGGTTTGGCTTTGTCGATCACAAAGCAGAGATCTGAGCAGGTTTGTGTTTTTGAAAGATAACTTTGGGCTGGGCGTGGTGGCTCACGCCTGTAATCCCAGCACTGCAGGAGCCGAGGCGGGCGGATCACCTGAGGTCAGGTGTTTGAGACCAGTTTGGGCAACATGGTGAAACCCTGTCTCTACTAAAAATACAAAAATTAACTGGGCATGGTGGTGGGCACCTGTAATCCCAGCTACTCGGGAGGCTAAGATAGGAGAATCACTTGAACCCAGGAGGTGGAGATTGCAGTGAGCCGAGATTGTGCCATTGCACTCCAGCCTGGGTGACACAGCAAGACTCCATCTCTAAATAAATAAATAAATAAATAAATAAACAAACAAACAAACAAACAAATAAATAACTGACTTTGGTAGCATGGAAAGGGGGTACTGATGAGGTGAGAAAAGGGGAGACAATGAATATTTAGGATGCTATTACAAAGAACCAGGTATAAGGTGATAAGGGTCTAGGTCTGGATGGTGCTTTCATGAATAGAAAAGGAGGGATGAGGCCGGGCGTGGGGGCTCATCCTGTAATCCCAGCACTTTGGGAGACCGAGACAGGCGGATTATGAGGTCAAGAGTTCGAGACCATCCTGGCCAACATGGTGAAACCCCATCTCTACTAAAAATACAAAAATTAGCTGGGCGTGGTGGCACATGCCTGTAGTCCCAGCTACTCAGGAGGCTGAGGCAGAAGAATAGCTTGAACCCGGGAGGTGGAGCTTGCAGTGTGCCGAGATCGCGCCACTGCACTCCAGCTGGCAACAAAGCGAGACTCCCTCTCAATACAAAGAAAAGAAAAGAAAAGGATGGGTGAGATTCAAGACCTAACTAAGGAACAACAGAAGCATCAGGATTTGATAATGGATTTTACGTAGGACTTGGAGGAAAGACAATTGAAATTTCTACCTTGGTTAACTAGATGGAGAGCTATGTGAACTGAGACACTAGGGACACGGGGAATGCCTGCAGGGGTCAGGGTGGCAGGTGGCATTTGACTTTGGATGTGTCGCATTAGAATTACTTATGAGTAGCCACAGTAAGCACTGGACATCATGGTGTAATACAATCAGAAATGAAGAGCCAGGGCCGGGCATAGTGGTTTACACCTGTAATCCCAGCACTTTGGAAGGCCAAGGCAGGCAGATCACCTGAGGTCAGGAGTTTGAGACCAGTCTGGGCAACATGGTGAAACCCCATCTCTACTAAAAATAGAAAAATTACAGAGGGTGGTGGCGGGTGCCTGTAATCCCAGTTACTCAGGAGGCTGTGGCAGTAGAATCGCTTGAACCTGGGAGGTGGAGGTTGCAGTGGGCCGAGATCCGAGATCGCGCTACTGCACTCCAGCCTGGGCAACAGAGAAAGTCTCAAAAAAAAAAAAAAGAAAGAAAGAAAAGAAAAGAAAAAAAGTAAGAGCCAGGGGAATACAAGAGAGAAAGAGATTAATGTTGATTAATTGGTCCAAGAAGGCTTTGAGAAGAAGACGACATGAAATGCCAAAGAATAGATAAAATTTCTACGTGTAAAAGTTGAGTAAAAAGGCATTTAAGGTAGGCTAGGAATTCACAATGTGTTTTATGTTCACTATTTTGTTGGACATCAACCTAAATTTGCACCCATTTTGATATATTTTTGTTATAATTTTCTCTGACATGCAGAAGTCTTTACATTGGATTGTAGTCAGGTTAAATGCTTTTGTATATGTTAAATGCTTTGCATGATATACAACGTTATTCCACCAACATTAAACCAATCATGCTTAACAATGTAAATTATTTTTAGGACAATATGTACAATGTAATAACTGCTGTGATAATTATGTTTTCTTCATACAGTGAATATATACAAAAGCCAAGTGATGACCAACCTTGAGGGGACAGGAAAGATTTCAGGACAGAAGAGGAGACATCTAAGTTAAGGCATGAAGGACAAATAGGTGTTAGCCAAGGAAGGATGCTCTTCCAGACACAGAGGAGAAATGTCCTGGCCAAAGTGGTAGAAACCACGGCTGAAGCCAAAACTGCAAGGAGAGGCGAGGCCACAAAGGATCTTACAGGCCCTACTAAGGAGCTTGGATGTTATCCCAATGGCACTGGGGGGTCATTTACAGTTTTCAAATTTTTCATCAGGGAATGGATTTGGGTGTGTGTGTGTGTGTTTTAGTAGAGATGGTTTCACTATGTTGGCCAGGCTGGTCTTTAACTCCTGACCTCAGGTGATCTGCCTGCCTTGGCATCCCAAAGTGCTGGGATTACAGGCTTGAGCCACTGTGCCTGGCCAGGAAGTGAATAGGATCCTATTTTTAAACAGGTGTTTCTGAATGCAGTGTGAAGAATGTGTTGGAGGAAAACACAAATAGAGGAAGGTATGATACTGCATTCAAGTGAAAGATAATGATTGCATTAGCAGAGGTAGTGATTGTGGTGATGGAAAATATTTTGAATCTAACCAGAGGGCCTGTGGATAGATTTCGCATGGTGAGTGGGGGAAGACAGTGCCAATAAGAGAAGATGTTGGAGAATGGCATCTAGATATTTTCCTGAGCAGTTAAGTGGATAGAGAGGTTTCATTCATGGACGCAGGGAATGCAGGATGAGATACGAGTTTGTGGAAGAGGACTATTTCAGCTTTACAATAGGTGCTTGTGGGACATCCTACAGAAGACATTAAACAATTGGATATGAGCCTGGCTGAAAACCGAAGTCATGGAATAGCATAATTTGTGAGGTAAACCTTGGAAGATGGCAGTGATTATGAAAGTCAGAGACAAAGAAAGAAGGAGACAGAAGAAAGGGAGGACGAGAGGAAGGGCAGCTAAGCAAAGGAAGTGACGTGATGTACAGAGGGCAGAAAAAGGGTAGGGGCATGACTGAGAAAAATCACTTCGTCAAGTGCAAGATAAAACTCGAGTGGTCTCCTGAAATAATAGGCTGAGGAATGGGAGTTACTCTCAAGTCAGTAGCATTCAATGAGGATTTGAACATGGGAGGAGCATTTGCAAATATGTCATTAGGAAGATTTAACTAGAATATGGGTTGGAGTGTGAATACAGAGGCCATGTAATAGATTATTGAGATATCTAGGATAGTTATAATGAGATTTTTGAAGGAGAGTCATTTTGATGGCTGGGTGGCGTGATGGCTCATGCCTGTAATCCCAGCTCTTTGGGAGACCAAAGTGGAGGATGACTTGAGGCCAGGAGTTTGAGATCAGCCAGTGCAACATAGTGGGAACCCACCTCTACAAAACATTTTAAAAATTAGGCTAGCATGGTGGCATGCTTGTAGTCCCTGCTGCTCGGGAGACTGAGGCAGAAGGATCCTTTGAATTTAGGAGTTTGAGGTCGCAGTGAGCTAGGATTGCACCATTGCAATCTAGCCTGGGTGACAGAACAAGAGGCTGCCTCCATTAAAAAAAAAAAAGGTAGAGTAGTTTCAGAAGAAGTAAAAAGAAAACATGGATGGAACAGATCATTGTGAAAATAGAAGTGCTACAATTACTTCTCATTGAACATGGTGAGGACCGGGAAAGGAGGTGACTGAGAATGGTGATAACCTTGAGAAAAAAAGGCAAAATCAGAAGCAGGACCTGTTTTTGGAAATATGTAACTTGCTCTGCATGTAGAACTTTATAGTTGTACTTCATAGAATTAAAATTAAATAATAGTATAGCTGGCTGGGTGCCATGGCTCACACCTATAATCCCAGTACTTTGGGAGGCCAAGATGGGTGGATCACCTGAGGTCAGGAGTTCGAGAAAAGCCTGGCCAACATGGTGAAACACCGTATCTACTAACAATGCAAAAATTAGCCGAGCGTGATGGTGGGCACCTGTAGTCTCAGCTACTCGGGAGTCTGAGGCAGGAGAATCACTTGAACCCAGGAGGCAGAAGTTGCAGTGAGCCAAGATCGCACCACTGCACTCCAGCCTGGGAGACAAAAAAAAAAAAACCGTATATTGGTATACTTTATTTTTAAGGTTGCTTTTTTCTGCTTGAGCTTATCAAATTGCACCCCAGAGATTATTATCAGGGTATATTTTTCTTTTACCACACACTACAAGAGAAAAAAGACTTAGAAATCCATTCACAAGGAATCTCCAATTAGAGGACCGGTAATCTTTGCCAAGGGTGATGATTGGTCATCTTGGCTAGGCTGGACCTCTACGGAGAAGCTGAAAGACAGCCACACAGCTCAGCCTGGGGTCTGAGCATATCACTTCAGCAGTGATCAACAGAACAATGAGTACAGGAAAGGCATGGAGCATTTCCACGGGAATTGCCAGGACACAAGTTGTTCTTTTGCTGGCATCTTTGAAGTCTATAAAAATATAATTCTGGAAATATCCCAAGAAGAATCTGATGCAAAGTCAAACACATCGAGAATGCTAGATGCCATTTCCATTTAAGTAACTGTCCGTTCTGGGGGTGAGGAGAAGTGTTTGTCATAGTCTTTGCTGGTGGTCTCTCCGGTTCCACGGTTTTATGGAAGTTACGGTTTTGTTCAGTAGAGTCAATTCTCCCTGCCAGACCACTACAGAGAGCTATTTTCCTTCAACTGTATTGCTTCAGACAGTCTACAAATATGGTGTTTATTACATGACTTCTTCTATCTTAAGTGTTTATACTGCAGGTGAATTTTTTTTCTTCTGTGACTTGACTTGTGAGTTGGTTGTTATTGTTTTCCTTTTTCAGCAAGTCTTTATGCCAGGAAAAAGCGTTTTGATTCCCAACAAGCCAACAAGAAAAAAGACGGGGGATCCTAGCCTATAGACCCAAGTGTTAAGATGCTTTTTAAGAGAGGGGCAATTGGAAGCTGCTTGTAATATGGAGATTAGATATTCTGTCTCCAGCATGGGAACAGGGCTGGCATCGGTGAACAGGCAACTGCTTGCCTGCCTGCCTGCCTTCCTTGGGCCAGATAAAGGCCCAGAAGGAGCAGCTGCCAGCCGGGAGGAATGTGAGAAAATAGGAAATTGATTTGAAATAGAATAGGGAAAAAGGCACAAGAATTAATTTAAGAATTTTCAAAGATTCCCTTTTTAGGCATATGTAGTTCCTGCCTCTGCAGAGGAAGGTGATCTTTAGCTATTTTCTCATGAGATTAAAAAGGCATCAAACTCACAGTTAGTACATACATAAGGAAGACCTGAAGTTGGTTTATTTCTCCATAATTGGAAGAAAATTGAATATAGATTTATATTTTACTCTTTGGAAAGTCTTGTTGATCCTTCAGAAAAAAAAAAGAAATGGCATATTATAAATATTCTAACTCTAGGCACAGGAAAAATAGTGCTTTTTTTTTCTTTTTACTAGATACAGTGATATTAATTAAATTTCACATTAACCAGAGGGGGCTGGACAGCTTTCTGTTTGACTGTGAAGGTCGTAGGGACTCTCATTTTCTATTGACAGCAGTTCCTTTGCTTTAACAGATGCCTTTAGGCATATCATAATGTCTCTCTCCACTTCTTTGCTTAAGGGAGTATGGGGAGTCATGTTAACAATATTTAGGATCACTAATAAGTAAGGGAGATGTTTCCCTTATCCAAACGGACCGAGTTCCGAGTGCGTAACCCTGTGAATAGGATATCCTGGGAGAACATCATGGAAGGGGCAGGATTCACAACGACTGCAGCTTTGTCTGTCTTCGGGGTCATACTCACCAGCTGCCCTGTGAGAAGGCAGGGGATTGAGCAGTAAGCTTCGAGTTCCTTTTAGGTTGCAGCATTTGGTGGTGCTGCATAATCTCTTCTGTTAGGAAACTGGTGATGCGCTCTAACGTGTGTGACACATACAAAGAGCCTCCTATTTGTGGAACGCCTTATTTCAAGTTGTTGATAAGACACCGAATCATTGGAAAAGAGAGATCTTGCAAAGTATGTACACCTTCGGTAGGAAGAATAAAAGCACATGATATGGCTGTGGTTAGATCCTTGCCACCACCAATTTAATAAACATATGATAATATAGGTCACACACACCTTGTTACCTCTCTTGACTTCTAAAAAATGCACCAGTGCAATTCTTGGCCAGGCATGGTGGCTCACACCTGTAATCCCAGCACTTTGGGAGGCCAAGGCGGGCAGATCATCTGAGGTCAGGAGTTCGAGACCAGCCTGGCCAACATGGTGAAACCCCATCTCTACTAAAAATACAAAAATTAGCCAGGCGTGGTGGTGGGCACCTGTTATCCCAGCTACTAGGGAGTACTAGGGAGGCTGAGGCAGGAGAATTGCTTGAACCCAGGAGGCGGAGGTTACAGTGAGCCAAGACTGTGCCATTGCACTCCAGCCTGGGCAGCAAGAACGAAACTCCGCCTCCAAAAAAAAAAAAAAATGCACCAGTGCTATTCTCATGAAGGAAAGAACTTCTCAACTTCTCACCTCTTAAATGCATTGAAATGTGCCTACTATCTTAACACACCAAATGTTACCATATGGGGTAGAATAAAGACAAAAATAGCTGTTCTCTAAATCGTATATGCATTAAGAAGTTAACATTTGGAAATAGCTGAGTGAGCTTCTTTAATTCATTCTTCAAAATAAACAAACCAAAGCTTGATCTGTAATTTTATAGTGGATAGATAGGCAACAAACTCAGGAGGGTAGAAAGGGAAAAACCTTAAGAAAATGAATGAATTTTAAAATACAGCTACTGAGGCCAGCCATCGTTGCTCACTCCTGTAATCCCAGCACTTTGGGAGGCAGAGGTGGGAGAATCCCTTGAGCCTAGGAGTTCAAGATCAGCCTGGGCAACATGGCAAAACCTTGTCTCTACAAAAAATACAAAAAAAATAGCTGATGGCTGGCTGGGTGCGGTGGCTCATGCCTGTAATCCCAACACTTTGGGAGGCCAAGTGGGCAGATCACTCGAGGTCAAGAGTTAGAGACCAGCCTGGCCAACATGGTGAAACTCCATCTCCACTAAAAACATAAAAAAGTTAGCCAGACGTGGTGGTAGGCGCTTGTAATCCCAACTATTCTGGAGGCTGAGGCAGGAGAATCACTTGAACCCAGGAGGCAGAGGTTGCAGTGAGGTGAGATCGCACCACCGCACTTCAGCCTGGATGACAGAGCGAGACTCCGTCTAAAAAAAAAAAAAAATATCTGGGCGGGCACCTGTAGTCCCAGCTACTCCAGAGGCTGAGATGGGAGGATTGCTTGAGCCCAGGAAGCAGTGGTTGCAGTGAGCCGAGATAGCACCACAGCACTCCAGCCTGAGCAACAGAGCGAGATCCTGTCTCAAATAAATAAATAAATAAATAAAGCAACAGAAAACTATTATCCTAAGACATTAAAGAAACTGGAGGAACCTCCTGGATGGCCATTTAAAGGTTGCAAGTGATCTGAGAGATTTCTTTTTAGAGGGAAAAAATGAGACCCAGATAACTTAAGAGTTACCAAGGTTACACAGCTGGTCAGAAGAATAATATCCTGAACCCAGGTTTCCTGATTTCTAGAGAATTTATAGAGAAGTAGAGAAATTCTTGAAGGGTGAGCTGTGATGTTTCTTTGCTCCTTTAGTGTGCAAACTATTTAAGCTATTTTGTTTCTTTTAAATTATTTTATTTTGCAGTGAGTTCATTTTTATCATCAACTGCAGTGACCATTATTTAAGTAGTCTAAAGCTTAAAGATATCTGCTTGTCTGAGTTTCAGCCATGCATTTTCCTGGCGCTGGTTATGAAACTACATGTTTTTATTAAAGTTGGTAGAAATCATCATCACGCAATAGAGTAAGCTTTTTTATGGCATAGATGCCCAGAAATAATTTAAGGCCTTTCTCACTAATCATAAATTGCTGTTAATCAGAAACTGACTTGTTTTTTTTCCAGTTAGAAAATTCCTCATTCTAGCCATCCTTATGAAACCCTGCCAGAAATTCCTTGAAGGTAAATTTGCCCAACAACCACTGTAGAATACAACCAAAAAAGATGCAGTTATTCAACATACACTTGTACCTAACTTTGAGAACATTTTTACTTATGCTGGCTGCTTATATCATCTGTACTGAGGCTATCTTAGACTCTGTAGTTAAGGTGACATAGTGATATATTGATCTAATGAGTAATATTATGAAATTAATTCTAAAATACTCTAACTTCTTCTGCCTTAATTTTTAAAATTCATTTGAATGATCACATTGTACAAAGCTTTTGTTGAAAATCTTGCAAAGGCCTTTGGCCAAAAATAACATAGTTCTACATATTTTTACAGTGGTTTCTATTTCAGTCAAATGGCCACCAAGGATGATAGGCTCTGAAACATCTGGATGGTCCAGTGTCAAAATCTACACGTGGACACTTGCCTTTGTGGTCAGGATCTTCAGTTTGCCATGGCCTCAGGAGTTACATTTAACTTGCTCAGCATCGATTAATAGATGCCCTTATTTTGCCTTTCAATGACTCCAGATCTTTTGCAAGACTCAATTCCCTCTGTACAGATACATCTGTGAAGTTTGTTATCACTCTGAAGCTGAAAGTCCCCAGGACTAGACAGTAATTGAGTTTTCCTTACCTGACAGCCTCTGACTCTACCTGTTTTTCACTCTCCCTTCTCTCCTCTTTTTAGAGAACTCTCTTCTCCTATATTACTTACTGTGTATGTTTCTATGATTTCCCTTAAGCTGCTGAAGTTGCCCCTAGCAAGACCCTAAGCACATTGGCTTTTTATAAACCAAGACAGACCCTAGGTAGAAATTTGCCTAAAAGAATTTGTATATTTTTTCCTACAGGGTATTTTAAATAATGGAAATACGGTTTTCTACTTTAGTTTTAATCTAGGGATGTCCTGTGACGATTAAACAAGGCATTTCATGTGAAAGAACCTAAGGTGTTTCAGGCACATAATAGGCATTCAATAAATGTGAGAGGAATTCAAATCTAGAAGGTTTGAAGAAAAAATCTGGTGTGTAAACTAGCTGTCTCTATTTCCCCACCATCCACTTGGTTTTCAATACCCATTACCTCTGACATTCACCCCATTATTCTACTAGAATTATTCTCCTTTAGATCGAAAATTGCTTCTTCCTGCCAATTTCAAGACCTTTTCTTCAATCATTAGAAGTATTAATCTGTAACATGTATCTTTGTTAACCATCACCCACACCATTCCCTGTCCCAATTCTTGAAATCTCTACTTGGGGCTTCTTCGTCGTTTTACACTGCAGATTCTCTCCAACTTCCCAGACGGTGCCTTCTGTCTCCCCATTGGGTGAACTTCCTCTCTCTGGCCCCTCTATGTAAGCATCCACCAAGATTCCAGCTTGGCTGGTTGCTGTCTTCGTTTACTCATTGCCTCTGAAATCTCATCTGCTCTCGTAAGTATCACTGTTAGGGAACCAGGTTAGTAAATCTACATTATAGAACGAAACCCCCTTCTTCCAGCTGCAAACTCCTGGTGGGCACCTTTTTTTTTTTTTTTTTTGACGGAGTCTCGCTCTGTTGCCCAGGCTGGAGTGCAGCCGTGCGATCTCGGCTCACTGCAACCTCCGCCTCTCGGGTTCAAGCGATTCTCTGCCTCAGCCTCCCAAGTAACTGGGACTACAGGCACGCACCACCACGCCCAGCTAATTTTTTTGTATTTTTAGTAGAGACGGGGTGTCACCATCTTGGCCAGGCTGGTCTTGAACTCCTGACCTCATGATCCACCCGCCTCGGCCTCCCAAAGTGCTGGGATTACAGGCGTGAGCCACTGCAGCTGGCTCTGATGGGCACCTTTAAATACAGATAGCCAAAGCAATGCTCACTTCACTCCATTTCGTTTCTCTACGCCATTTGTCTTATCATAGAGCTTTCTACTCTTCCTGGGCCTACATGTCTAGATCTACAGCCTGATGACTCAAAGGTGATGGTTCTCAGCTACCTCCACCCCCAGTCCTACAGAGGAAGTTCAGAGAAGAGCCTTTAAGAAGATGAAAGAGATGAAAAACAGACCCATGAGGAAATGGTAGTAATAATGAGTTTAACATGACGATGTGGATTTTAAGGGAAGATTTGAGAATAATTATCATTAAGTATATGAAAGGTCCTTATTGAGAAAATGGTGACCAGCTGCTCCTCACTTCTGCGGAAGACCGTGCGGAAGGCATTGAGCATAAATTGTAGCTCTAGAGGTTTTTTTTTTTTTCGACTTTTATTTCAGGTTTGGGGATACATGTGAAGGTTTGTTACATAAGTAAACACGTGTCACGGGGTTTGTTGTAGATATTATCCCATCACCCAGGTATTAAGCCCAGTTCCCGATAGTTACCTTTTCTGCTTAAGTTAGAGACTCTTAAAATAGAATTGCCCTCAGTAAACAATG
This sequence comes from Homo sapiens, assembly GCF_000001405.40. Classification (NCBI taxonomy): domain Eukaryota; kingdom Metazoa; phylum Chordata; class Mammalia; order Primates; family Hominidae; genus Homo; species Homo sapiens. Next base: position 182,441,012 of record NC_000004.12, read on the forward strand.
TAAAACATTGTAATGTATTACTTGGAATGGCTATGGCACGGAAGGGCTTTTTTTTAACCAAATAAATTCATCTGTGTGTGGTGTAATTTAGACTGGATTATATCTGAGAGCGATCTGGGAGGGTATCACAAAATTAGATCATGTATTAAGTTTATGTTCGGTTTTATAATCCTGTAATTTTTATAAACAAAAAATGTATGTATAGATTTTTCTAAAATAATGACCTTGAACTATCAATGGTGCTAGGTGACATTAGGTCACAGCCTCTGCCCTCGTGAGGTTTATGTTAGCTTAGGAGTATGTGAGAGAGACACAGACAGACAGACAGAAAGAGAAAAAGAAAACAATAATTACAGAATAGTGTGATGTATACATAGGAAAGAATCATTTTAATCAGCAAGCAATTTTTTAAAATCTGGATTCTTCATTTCCATTGACCCATCCATTCATCCATCCATCCACTCATTCCCAAACCAGCATTTATTTTATTTATTATTATTTTTTGAGATGGAGTCTCGCTCTGTTGCCCAGGCTGGAGTGCAGTGGTGCAATCTCCGCTCACCACAACCTCTGCCTCCCAGGTTCAAGTGATCCTCCTGCCTCAGCCTCCCTAGTAGCTGGGACTACAGGCACGTGCCACCACGCCCAGCTAATTTTTGTATTTTTAGTAGAGATGGGGTTTCACTATGTTGGCCAGGCTGGTCTTGAACTCCTGACCTGATGATCTGCCTGCCTCGAACTCCTGACCTTGTGATCTGCCCACCTCTGACTCCCAAAGTGCTGGGATTATAGGCGTGAGCCACTGTACCTGGCCCAAACCAGCATTTATTTGGTGTCTCTTTTGTGCAAGACACTATGCCAAATGTTAAGAAATCAGCAAAGAAATCGTCCCTATGCTCGTATGTTCGTGGTCTGGAAGGAGCTACAGACAAGTAGACAGGGAGCAGAATATAGTACGATGAAGGCAGGAAAAGAGTATTTACGGAGCTGAATGGGAATGCAGAAGAGGGGCCCATAAACTATTCTTGGTGAATCAGGCAAGGCTAAATGGAAGAACTGACTTCTAAGCCAAGTTATGAGCAAGCAGAAATTGGTCAGCTAAAATGCAGAGGTATGGAGCATGTACTTCCTCTATCCACAATGATGCATAAATATATGTGCATACTCATAAATCGTGTTCACAAAGTCAGAAAATCCTGAAAAACACATTCTATATGACTATATCATGAAAACACCTGAAATTAATAATTATTATCTAAATTTATTTGTCAATAAAGATATGTTAAACTATTTGCAAAAATATCTTAGTACATATGGATTCTTTTGAAATGGTTGATATTATAAATTGTAAAGGGTTAATATAAAAGTTTGTGTGATTTCTATGTTCTGTCCACTGCATAAAGGATTTGATCTATGCACGGCTATTGCCACTATAGACAACTACCCATCTGACAACACCACTGCACTAGTCACCAATGAATAATTCTTCCTTTCTAAACAATCAAAACAAAGTACTTATAGTAATACATTTAATTTCAAAGATTTTTGACATTCAACCAAAAATGCTTGGTCTTTTTGTTTGTTTGCTTGTTTTTTTAGAGATAGAGTCTTGCTTTGTCACCCAGGCTGGAGTGCAGTGGCACAATCATGGCTCACTGCAACCTCCACCTCCGAGGCTCAAGTGATCCTCCTGCCTCAGCCTCCAGACTAACTGGGACTACAGGCATATGCCAGCACACTCGACTAATTTGTGTGTGTGTGTGTGTGTGTACATATGTGTGTGTGTGTGTGTGTATATACACATATATATACATATATATACATACATACATATATACACACACACACACACACACACACACACACACATATATATATATATGGGTTCTTTTCTGTAGAGATGTAGTTTCGCCATGTTGCTCAGGCTGGTCTTGAACTCCTGGGCTCAAATGATCCATCATCTCAGCCTTCCAAAGTGTTAGATTACAGGCATGAGCCACCGTGTCTGGCCTGAGAACCAACACAAGTGTTTTGGGAATGGGTGAATGGAATGATGGTTGGAAACAGATGGTCCAGATTGAAGAATTTGCTCCATAATTAAAAACAATTCAATCATCTTTATTTATCACACTTCCATTTCTTTATCTTGGACTGCCAAAGAATACATTCAAAATACTCCCCAAAATGTATTCATATTATCAAAGCCTAAAAGTCAGGTGAACCCCAATAAGTTGCCAAGCATAGACACATACTGCCATCCCTGGGTGGGCCTAGGAATTAGTGTGTCTGCAGCCCCTGAATCCAATGTGCCAGGGATAAGCAGCACTCCCTCTAGCTTGGCCACTCCTGTCCTTCCCTAGTCATGGAGGTTACTGATAAAACTAGGCTTCCATATACTTCTCTGTGCTATAGATTGTCTTCTAACATTGTTGGACACCTGATGGCTTGACTTGGGTTGGGTCCTCAGCTCTTGCTACGTACTCAGTTCCTGGCATCCACAGCCCCAGCTAACTCTTGCTGGCCATCTGGATTTCTCTTGAAGCTCTGCCCTCCTGCCTCTCTCCTGCTCTCACCACCAGGTAGGAATGATGTCCCTACCTCACCCCCTTCCCTCCTACTTGGATAGTTGCCAGGACAGGACTGAAGCTCACTAAGCCTTTCGTATACAGCACATTGCTTGACTGCCCCCTACAAAGAGTCCAGACCTCATCACACACACCCAGATCCTGCTTCCTCCTCCTCCCTGCCTGCCCAGGCTGTAGAGGACCCAGTAGGCTCCTGCCCAAGGTCATCTGAATTAGGACAAAATTAAGGACCAGTGCTTTTGGCAAGCAGTGGACATGATTGGATATCTAAAGAAAGAGCCCTAAGTCTTCATCATGTATCAGATTCCACAAAGCATTTGGTTTTTGGGGGGTGAAATAATTTAACACCTTTAAAAGTAAAGAGAACTCACCTTTAGAAATGATTTCAGATGTGGGTCATTTATTATTGTGAAATAAATATGTCTATTGTGGGTGGATTTTTCCATAGGGTAAATCAAAGAAAGAATCACCTAGCTATTACACTAGCCTTTTAGATTTACTGTAGACATCTGTGAAAAATTATGAATTGGCCTTTATTACAAGACTTTGTTTTCAAACCTTTATTTCTGTTCCAATGTAAATGATAATCGAACTTTACTGGAGAAAAGACCCATGATTTTAAATATAGTTTTATGTCAGCTTATAGTTTTACATCAGAGTCCATATAGCTGTTAGAAAGTTATGTGCTACTGACAAAATAACAGTTGGCAAAACATAAGACAAAATCTACAATTTTATTCACAGGATCTAACTAATGTACCATTATTATTACCAATTGATCTCAGTGTGCTATAATTTTGGTAACAATTTCTTTGATATGCTTTTAAAAATATATATATATTTACAAATAAAGGTATAATTTTTAAGAGTCAGTCTAAACAGACTAGATTCTAGAGGGACAGACATATATTGACCTACGACAATCCCTAATTCCGGTGTTTAGGAATGTTTGTTAGCCATTTTTTTCCTCTATAAGATTACAGCTCTCAGAGGATACTAATATTGGCCTATTTGTTTCCTGACCTCTTGAGGTAATTTGAAAACACAGGAGAAATCGAGGACTATCCCTTTTTTTATTTTGCTCCTTCTCAAATCCACAAGTTATCAATTTTTAAATGGAATATTATGTTTCCAAATCTTTGGTGGGGCTTATCCTGATAAATTTTATTTAAACGGTGAACTACACTCCTAACAACCAGCTTTCTTTTTTGTTGCGATGGAGTTTTGCTCTTCCTGCCCAGCTGCCCAGGCTGGAATGCAATGGCGCGATCTGGGCTCACTGCAACCTGCAACCTCCACCTCCCATGTTCAAGTGATTCTCCTGCCCTAGCCTCTCGAGTAGCTGGGATTACAGGGGGATGCCAACACACCCGGCTAATTTTTTGTATTTTTAGTGGAGATGGGGTTTCACTATGTTGGCCAGGCTGGTCTCGAACTCCTGACCTCAGGTGATCCACCCACCTCGGCCTCCCAAAGTGCTGGGATTACAGGTGTGAGCCACCGTGCCTGGCCAATAACCAGCTTTAACTATTGAGTCAATACTGTCTAAATATTTAGAGAAATGGTTAAGCGGCAGGCTCCTGAGTCCATCAAACCTGGAACTGTGTTTAGGCCCAAGCACTCTGTAACTATGTGGGCACATGATTAACTTCTCTAAGCTCCAGTTCTTCATCTATAAAATGGGATGATATTACTCTTCTCATATGAGATTAGAAAATTAAATAAAAATGGTGTGTATCAAATGCCAGTCATAAAATGAAGTGCTTAGTGTTAGCTTTAATCATAATCATCTATTTAGTATAGCTATGAGTGTTTGATTTTGATTTTGTATTAGCACCTCTGACAATGTGGATTTGGTACTTAATAATTAGCGGGAAAGGTAATAATCTCAGTGTCGGTTACAATTCGATTTTTCTTCAAGGTTTTTGTCCTAAGGAGAGAGAGGTCAGAAGCATTCTTAATATGAAGCTAAGTTGGTGCCAGTTTGAAGTAACAGCTCATTTGTGGACTTTTTATTTTTTTTTTTAAATACAATTTGCTTTGATTTGGTTTGGTTCATGCATTTTTAAAAATCTTCCTCGTGGTGTTCGGTCATTAGATTTTTATGCCTAAAGAACTGAATTCAGTTTTAAGTAAAATTCATTTAATATTCCAAGTATGATTCCACGTGGTTATTCATTCACAACATAAAATAGCCACATAATTCAATATATTTGATAGTGTCTGCTCATGGAACTGTGGGGAATTCCGCAGATCTTAGACAAGAATTGCTTAAGTTATAGAAGGCGATATCCATAATGCTAATTATCTCTGACATCATCGATATGGCAAACTATAGTAGAAGAAAACAGAAGTTGAACGTGGGCCTCATTACACGTCTCTGTGGAACTCTTTGGTGGACTCCTGTATTTAAAAGACGGCAGTGATTTAATGTATGCATGGGGGTGTCCACAAAACTGTGTATCTTTTCTTGGGAAGATATATGTGGAAACCATCCTTCACTTTTCAACAATAGAAATTGTTTAAAACCATGTCTCTTCCTCTGCCTTTGCCCCATGGGCTGCTACTGCTACTGCTCAGCTTCGTTCAGTGTAAATCCTTGATTATTCTCAAAGGATCCCATCTTTGTCTAATTTGGAAATACATAATTAGTTTTGTATTCAGAAAAGGTGGAACTAGATATACATGTAGAATACTCCAGTACACTCCAATATAAAATTTTGCCTAACCTGTATGTAATACTTATATCTAATTAGCATTTTAAATGGAAATTTTAATAAATGCTATCAATCAGTGACCAATTTACATAGCATTCATCTGGGGAAATGAGCAGGTCAGAGGATCAGTCTTCTTGAGATTCATCTTGACCCAAACAATGGTTTAAGATCTTAAAACCTTTCATTCTTCCATTAGTGTGCTTATCTTTCTGCATTCGAACGTTCTAGTCCAAGTCCAGATTTGCTAACTTGTGGTTGTCAAAAATCAAGGAGTGCATTTTTGAAGCATAGACAAGCCCCCAGGTCCTAGCACTTTTTTTTTTTTTTTAAGAGACGGAGTCTCCCTATATTGCTCAGGTTGGTCTTGAACTCCTGGGCTCAAGCAGTCTGCCTGCCTCCATCTCCCAAAATGCTGGGATTAGAGACATGAGACATGCCGCCCAGCCTCTTGGCAAATTTTAACCGTGTAATGTTCTGCCAATTTAATTCTTCAAAGATTCCAATTGAACAACATCATCTTCATCCTCTGCCCTAGTTATATGGTGTTTATTTGCAGTTACTTCAGGTGACCCCCCACCCCCCTCAGAAGACACATGCATTGCATTGATTTGTGAAATGATCCTTTTCAAAACATTAAGACTTAAGGAAGATATTTGCTTAAGAGCTTAGAAGTTTTGCAGTGCCCAACAACATACCTATTGTTCTATTTTTTGACCCAATTTACTAAAGAGAAAGAATTTCAAAACCCTGAAATAACTTCAAAATTTATACAGTGTCAAAGGAATGTCTAAATTTTAAATAACCGCCTTGTGTTTAAATAATTTCTATGATATCTTCATAGTGTCCCAATTAAAGGGTGAATATATTGATCATTAACGGAGGAATAGACAGGCTGGTTGTGACGTTGTAATAGAGTGTGTTTGTGAGTCACGATTTTAGAGACCCAGAGTTAGTGATAGAAAAAAAAAAAAACTAAGGTGTGGAGACTGCTTAAACCCTGAGCGGCGTTAGATATTTCCATGTATGAGGATGGATGTCTTAGACGTAATGGAAAATGAGAAAGAAAAGTATCTACAAAGAGGTAGAAGAGCTGTATTCATATTCTTGTAGCATTGGGTATAAAAAGCGACAAAAGTCAAGGTAAAGCTAGTATGTTCAAGAAGATAAGGAAATTACTGTTGTTGTTGAATCATGGGAATGAGGAAAGCATTTTGTCTTTACTGGAGGAAAGACCGTGGGGGAAGAGAGAAATTCTAATTGCAGTCTGCTAATCTTACTGATAAATGAAAAGAGAACACTGATCCTTCCTTTCTTAAAGTATTAATTTTTTGGTTTGGGTCTGTATTTAGAAGGTAGTTAAAATATGGAATGAGAGCTGATAAAGATATGTTGTTGATACTGGTATTGTGATGTAAGGTGCTTCATGTTTTCCTTGTTTCTTTATAAAAATGAGAGGTTTGGAGGGATTGGAAGAAAGCACCGGTGAATCTAAAAATTCACGAACATTCAGTCATTCAATTCTCAGTTTAATGGAGGAAGAGGCTGGAGGGGATGGAATGTTCTGGAAGAAAAATTAAAGGAAGGACGTTGGACTGGAAGCAATGCAAAAATAATGATAATAGTGGATCTGGAGGGGAAAAAACACAATTTTTTATAAAAATTTAAGTGATGCAATGTTGAAGTATGTTTTATTTAAAAGTAAAGCTAGTTAGAACACCACATGAGCTATTCCGGATCAGGGCTGTCCAGCCCTGGTATATCATGGAGAGTGGCTCGGGCCACTTGCACACATGCCTTCAGCCCCTGGTACCGTCTTCTCTCCCCGGGTCGCGACACTGACTCGTCAACGTTAATGGGGGTCCGCGACTGCTGCGGGGACGAGGGCGCAGAGCAGCCCCCGCCACGGGCCGGTCCACGCAGGGGCCGAGAAAGTGGCGGAGAGGCGGTGGCCGAGGCCCAGGGGCGAGCGCGGGCTGAGCTGGTCCCTGCTGCGTTCACGAGCGACACCCACCCCTTCGCTGCGGACGCCCCGCGGGCGCCAGGCTGGGGGCCCTGCGACCGACCCCTCCCGCCCCCGAGGTACCGCCGGGCCCGCCTGGCAGGCAGCGCGTCCCGCGAGCTGGAGGGCCGAGTTTCGCGGGGCCGTGGGGCGTGTGGGTGAAGGCGACACCTCGGATGCGGGACGCATGAATGGTGGCAGAGCAGGGGTCGGGATCCGTTCATGGGTTGGGAGAGAGATGCTTTTGTGAGCACGGGAAAGTAGCGCTGCCGGAGAACAGCTCTGAGGCGGGATCAAAAGCCGCCGGCGAAGCCCCGCCGAGGAACACGGCCGCTGCCCGGGGCGGCTCGCGAGCGTGCGTGTGTGGAGGGGAGGATGCCGCCCCGCGGGGTCTTCGGAGGGTGCCGGGAGCGGGTTCTCAGTGCAGTTCCCCCGTCTTCGCTGGGGGCACGGCTGCTCACAGGCCCCGGCCCGCGTGTGTGGAGCGGGGCGAGGGGGTGAGGCGAGGGGGTGAGGCGGCGGCCGAGCCGGGGCGCTGGGCGCGGGGCTGGCGGGAGGCGGCGGTGGCGGCCCGGCGCGAAGGGGTTAAGCGGCGCACCGCCCCCTCGGCGGCCGGGTGTAAACAGAGGAGCCTCAGCCTATCATGTCTGGCCGCCGCGCGCAGCCCGAGCCCGGAGCCAGGCGCTGTAACACGATACGCTCCAGACCCAGGCAACTTGGCAGCGCTGGGCTCGGTTCCTCACGGCCACAGCGAGGGCGCGCCGCGGCAAGGTGGGTGAGCGGCGGCGGCGGCGGCGGCCTGGGGCGGGCTGGCGGAGCGCGGCTCCCGGTGAGGCTCCCCGCGCGGCAGGGTCGCTCGCTCGCTCCGGGGACCGCGGCGGTGGCGGTGGCGGTGGTGGCGGCGGCGGCGGCGGCGGCTCCGCTCTTCTCCCTTGTGGTGTCGGAATGGGAGGAGGCTCGGCGCGGGTTTGAATCGGTGCGGAGGCAACATTCGCATCTGAGATGAGGTGGCTTTTTAACCCCTGAGGGACCACATTTAAGGATTTCGAAGAGATGGAGGCTGAACTTTCTCGATGACTCTTCGTCACCCGGAGTGGTGCAGGTAGCCGCGGGGAGAATGGAGTCTTTTGTTCCCGGTATTTTTAATTAGATGGATTTTTTTTTTATGAGTAGTGTACTGTCCTAATCCGTGAGGCAAAGCTGCCCTTTTGCCTGCATTCGGTGACTTTTACGAATTCGTTGGGAGCTAGTCTTAGCAGTAGTGATTTTGGATAATTTATGTCTGAAATGTGCAAAAATCGGCATTGAGCTTAAATTAATAAGCCCTTTGGTTCCATTAACTAAAATCCATCATACTAATTGCTTAATGGGGGAAAAGGTACAAAATAAGCTTGCTCATTAAAGAGCAGTCTTTTGCCTGCGAAATACGTAGTGTGATTTTTGTCAGGTTTAATAGAGCAGTCTCTCAGAGAAATTCAACTTTGCAGTTGTGCTTCGATGCAGGCTACTCCTGTGCAAAGATAGTTGGAGATGGTTTGGAAAAACTTGTGCTGTATCTGTTGAAGTAAAAATCATTTGCCATTGATGTGTGTAGTTCAATAAAACAAAGATCTGTGGCAGCTGTGGGAATGAGAAAGTCACATTTCCTCCCTCTCCTGTGCTGGCGTCTCTGTCTCTCTGGAATATCTTATAAATGATATATACAGCTATATGTGCCTGTGTCACAAAGTCATTCTGTCTTCTGAAAGCCTAATATAATCAAATTCAGTGCCTTAAGATGGTGTAGTTGAAGATTTGATCCCCTTCCACTAAAGTGGAAATACTTTCAGTAATTGAAAGCAGATTCACGTCTGGAGTTGTACAAGCCAAGGTTTTCATTTTTAAAATAAACCTTTTGTTCTCTGGTTTTAAATGTTTCAGAGAGCCATCCAAAGACCTCTGTGTGCTAATTGTTAAAGTAGTACTTAAGAAAGGATTGCAAATACCCAGAGAAGGCATTTAAGAAATCAGCTAACTTAACTAAGCCTCCCTCTCAGCCGAATATTTTAGTGCAGCATGTACTGGTCTGTGCCCCACATTGTTTTGTTTTTGTTTTTTTTTTCCAGCGGACTCCCAGGTATTAAAATGCGACTGCAGCGTTCAAAACACTCTAGGCAGAGGCCATCTGCTATAAGAGGTTAAAAAACTTGAGAAATGTTGGTGTTATCCCATTTTATACTGTGATTTACACAATGTGATGATGAATTTGAGATCCGCTATAAAGTATGTTTAATTTAAAGAGGTGGTGATTATACATTAACTGAGAGACTGAAACTCACAAAAATATGAATGCAGGTGGTTCACCTGGTTCCTTTCTCTCATCTTCAGAGACTAAGTGTTAAAAAGCTTTAAAAAATTGGCTGTGAAAGACTGAAATTAGGGTACATTCTAGACAAAGAGGGAGTCACTTGATCTCTTATTAGCTGTGAAGATAGAGAAGAATAGTGCTGTATAAGAGCGTTACCTTCCTTCTTCAGGACATGATATCTAAAATGAGTTGTTTAATTATGAGGAAAAAGTTAAAAGAGTTGTACTTTTAACAATGACAGTTGACATCAGGAAAAGATAGAAAGGCGCATTCCAAATGTTTTTAATGACTAGTTTCTTAACCTGTTGTATTGATCATTAATAAGATGTGAATGGACGTATTTCCAGAGTATGACATGGCAGTTTGATTTCTTAGAAACTGCTCGGTAGCCCTGCATTTTACCTTGTTTTCTTGCCTTCTCAGTAGTTTATCATTGCAGCACATTATAGTAAATATGGCCATAATTCAAATGATATTCTTGTTATTATGTAAAAGCCCTCTTTTATAAAAAAATATTTAAAGTATTCAGCAGATTTTTAATTACCAAATAAAATCATACTAAATTTTGGCTGTTGCGTCACGTTTCTTAGATAGCAGTGGCCTAGTGTGGGGCATAATAGAATTTAATTCTTCTCGAAGATTTAGAAAAAGAAAAGCGACTTCACATGGACTCTTCTACTGATGTCTGAACACTGATTTTCAGTGTAATATCCTTGTCTAAACATTTAAACTAAAGCTTTTTGTGGCTTCTATTTACTGTTAGTTTTTATGTTCCTACATATTTTTACTTGGTTAAAGGGGTGCACAGGATCTTCTGGCATCTGGAATAATACATTCAATTTTTCACGGGACTCCTTTCTTTCATAACGTAGGCAAGTGGCAAAGGAGGCACTGTCTAAATACAGTGATCCTGATAATTAATGCTGTAAAATAGATTAAAATGCTGTATTTCAGGTATTCATTCCCTTAAAAGGGCCACCAGAACAGCGTTGCTAAGCACCCGTCACTACTGCAAGTAACAGAAAATGACCCAAATTAAAGAACCTGTTCTAAGCTGTATTCTTGCATTTTCTAAAGTTCATTTCAAAAGATTTAACAAGACTCATTCAATTAGTGGGGAAAAAAGATCTGTTTTCAGCTCTGATCAGCAATTAAGAGACTGGGCTTTGGAACATCAGTTCTTTATGTTTATAATTTATTTCGTTTGGTAGGCTTTACTTTAAACAATTGTGAATAAAGATTTTTAACAAGCCACCTTTCTAGCAATCCAGATGTAAATGCTAAATACAGGACAATATATTTGTTTTAAATTTTTATTAAAATGAGTTATTTTATAGTAACTTTGCCTCATTTAAAGAAAGTTTAAATTTCACACTAATATGATATATTAATGCTTTATTATGGATTTCTTACTCTGTGAAAATCTATATGTATACATGCACACATACAGACATATGTAGTTTAGATTAAAGGATGGCTGTAATTATTCTATCTTATCATAGATGTGAGTGCTTTAGCACCTAACACTTGAGAAATAGGATGTTCTTCCTTAAGGATATTTGAATGTTGTGGGAAAATGGTACCATGAAGGAGATAGAATGGTTTGGTGAAGAAAGTAAATAAATAAATTATTAGGAGCAGAAGTTTTCTTTTTAGATTTTTTTTTTGGCAGGGGACGGGGGGCGGGGGGGTGTCCAGTAAACTGTACCCTTCTGGGTTAGACCAGAACTTCTAAGTAGTTGTGGCCAAATGGTTAGATCTTTCAGTGGCCTGGTTCTTAGCTAACACAACTGCAGTCACAAATACAAGCTGCGGAACTTCCTGGCAGAGAGAAAGGAATGAAAGGATAAGGGCTATTAGAGGAGTGGGAGAGAGGAGCAGGCGGGTTCCCAAAGGTTCAGATTAGGATCATTAGTGAAATTTTTTGCTGGATCACTTTGATCTAGACAAATCTAAAGCATATAAATATGGATTTTAAGTTATGAATGATAAGTGCTATTTTGGCTATAATCACGTGAAGTGATTCATATCCAGAAACATTGACTGTTTTAAAGCCCAAGTAACACACTTCTTTATTCTAAAGAGATGTTTTGCATTAGAAATTTATTATGCTTAGATTTATCAATTTGGTATGACAGATAGTTCTAGCAATAGATAATGTGCAATAAATAAAAGTTGTATAACTCTTGTTGGAGTTTTGTCTGAGATGAAAAGTTATTCTAATACTCATTTTTGCATAAGGCCTTTTGACCTGAATTGAGTTCTCTTGTTGGGTATTTGGAATACCTTGTCTTCTGATATGTCCGAGTTTGGTTTTCCCTATAAAGAATAACAATGTGTGTACTATAGAGATTATTTTTATATGTGTATATATATATATATATGCATACATATATAGCAGGTTTGAAAGGATGGTATTTTCATATTTAAGAAACCAGTTGTTTTAGGATTGTTGTTTATACATTGATTTTTGTTACAGACCCAGCTCTTCAGTTGAAATCCTATGTATTTAAGTTTTGAAATGTCTACTCTTAATTTTTACTGTTGAAAGTAAAAATTTTACTATTGGCAGTTGTTTTGCAGGTTGAAAACCACTACCTTTTTGGTCTCCCAGAAACAGTTTATGCCACAGATGTTATGTTGGTACGATGGTAAATTCATTTTACAAGGGAGGAATAATAATTGAAAAGTACACGCAAATATTTGTGGGCATGTCACATTTAAATAATAGTTAAATTTGGGAAACGACATACTATAGTATTTAAAAGAAAAACAGAGTTTCTCTCTTAAATGTTATCATTCCCCTCACTTAATATTAAATAGTGTTTGACATAAATGTCTTGGTTTGTACATTGAGGAGGCAGAATATATTACAAAATGTAACAAAATGACTAATATGGGACTAACATAAAAAACACTTTAGTCTTTTGTGGTTATATATATTAACTTAAAATTTGTAAAAAATTAAAACGATGTGTGGAAGTTTCAGTGAGTTGTTTTCATCCTGGTTTGTGCACAGTGCCTTTTTTTCCTTAACCTTAAACTGCAGGGAGAGATGGGGCCTGCTGTCTAGAGACCTGTAAAATGTAATCTGGATCTCTTTTTATGCCTTTTCTTTTAAATAAAACAAAATTACCTTATATAACAAGTTTAACATTGTTAACCTTTTATAATTATCTAACCATTATTTCATTTTACCTCCTGCTTCAAAGTTGTAACCTTTTATAATTATTTAACCATTATTTCATTTTACCTTCTGCTTCAAAGTTGTACATTAGCGGAGTAGACACCTGGCTGAGCTCTTAAAAGTTTATTTGGCTTTCAATTCCTGTGATAGTAGGGGGCAGTACATCTCCTTAATTATCTTTGTTCAGGGAAATGCTGAAAGGCCAGGGTAGTTAAACAAGGCCATTTGGATTTGTGAGGTCGAAGTCAGATGCAAGGAAAGTGGTTAAATGCATTATCATCTTATTGAGCCCATCATCAGTAAAGTGACCTTGATGGAGGTGGAAAAAGCCATTTGGCTATTTTATGACAGCCACCCCTGCTTGTTTTATCATTTACACATTTTTACATATGGCTTTATCATATTCTTTCTTTTCGTTTTCAAATATTATTTCCTCTGATTGTAGATCGTCAGAATGAAGGTGAAAATTAAAATTAGTTTCTTTTTAATGATAGTTAGAGTTTCTTTCATAAGTGTGTTTCATACATCGATTTATATGGAAATACCCCTTCATTAAAAATGAAGGTGATCAGGTTAGCTAACCATTCTGTATTTGCTTTTAAGGGTCTTTTAATGATGATGATTAGTCTTTTTGCAAAGAAGCTGCAATTCTGCTACTTTTCAAACTGTTTTTAAGCTAGTAAGAGGAAAGACTTGCCAACCTCGATTTTAGCAGTGGGAATAATGTTTGTTTTAACAAGTGCCTAAGTATGTTTACTTGAAAGTTATTCAAGTTTTAGTAGTTCTATTGCTGCCGTTCTGGAGTCATCACTTCCATTACGAAATTAAAACAAAGTCATAAGATTTATAGTTTATATTTCTTAACTTTATGGCCAAGATTTTCCTTGTGATGTATTTTATATCAACTCCAATAAAATGGCATTCTTGCTTATATGTTTGAACAAGTATTGTTCAATAAGAGGAAGAGTTTTATTAAACGCAGTACAAGAGCTAACGTTTTTGGAAACTCCAGTTAAAGCAATTAAGTGCTGCATACAAGATTTTTGTTTTCCTAGGCAAAGCTGTGAAACATTACTGATTGGAGTTTAGCGTATGCTTCACTTTATACTGAATTCTCTTTTGTTACAATTAATGGGAGCTGAGTATGAATCTTTTTATCATATGAAAGAAAAAACTGGCCCATTACCAAAATACCTAAAATAATATTTCATACTTTATTGGAGATATCTCCTTATCATCATGCTATGAATTATGTAACACTAAAATCTCAGGGACTCAAGATCATCAAAAATAGTTCGTTCAGGAGAGAGTCACATTTTCTTGATCAGAAAGGACTTATTTGTTTAAGAATCATTTATTTAAAGAACAAATTGGATCAAAAGGTGTTTAAAATGAAGTATAAACTCTCATTCCCCCACTCTGTTCCCACCATCAGGGCCCAAATTCAAGCTCTCTTCAGTTCTCCTTAGACTAAGCTTTCCATTTGGGTTGCCCTGCCTTCTGCCTGTCTTTTCTTTAATCCAGCCTCCACACTGTCGTCACAGTTGTCATTCTGAGTTGTGTTTTATCAGTCCCTTGGTGACCATACCTCACCCTCTACTGCTCCTCCACTCCCACCTTCGCACCAGTATTTTCGCTGGTCGGTGCTGCCTGTGCCCCTTCCTTGCATCTCACAGAGTTTCCAAGAGCTGACTTGCATGGTATTTCTTTTTTTTTTTTTTTTTTTTTTTTTTGAGACCGAGTCTCACTAGGCTGACCAGGCTGGAGTGCAGTGGCATGATCTCGCCTCACTGCAGCCTCCGCCTCCCGGGTTCAAGCGATTCTCCTGCCTCAGCCTCCCGAGTAGCTGGGATTACAGGCGTGCACCAACACACCCAGCTAATTTTGTGTATTTTAGTAGAGACAGGGTCTCACCATGTTGGCCAGGCTGGTCTCGAACTCCTGACCTCAGGTGATCCACCCGCCTCAGCCTCCCAAAGTGCTGGGATGATAGGCATGAGCCACCGCACCCGGCCTTGCACAGCATTTCTTGTGGCTCCTCCTCCTCTCGGGCTTCCTTAGCACCTGATTCTTATTTCTGTGAGCACTTAACACATTATCCTGTAGTCATTTGTTTACATTTCTGTCTCCCCCACTAGGGGGACAGGTTCTTTCAGAAAACCACTTTGTCTCATTCGTCCTTACATACCAGCACTAAGCATGATGCTAAGAAAATAGTTATTCCATAAGTCTCGAATGCTTATTGGATGAGTACACTAAATATAATTTAATTTTGTGGTGATGGAAGGTCATTACAAACATCAGTTATTTTATTGTTCTGTGTGAAAATATAATGGCTTACATAGGAGCTGATAAGGCTGAGTATCCCTGTCTAACTGGCCTGTCCGTGCTGTCAGCTTTCACTTCTTACTACTGCTCTGTCATCAAACAACACAGGTTATTTTGTTGTTGTTATTGTAATGTATGAATGAAATAAGAACAGAAAGGTTCTGAGTAAAGACTCAGAGCTAATTTCATTAACTTCATTAGTTTTGGCTTCTCTGAAGACCTTTTGGCTTAATGCCTCCATTTCTTTGCATTTTCTGTTGGGTGAGATTTTGGGGTAGCTAAGTTCCGATAGGTGTTAGGTGTTTAGGTGAAGCAAAATGTTAATTTCCACAATGAAAAGAAGTTCATTGAAGCCTAACAGTAAGTTTGAGTAAGAAAAAAATGTTAACTTACATGTACAGTTAACTTGAAATGTATATACATTGATAAAGATACTCATGATTATAATTTTTTAAAAACTGGTAAACATCATATCTAATGCAACTCTCTTTGGATGACTAAAGTAGGGAAGAGATAATCTTTAAGATGATAATTTAGAACAAGAATCAGTACACCTTCCGTGATTGTGTTACCAGAAGATTAATAGGTGAGGAATGTTGGAAGGACTGACAAATGTTTTGCCGTCGAGAGATTTACAGGTGAGGAGTACTAGAAGAAGAGGAAAAGAAACTCCGTATTTCTGCTCTCTTGCTCCATCTTCATCTACCTTAAGAACAAAAACAGCTGGGCCCGGCATGGTGGCTCATGCCTGTAATCCCAGCACATTGGGAGGCCGAGGCAAGTGGATCACCTCAGGTCAGGAGTTCAAGACCAGCCTGGCCAACATGGAGAAACCTGGTCTTTACTAAAAATACGAACAAATTAGCCGGGCGTGGTGACATGCGCCTGTAATCCCAGCTACTCGGAAGGCTGAGGCAGGAGAATCTCTTGCACCTGGGAGGCGGAGGTTGCAGTGAGCCGAGATTGTGCCACTGCACTCCAACCTGGGTGACAGAGCAAGACTCTGTCTCTCAAAAAAAAAAAAAAAAGAACAAAAACCCCACAATACTCTAAAAACCAATTTTACTTTTTCCTGAGAAAATGAATAGAATTAGAGACTTTTAGAACTGAAGATAATCTTCAAAATTATGTAATCCAGACTGGACATTTTCTAAGAAGAGAAGCCAAGGCCTAATAATAGCTGACATTTATTATTTACTGAAAGATAAGCATCTGTGTTAAACCCATTATATATGATTTCATCTCATCTTCAGAACAACTCATGAAATTAAATACTTTTATGATCTCTATTTTAAAGATATGGAAACTAAGTCATAGAACAGTTAAGTTGGTTGTTAGTGAGAGGTTTGAACCCAGACATGCAAATACCTAAATCATGTATATCTTTTTTTTTTTTTTTTTGAGGATAGACCTTGTCTCGATACCTAGACTGGAGTGCATTGGCATGAACACGGCTCACCACAGCCTCCAACTCCTAGGCACAAGTGATCCTCTCACCTCAGCCTTGCCAATGGTTGGGACCACAGGTGTGTGCCACCATGCCCAGCTAATTTTTTAAATATTGTTTTGTAGAAAAAGGGTCCCACCATATTGCCTAGACTAGTTTCCTAGCTCCTTGGCTCACGCAGTCCTCCTGCCTCGGCCTCCTAAGTGTTGGATTACAGGCGCGAGCCACCACATCCGGCCTGTCTTTCTTCATTACTGAATTCTGCATCCAGTGCAGTTGTCAAATTAGGTTTTGTTTTGATTTTAGTCCTAAATTTTGCTTTACATGTAAGTTCTATTTCCTATTCTAGAATAGAAATATGATACCAGTCTATAACTTTTCATAAACGTTGTAACCATTGGATGTTACAAACATTCTCATATTTGCTCAAGGCAAATCATTTAATTTATCAAGTGCTTATTGAGGCAATATATGTTTTGTATTGTTCTCCTGTTTTTGTTTTTAATTCAGATTTTTTAAATGAGGTGTGATCATCTATGGTATAGCTAATGTCCACTCTCTGATTAATATCTAGCAAGGATTAGCATCATTGATTTGAAAATTAATAGATTATGCTTTTATTGACATTTCTATTCCCCATTGAATGGCTTGTTTATTTAATTGATGGCTAATGTTTTTACTATTAAAGGCTATTAACACATCAGAATGGTTTTTATTGAACCTGGCAAAATGATAGATTATGTTTGTGTTTACTCCTTTGTGCCTAAGGCTAATTATTGGTGGTCTTTTTATGGTTTTGGTCAACTAAAACCTTCCGGTTAGGAAGTTGAGTAAATTAGCAAACTTATCTGGTGGTGTGACCTTGGAAAAGTCGCTGGACTTTTCTGGATTGCTACCTGTAAAAGGAGGGAAGTGAACCAGATCAATGATTTTGAACAGCGTAGCTTCTTGTAGAAGTTCTGTAGAGTTTCTTCAATTCTCTGATTCAGAATTCTTAAAAAAAAATCAAACTAAAGTGGTAATAAAACATAATGTGAACAAATAAAATAGATACTAAATGTTTACATTTGCTACTGGGTTAGTTTATTTTTCCATACATGTCCTGCTTTCTTTGTGTATGTATTTGTACTTTTTGTGGTATTTTGGTGAATGCAGCTTGCCTAAGGAATAAGAAGTGACAGCATCCTCTGCAGAGAAATCCTAGGAAAAAAGGAGTGTGCTTACTCACCAGCTTCCAGGGAAATGGTTGTGCTATGGACTGCATATGCCTGCCACTTTTGGTATTTGGTCGTAATAGAGATTCTAAAAATGAAGGGGGTTGTCCTTATTATGAATAGATTGTTACTTTTCCAATGTTCCGTTATAGTACCATTCACCAAACTTTTTTGAAACTACTTTTTTGAAATTGCGTTTATTTCCAAGTCACAGATAAAAATAGTTCTTGTTATTATAGGCATTCCTCATTTTGATGAAATACCAATTTAACTAGTTTGATTGCTTGCCTTCCTTCACAGGCTTGACTAACCAGCATTTCAAAAAAATTAGATCTATTCCCGAGAGAGTATTTACCACAGTTAATTATATTCAGAAAAAAATAATGCTAAAAGCCTGTGAGGCCTTTTCAAAAGAGAAATTTCTCAGTATTATATTGAGAAATGACTTCTGAAAAAGGCAACAACTCCTGTGTTGACCACTTTGAAAGCAATAGTATTCATCTCGGTGAATTCTGGAGTTTTTAAGAGTTGAGTGACAATACATTATAGCCCTTTCACGTGTCATGATTAAGGGCTGAACCAGAATGGTGTCTTTAATGGGTAGAACAATTAAATTTTGGAATTCAGAATCTAAGGCTTTATACATTAGTTATTTTTAATGTGCAATTGTTTGTTTTAAACAAGATTCGTGGCCTTTTTTAAACTATGAAGGTCTGTGAATGTATGATAATATGTTTGATTTCTTTAAAGTATATTTAAATTTCATGCATATTACATTTCATACAAAGGCAAAGCTCAGTCTTCACTTCTGTGCTTCCAGTTAGGAATAGGAGATTCAAAGTACAAAGTCTTTCAAAAATTGAAAAAAAAATTATTTGCTTTCATGCTGAGATATCAGTATAAACACCCGATTTATTCAAATACTTATTTATCTATTAATATTAGTCATTAATACTGATTAATACTTGAGTTTTTCAGGAGTTGGGCATCAGAATTGTAAACTTAAAGTATTTGTCTCACTTCAGTTGAGGCAGAATGAATAGAATTAAATATTCAAGATTTCAAAAATATATTTATTAAAAAAGTTGATAGTATCTTTTCAGTTAAAAATAACCTCCTTGTGTATTTTTTGTAAAATTCATCGCCAGCCCCCATTTCCAGGAATATCTCAATTAGCAATAAGGGGATGTCTCCTTCTAAATGCCTGTGGTGTACTTTAAATTCTAACGAGGTACCTTGTTGGAAGGAGACCACTTGAAGGTTTTATTAACCTCTGCAGTGTGAAAGTGAAAACACGCTGAAACGAGACAGCTAGTTCTACATTCTGATAAAACAATAGATCATCATCATGACCCTAGGACAGAGGACGTAAAAATTGAATAAAGAAAGGTACATTTGAAACAATACATTGAATTATTTATCTATGTCTTAAGCTCACATAGAATATAATTCTATGTATATTAGACTTATCTGTTTAAGACAATTTATTTTATATGACTTAGCCATAATCTGATAACATGACAATGTCCCAGAGCCTGATTCACATGGTACCAGAATATATGTCCGTCACAAAAATAAACCTGCTTCTATCATGGGGGAAAACATTTGGGGTGGCAAGCTGAAGTACACAGTAAATGTACTAGAGTTCTGTGAGTGAGAAAATATATACCAGCTATACACTAGCGGTTGCCTGTGAAAGGATGGAAAGAAACAAAATGAAGGAGAGACAAGAGAGGGGTGATAGTGGTGTTTAGCTGTCTCTAAATTTTATTTTTTTAAATAAAGCAGGATATCTAATGTAAACAACAGTCTGTGACATTATTTCATATGCTATTTAACACACAACAGCTACTTCTCATAAATGTAAGAGCACAAACCCATTTATATATTTCGGTGATGTTATTAACTAGTATTGCACTTTATTTCTTTTTAAAATGATGCTTAACCCAGTAATCACTGAATTTTAGTTGTACTTAGTCATGATTAGTGTAAAAATGTTTTTCTATAAAATAAGAATTAATATGTAATATTTAACTGCAGTCTATTTTAGGAACTTACTAATTTCTTAAGGAAAATTAATTCATAAATTTAAAAAGGGAATTTACGCAGCATTTGTTGAAAACCTACTATTTGCTACCTAGTAAGCGCTTTATCATCCTATTCATAATCATATAATTTTGAGTCCATTTAGACTAATTTCTTTCCACTTACATAGTCAATCCATAATCAACAGCTACTGACTCTAAAAACCAGATTTTTTGGATCTGTTTATTATAATGCAATCACAATCATAATTTATAATATCTTCATTCACTTTCCTGCCTTAAACTTTTCTCTTTAATCCAAAAAAGCAAATTATCTTGCTTGGGCATCACCTGATCTTCTCTCTCCCCTGCTCAGAAAGTCAGTGTCATATCAAGAAGATGCTTGAGTCTGATTGAAGTACAGGTAGGCTTATGGACAAGTGACAGGAGAAGGCTTTTCAGGTGGAGAGGCACATGAGCAAGTTTTAAAAGGTGGGGTATGAAAAGTATATTGGAGAAAATATCAAATGACCTACTTCGAGCATGAAGTTCACGAAAGAGAATTTTGGAAGATAAGGTTAGAAAAGTGGGTTGGAACCAGAACATGGAGGACCATGAATTTCAGATCAAAAGGTTTAAATGTACCTTTGAGATCCCTGGGAATTTAGCATAGAAAACAATCACACAGTAGTACGGTGTGTTTGGGGGAAGATCTCTCTGGTAGATGCTGTTAGATGAATTATAAAAGCAAGGTAGTATTAATAGAAGTAGAGAAACCCATTTGGACTCTTCCTACTATTACTTTCAATTCATGACTTCTTCTTAAACTTATTAAGAACAGTTTACCAAAGTAAACTTCACAAAGGCAGGGGACTTCTGTTCACTCTGGTATCTTCAGAGCCTAGAACAGTGCCTGGCACTGGTTGATGCTCAGCGGGTACTTGTTGAATTGAATGAATGAGACCCAGAAAGACCAAGTGACTGTTTTGAATTCACACAGCTAAGATAGGGACAGATCCAGGCCTAAAAATTGCACTCCCAGTTTGCTGTTTTCTTGACATGCTAGGCTGTCGTACAGGTCATTACTATTAGCGTGGCTTTTTCTTTGTCAACTCTTGTCAACTCTTACCCTAAATTCTTCTGAACTCTTCTTGCAAGTGATTGCAAACTGCCTCATATCTTACATACTCATCACAGCCTCCTCTGAGCTTTTTTTTTTTTTTTCCAAATTGAGACAGGGTCTCTGTCATCCAGGCTGCAGTACAGTGGTGCAATCATAGCTTACTGTAACCTTTAACTTCCAGGCTGTAATGATCCTCCTGCCTCAGCCTCCAGTCTGGCCCACACATTGCCACACCTGGCCAATTTTTAAATTTTCAGTAAAGACTGAGTCTCGCTACGTTGCCCAAGGCTGGTCTCAAACTCCTGGGCTCAAACAATCCTCCCACCTCAACCTCCCAAAGTGCTGGGATTACAGGCATGAGCCACTGCTCCCGGCCTAGGATCTTAATAGGTTGCTTTTATCTACAGACTTAATGGGTTGAATTGTTTATTGTTACTTTTTTCAGATGGTAAATCCCAGGTCAGAGACTGTCTTCTGCTTGTTTTATTTTTCAGCAGCCCTCCTCTCTGAACAGCCGCACTCAGAACGCCTTTGAGTGCAGAAGCTGGTTGACTGATTGCCCAGCCTCCAAGTCTGTCTTTTAGTTCAAGTTCTTATGGCATTACAAATATGTAGTTAAAACTGTTTTTGTCAGATTGGTAAAGGACCACTTAAATTTACTTGATATGGCCAGGTGGACGGATCACCTGAGGTCAGGAGTTGGCGACCAGGCTGGCCAACATGGTGAAACCCTGACTCTACTAAAAATACAAAAATTAGCTGGGTGTGGTGGTGGGCGCCTGTGATCCCAGCTACTTGGAAGGCTGAGGCAGGAGAATCACTAGAACCTGGGAGGCAGAGGTTGCAGTGAGCTGAGACCGCACCACCGCACTCCAGCCTGAGTGACAGGGTGAGACTCCATCTCAAAAAAAAAAGGAAAAATTTACTTGATAATTTTGTAATACTGATCACTCTGTATAGGCAGGGCATTGGTTCCAGGACTCCCCTCCTCCTACACCAAAATCCATGTATACTAAAGGCCTGCAGTCATCCTACACAACCCACATCTAGTCAGCCCTCCCCGTGTGCAGGTTCTGCATCCCATAATTTTGATCTGCGTTTGGTTGAAACAATCCTCGTGTACATGGTCCCAGCTGGTTCAAGCCTGTGTTGTTCAAGGGTCAACCGTAGTTGAAACAAATAGAAAAATGAAAATTTTAATTTTTTTAAGCTCTCTACTGAAAGTAATAGTCTTGTGAGCCTAAATTATTTATCATTTTGCAACTTAAAAGAAAAAAAAAACTCGGTGTTACTCTGTTTGATTCTGTGAGATCACCTTGAAATAAGATACCACGTAATGAGAACTATTGTGTGAAACCACTACAAAAACTGTGAGATGGCCACTGTCATTTATTGTGTAGATTTTACCTAGTAAGATCATTAGTCAGTGTGTTGCTTTATTTCAGTAGGAAAGTGCAATGGGTGCAATACTTTAGACCATGTAGTATCACTTTTTTTTTTTTTCTTGAGATGGAATCTCACTCTGTCGCCCAGGCTGGAGTGCAGTGGTGCGATCTCTGCTCACTGCAAACTCCACCTCCCGAGTTCAAGCGATTCGAATCAAGTAGCTGGGATTACAGGCGCCTGCCACTGCGCCTGGCTAATTTTTTTTTTTTTTTGAGACAGAGTTTTGCTCTTGCTGCCCAGGCTGGAGTGCAGTGGCGCAATCTCGGCTCACCGCAACCTCGGCCTCCTGGGTTCAAGTGATTCTCCTGCCTCAGCCTTCCGAGTAGCTGGGATTACAGGCATGCGCCACCATGCCCAGCTAATTTTGTATTTTTAGTAAATATGGGGTTTCTCCATGTTGGTCAGGCTGGTCTCGAACTCCGACCTCAGGTGATCCACCCGCCTCGGCCTCCCAAGGTGCTGAGATTACAGGTGTGAGCCACCGTGCCCAGCCGTAGTATCACTTTTGTGTGTATTTTGTTATAATTTCTTTCCCTGAAAAAAAACTATTCATTAAATGTAACAGAGGCTCTTATTAAGATTAATACAATAGTAAGGAATAAATGCTCTTAAATAGACCAAGAAATTGCTACACTTTTATAAACATATATAATTGTTCATGAATCATTAACCTTTAAATTTAGAGATGTTTCCCTCACAGTTGAAAGGAGAAAAGCTAAAAATACTGTATTAATGATATAGTGACTTTCTCTACAATATGAACTATTCAGCTATGAGTCAAAGAAGTCGATATTATTATAACTTATCAGATTTAACATTAAAAAATTATACAGTACTTCTTTTTTTGAGACAGAATCTCACTCTGTCACCCAGGCTAGAGTGCAGTGGTGCAATCTTGGCTCACTGCAACCTCCGCCTCCCGGGTTCAAGTGATTCTCCTGACTCAGCCTCCCGAGTAGCTGGGATTACAGTCGCCTGCTGCCATGTCCAGCTAATTTTTGTATTTTTAGTAGAGACAGGGTTTCACCATGTTGGCCAGCCTGGTCTCCAACTCCTGACCTCAGGTGATCCGCCCATCTCTGCCTCCCAAAGTGCTGGGATTACAGGCGTGAGCCACCACGCCAGGCCTGTTACAATACTTTTAATCTCAAAATGAATTAAAAATACTAGAGTATGAACTAGGTTTATATTAAATATGACAGTAATATGTAGTTCTAGAAGGTATCGATTTAGTATTTTAAAGGTTATGAAGTTACAAAATAAAAATTTTTAGGCTTTTCATGCTATGGAAAGAGATGATATCAGAGAAATATGTTTATGTTTTCTGTGAGATAGGTTTTGTGAGAGAACCATAGTTCTGTATTGTACTGGTTTTTACTTATAACCTATTACCTTATAAACTGTTGTTTTGTACATAATAAATAAGACTAATAAAATTTTTTTGCTTATTCAATTAGAAGGTTTTTAAATATGTCCCTTCTCACCCCCTAATGATCAGTATTCCCTTCCTGTGTTCATTCTTTTGATGTTTACTGCTGAATTAACCAGGTTTTTGTCTTTAAAGGTTCTTTGGCATATTATAGAAACAACTTCTGTGATAATGTCATTGAGGTACTTTTTGCAGAGTGGGGCAAGGGAAGGGTATGTTGATTAATAACTCTTAGGAGAGTTGCATAAAATATTTTCTCAACCTATTGAAGTTAGTTTCTAGTAATGTCTTTCTTAAGGAAAGAGTTTGAGCACAGTAAAATAAATATTTGCACTGGGTTTATATAAATTACTAAGATCAAACATTAAAATGGTCAGAATGCTTGTGTCCTCCTAAAATTTGTATGTTGAAACCTAATCCTCACTGGGAGGGTATGAGGAGCTTGGAACCTTGGGAGGTGATTAGGTCCCGAGGACTTCAGGAAGGGGACTGGTCCATGATGAAAAAGGAGGCTCCTTTGCCCCGGCTGCTGTGTGGAGGGAGACTCAGGGAGCACACGGCTGTGTCTGAATGAGGAAACATGCCTTAGTAGACACTGAATCTCCTGGCACCTTGAACGTGGATTTCCAGCCCGTTAGAACTGTGAGATAAAAATTTCTGTTGTTTGTAACCCACCCCGTTTATGGAATTTTTTTTATAGCGGCCGGATCTAAAATATGGGGCAAATAAATAAATGATTTTACCAAAGTCTTAGGGAATTAGAATACTCCCCCCAGCTATTTATAAAAAAAGTATACTGCTAGAGTCTTCAATTCAATTTAATAAGTATTTACTGAGTACCTACTATGTTTCTGACATCGGTGCTTTATTATTAATAATATAAGATACAGGAAATTCACTACTAACCATATACACTGTTGTAAGAAAGTAAAAGCAACAGTTTTTATAATACTGTAACTCATATAATTTAATAAATATTGACCAGTTGCATATAAAATAAAATGTCTTTAAAGTTTTTTTAGTTTTAACATTTTTATTGAGAATGTTTTCTTCTATTTTTTTAATATAAGAGGCCAAAGTACACCCAAGTCTCATTTCTCTATTAAGCTTGACTAAACATAGATAAACCTGAACTATTATTGAAGGCTGAAACCAAAGTACGTTATGGTTTATTAGGCTGTTAGGCTGATGGATTAGTTTAAACCTCAATGTAAATCACCAAAGAATACATGAAGACAAAACAAAAGCACTGTATGGGTGCAAGAAAGATGTAATTCTTCATTCACTGGGTTTTTATGCATTTAAGGGTATGATTGTTCCCTAGGGCTCCCATAATGAATTGCTCAGTCTGAGTGGCTTAAAACAACAGAATTGTAGTCTCTCACAGTTTTAGAGGCTAGACATCCAAAATCAAGGTGTTGACACAGCCATGCTTCCTCTGAATACTCTAGGGAAGAATCCTCCCCTGCTTTTTCCAACTTCTGGTTGCCCAGACATTCTTTGGCTTGTACCTGCATCATTTTACCTCCATTTTCATGTGGACTTCTTTCTTCTGTGTCTCTGTGAGGCTCAGGTGATCCTCCCACCTCAGCCTCCCAGGTAGCTGGGACTGCAGGTGTGTGCCACCATGCCTGGCTAATTTTTTTTATATTTTTTGTGGAGGTGGGGTCTCCCTATATTGCTGAGGCTGGTCTTGACTCCTGGGCTCAAGCGATCCTCCTGCCTTGGCCTCCCAAAGTGCTGGGATTACAGGTGTGAGCCAGTTTCCAGCCTCTGCGTGTCCATTTATCTTATAAGAACCCTGTCTTTGGATTTAGAGCTGCTCTAATCCAGAATGACCTCATCTTAACCAATTATACGCCAAGGACCATATTTCCAAATAAGGTCACATTCCGAGCTTCTTGGTGGCCATGAATTTTGAGGGCACGCTTTCCAACTTACTACAGAGGAAAAGGATACAAGAAGGTAAAAAAATGCTTCTCTTTGCTGTCTTCAGTTTTTTTTTTTTTTCCTTTCCCATTCCTTAGGGGGTTTAGATACGTTAGAATTGAGCATTCTTGCCTTCACACTCCTATTCTTTAAAGATATTTTATCTGCCAAAACTGACTTATGTTTCTTTTCTCCCAAGAGTCTCACATTATGGGAAGTGCTAGTAAGCCAGCCATAGAATTTTGAATGTTTGCTATTCAATCATAGGGGAAATTAAAATTTAGTTTTTATGCTTTTTTTATTTCAGAATTTTAAAAACTAGAAACAAAAATTCTGGAGACTGCCATACTCTAGTTGTGGCACTCAAAATGTAGTTATAAACCTTCTGGTGGTAAATTAAGCATCTTAGAGTATCCTAGTCATTAGTTATAATAAACTTTATGTGAGTATGGTCTGTTGCCTCAATTTCTCTTTAAGGTTTAAACTTACAAACTTTTTAATGTAAAAGAGAAATGATATAAGTGAACTTTATGATTGTCAACAAAGCTGATTTGTAATTTATTTTGAAAATTATCTTTGGCTTTCAGTTTTAAGTGGCAAAACTGATACCATAAATACCAAAACTGATATCCATAAATATACATAAAGCATATTTTGATAAACACATGACGTATTTATCTGTAAGAATGAAGGGATATCTAGGCCAGGAATTTCAAGAGGTTTGTCATCATTTTTCAAGACAATAAATGATATCCTGGGATCTAAAGTGTTATGTTCCCGAGGAATGATGCATGAGATCCTTTTCTGAGAGCAGCTATTGGTTAATTAGATATGGGAAAGCCCTTTCAGAGAAGTGGACTTAAGGAGGCCACAGAGAAGAGAAGAGCCTCAGGCACACACTGTGTCTGGCCTACAACTCCACTTTGGGTCACCCCTGCCAGTAGGAGAGTCTATATATGAACTATAATGACATGGAATATAGTTTAAACCCATCTTTATGAACACGCACCCTGTAAAGATCCAATCTGGTAATTAGAGTGTTAGAGTGGTTTATGCCTTTTTAGGGGAGCAGGATAGAGGTGGAGGATGGGAAGGGGTTCTAAATCAGGGACTTCAATCTGATATTTTGTAGTGTTTGTAAATGGGTGTCATCTACTGAGATTCCTCATTCAGGCATAAGAGAATGTCCTCCTTTCCTCAGGTTGCACAGGAAGAGGAGAAAGAATGGGTGATGATCTTACCTATGAAACTTAAATTCATAATAATATGAATAGGCATTACATTTATGAAAACCTTTTGCCAGTTTAAAAATGTTTTAGGCCGGGCCTGGTGGCTCATGCCTGTAATCCCAGCACTTGGGGAGTCTGAGGTGGGAGGATCGCTTGAGCCCAGGAGTTTGAGACCAACCTGGGTAATGTAGGGGAGACTGTCTCTACAAAAAAATGCAAACTATTAAAAAGGCATTACATAACAAAAGTTACTTTGTTAACTTGTTTTTATACAAAATTAGGATGCTCCGTATATTTGACAGTGGTCAGATTTCCGCTGTGGGTGGGGCTGTGTGGTTTAAGCTCAAGGTAAGGTATATATGCTGTGCTGGATGCCAGAAGACATGAGTCCTGATCTGTGCTCAGCTACCAACTACATGACTTGGGCTGGATAACAAAACCCTAACAGACGCCTCAAAGACCTTCAAAAGCAATGGTTTGGATTTTTTTTAGTTCTGAAATTCTTCCGTTATCCTTTTATTTAAACTAACACATAACATCTGCATTTCAGGTGTCTGTTAGTATTGATCAGAATTGTATTGTTTGTCTACTACTACCTGGAAATGTTCCTGATGATGAAAATAAAACATTCCCTTGTTATGATCTGCTTTTTTGGTTCTGTTGATTTGTTTAGCAGAATAGCAGCTTGGCATCATACTACTTTTAGGAGACTTTCCTTCAATACTATGTTAGGCTCTGTACCCATAAGTTCTTTCATTATTTTTCAGGAGTCTTCAAGTAAATTGAAAATAAAAAAAATCCTGTGTGCTTGTGTGTGTGTGTGTGTGTGTGTGTGTGTGTGTGTGTGTGTGTGTGTATGTGCATGTTGATTAGGCTATTAACATCGTGTCTTCTTTTTTCCAATACTAATAATCACTAATTTATCTATATTTTGAACTATTGGCCAGTTACTCTGAGTTAAAGAAAAAATTAATCTCTATATGGATTTAAAACAAAGATCAGTAAATCAATGACGATGAGATGATTTTAGGATCTTTTTTACTTAGCCAGAAGGGTCATCAACTGATTTTTGAAAGTTATGTTTGTTTGTGCATCTCCAATGGAAACATTATTTGTGATTAGTTTATTTTTATTCTTAAGTATTCTTGATAAGCATCTGAATGTCTGCCTGAATGAATTTGAAAAACTAAAACAAGCTGAGATTTAATGTCTCTGTTTTAGTGTTAGTCTCTGCTATCATATGCCCCAATTTCATAATTTTATTGTAATAAAATTAAAGCATTAATTGCTGCATTTTTAGTTCACGTAATTCATATTTCATATATTAAAGTTCAGAAGAGTTATTTGTAACTCTAGATAGAGAAGGACTTAACCAAGATCTTGAGGAAATGAAGACCCAAAGAAGTGAAGAGATTTAGGCCAAGCACGGTGGCTCATGCTTGCAGTCCCAACACTTTGGGAGGCTGAGGCAGGCATATCACTTGAGGTCAGGAGTTCAAGACCAGCCTGGCCAACATGGCGAAACCCTGTCTCAACTAAAAATGCAAAATGAGCCGGGCATGGTGGCGCTCACCTGTAGTCCCAGGTACTCAGGAGGCTGAGGCAAGAGAATTGCTTGAACCTGGGAGGCGGAGGTTGCAGTGAGCAGAGATCATGCCACTGCACTCCAGCTTGGGCAACAGAGCGAGACTCTGTCTCAAAAAAAAAAAAAAAAGAGAACTGGAAGCCAGCTTTCTGGATGCTTAACCAGTATTCTCTCCATTATACCAATAGTTTGTTAAAATAATGGCATTTGCTTTAGAGAAATTCAAGTAGCTTTCTGGTCTGTGTGATATCTATGTAAAATCCTGTTTTATAACATAAATGTAAACAGTGATTTTAATGATATTTTTTTCTGTTGTCTCAGATATCCCAGGACATCTGGAAGAGTTCCTATAAATTTTAGTTTTTTAATTACAAAATATCCAGCGGGGACAGGGCCATTTTAGAAATGAGTAATGAAATCATAGAGTTAGAAAGAATCCCAAGTGACCGTGAATGCTAACTTGTCCCTTGGGTAAGGTCATCATTTAAAAAAGTACGAAACCATTTTATATGCTGTAGAAACTGGCTTCGTAATGGGCCCCTAAAGTCATTTATCTGTTTGTACTGTCCTAAGCAAGTCATTTATTAACTAGTGAAAATAATATGTAAGTGTTCTGTTGTAAATGTGATGATCAAAAACTATAGTAAACAGAGAAAGGCAACCCCTAATTTATGTAAACCTGTATTTTAGAAGTTTGTTTATAATTCAGAAAGTATTTTCTCACAATATCTTAGTTTCCCAGGGTAATCCATACATTCTATTTAACCCCGTTTAACATATGAATGATAAGAAGGACCATCCCGAAATTCTTGTTCTCAATTCTAGTTCTGAATGCCAAGAACACAGCTCCTTTGGTTAAGCATCTGGACTTCAACCTGACCACTTGCACTAGACCATAGAATAGGATGTATGTAGAATTTCAAAATGAGGAAAGGAGAGGGAAAAACATACATTAATGGCTGCTAAGAGAAGAGAAAAGGGTCATATCCTTGGTTACTCTTTGCCAAAAATAAAAATAAAACACATTGTAAGGACCACCATGCTTTTGAGCTCCTGTAGACACCAGGCAAGGATTTGCCATAGGACATTTGTGTCAGTTAGGGTGTATCCATTATGTAGAAAGCTCTAAAACTTCACCATGGGAATGTGGGAATGGGTCTGTTCTGAGACCTTTTCAATGTTGTAAGTCATTAGAGAACTAGCCTCAAACCAAAACTCTCCATGATTCCCAGGTAAATTGCAACACATTTAGTTGCATAGCTCTGAAACTTTTCCATTTGAATACAACAATTACCGGGTGTTCAGGAAATTAGATTTGTTGCAATATTTTAAGTGATTTAAATGAAGATCAGTATTATTTTTTAGTATAGAAATCTTCTAGTAACAGAGTTTACCACGTCCGTCAATGTGAATACAATTATATTTGCCTCGAATTTTATTTGCATTTGTTTTTCTGCCTATTTTCTTGTGGAAATTTTAATGAGCAGTGAAATGACCAAAAGCTGGGCCACGGAGAGGAAAATAAAGATAATCTAAAACATGTTTAATTATCCTCAGCATAATACACACTTCACTGTAATAGGGATAATGCAAGAACATTCAGATTATCTAAACACATTTAAAAATGGCCTTCCAGTGTTAGGAGCATAAGTATGCCACTATGAATTGTGTGTGTATGATGAACTTTCTTACACAGTCATGTGTTGCCTAAAGACATGGATGCAGTCTAAGAAAATCTCATTGTTAGGTGATGTCATTGTAGTGCTACGATCACTGAGTGTACTTACACAAACCAAGATGGTATAGCCTACTGCATACTTAGGCTGTATGGTATAGCCTGTTACTCCTAGGCTGCAAACCTGTACAGCAGAGTACTCTACTGAATACCTTAGGCAGTTGTAGCACAATGGTATGTATTGGTGTATCTAAGCAGAAAAGATACAGTAAAAATATAATATTACAATCTTATGAGACCAGCATCATCATATATGTGGTTCATCATTGAAATGTTATGTGGCACATGCCTCTGTGTGTGTGTGTGTGTGTGTGTGTAAGTATATGTTTATAACATGTATAAATGCTTTTACTTATAAAGTAATTATATTATAAAATAAACATGTCATGAAATAGTGTACTTAAGAAATAATCCGAGGTGAATAGATTATTTAAGCACTATTCCTTAGGATAGCACAGTACATCATATGTCTTATTCACCTGTTTTCTTAAAAATTGTATTCAGAAGTCAACTTTTATTTTAAAACCTCATTAAATCATCCTTATAAGCAAAGGTAATTAAGATGGTGTCATTTCATTTTAGTGAGTTATAGTTCTCTGGACTCTCCCTCTGTCACTGTTTCCAATTAGAATTTCTCTAAAAGTTACAAGAGTAGTTAATTTTAATTACTAAAAATACCTAGGGGGAAATTTGTTGAGTGGACTCTTGAATTTCAAGGGATTTTTGTCTTGCAAGTAAATTATAGAGCAGAGGCTATAAATTAGTTCTCCATTCTTTTTAGACCTTGAACTTTTTATTATTCTGCCTAAATGTAACTGTAACTTCCATTTTCTCATCTTAAAATTTGCAAATTTATGTTCTCTATATTTCTTTCATGATTAGCAAGAGGTCTCTGTCTTACATATTTTTTGAACCTTACTTTCTCAATTTACTAATTTGTAATTTCTACTCTAATCTTTATTAATCCCCTTCTTTTTCTTAGACATAATTATGGCTATTAATATGCTGCTAAATGCAACTTTGTCCCCATTCCATGTGTAGGTGTTCTTTTTAAAATTGTTCTGTGTACATTTTGTGATTGAATATTTGATTTTCTAGACATTTTGATTTTTACTATTTAAAACTTTCTAGGTTTAATTCATTGATAACAGAAAATGTGGCTTGGATATGTAAGCTTTTTAAAGATTTGTAAGGGTTTTCTTTGCCTCTTACATAGTGATCTTCAAACTTTTTGCTTACATACTCACTAAAAGAATTTGATGAACTCAATACCCTCCTACACATTTTAAAGTTGAAGTCAAATACTTTTCATCACAAGTAAAAATAATTGCAAAGGATTAATTTCCAGTGTATGACAAATATTGATATTTTAAATAAATTGTTATATCACAATTTTTTTTTAAGAGAGTCTCGTTCTGTTGCTAGGCTGGAGTGCAATGGCATGATCATAGCTCATTACAGCTTTGACCTCCTGGGATCAAGCTATCCTCTCACCTCAGCCTCCCAAGTAGCTAGGACTAAAGGTGCATGCCATCATGCCCGGTTAATTGTATCATTTTGTTGTTGTTGTGGAGACAGAGTCTTGCTATGTTGTTCAGGCTGGTCTGGAACTGCTGGCCTCTATTATATCATGACTATTCAGTGTCCATTGATAATTATAAACAAATACTATATGCTCTTCCAATCGGATGCTCACCATCAGGTATTTATTAATAATTTACGAAACTCCTCAACACTAGAATATTTTACATTATTTCTTCTCTTTGAAATTTGTATTTTCATTCCACATTTCCTGGAATATTTTAATATAATATACCTTTATTCTTGAAATTCCTTTATTGTTCAACTTACTGTACCCTTCTGCAACAAATGCAGCCATATATATATTTGGAAAATGTCTATGGCTTCAAGGTCCTAAGAGATAGAAACAAAGATCTTCTTTGAATTTCAGAAACAAATGCTCTTCTTTGAGTTCCAAATACTGTTATAATCTGTACACACTTGATCCAAAACCAAACATGTACGCTCTAATAAAAAATTATTGTTTATAAAAACTGGCCGGGTGCCGTGGCTCATGCCTGTAATCCCAGCACTTTGGGAGGCCAAGGCGGGTGGATCACGAAGTCAGGAGATCGAGACCATGCTGGCTAACACAGTGAAACCCCGTCTCTACTAAAAATACAAAAAATTAGCCAGGCGTGGTGGCGGGTGCCTGTAGTCCCAGCTACTCGGGAGGCTGAGGCAAGTGAATGGCGTGAACTAGGGAGGCGGAGCTTGCAGTGAGCCGAGATCGCGCCGCTGCACTCCAGCCTGGGCGACAGAGCGAGACTTCATCTAAAAAAAAATAAAATAAAATAAAAAATTTGTGGCCAGGCACTGTGGCTCCGCAATTTTGGAGGCCGAGGTGGGAGGATTGCTTAAGGCCAGGGGTTTGGGCAACATATGAGACCCTGTCTCTACAAAAAATAAGAATATTAGCAAGGTATGTTGGCACCACCTGTAGTCCCAGCTACTCTGGAGGCTGAGGCTGGAGGATAGCTTGAACTCAGGAGTTCAAGGTTGCAGTGAGCTATGATTGTGCCACTGCACTCCAGCCTGGGCCACAAAGTGAGACCCTGTCTCCAAAAATAATTTTAAATATAAATAAATAAAATTGTATTGGAAATGTATCTCCTGATGAGATGAGGTGGTAATTATAATTGTTCGTGGCTCTTTGATTTGCTGCTCTAGAATGGGCATTGCCTCATGGTAAGTTTCTAGGTAGATGAGAAAAGAAGCTCTTCTGTAGGTACCAGATCAGCCAAGTCAATATAAGGGCCTGAAATGAATTCCTTTGCAACTGTTCAGGCTTACCTACCCCTTAGAAATTTTTTACTCACAGGATTATAGATACCATGGCTTGAAGACCACTGGTCTAATAGATGGTACATTTTTATGTATGATCATATTATGATTATTAATGCACTTGAAAATATTCTTATTTGTAGGCATCAGCATTTGCTCTCTATGCATTCAACCATATTTAAATGTATGATTTAGATGAGTGAGTGTAATTCAGCTAGGGCACTATTTAGCATTGTGGATGGGATAATTCCTCTTTTTGAGAAACTGTCTCTTATATTTTAGGGACATCACTTAGTCTAAGTATCCTTAGAGGCTAACAGACATTGTGGCAACTCAAAAACTTCACACCCCGTTTCCAGACATTCTCAGGCAATGAGAACTGTCCCAGATTGAAAATTACCGACATAAATCCCAAACATCCTTTTTAAGCCTGTTTGCTTCTTTAGAGGTTTAAAAGACCTGTTAAACTGTTTTGTTTCTGTTCTTTGTGTGCATATTTCTTACTGTTTTGCTTTATTGACACATAGAGTTCATGCCTATTATATTTTCATTGTAGGCTGTAACCTTAATATATATCCTTTTTTATCTAAGTGAATGCTTTCTTCTATCATAATTCTATTTTATTTGATATTAATATTGTATCCCCTTCTTTTTAATTGAACTTACCTGGTTTATGTGTGCCTCTAGCTTTGCATTTAACCTTCCCATTATCGCTGCTCCCTAATGCTGTTGTCCTCTTGTGCATAATGGTTGCAAGTCACATTGTCCCATCTCTCTGAGACCTACTCGTATCTACACACTTCAGCTCTTCAAAAGAGTTGATGTTAGTCATGCTTCATTAAAATTTCCCCCATATAAGTCCTCTGAACTGCAAGGGCTTCTGAAGATGGGCAGTGCACACTTATTGGAGGTACCTTCCTTCCACTAGTCACAACTGCTGTGGATCCAGCAGAAATTCCTCACTATTTCTGGAATAGGAGGACTCCTTTAGTGGTAGGTTACCCCCTGGTTTGGTATCTTTAAGTCGTTTCATTTCATATTAGAACGGAAGACTGTTAGATGCCTATGCCTAAGTTGCCGTCTTATTTGAAAGTTGGTTATTTTTTAAAAAATTATTCTTTTTAAAATATATCAGTGATTATCAAATTATGTAAATACAAAACTGGTCGTGGAATGGAGAATGGGTGTGTCTACTATTGGTGTATATTACTTATTTAAAACTGATCAATTTTTTTTTTTCTGGGTCAGTTTTGTGAAAGTGTAACTTACTCAACAGAATGACTTGATGGAAGTTGTAGTGAACAAATCATATCATTGATGACGGGGGTGTGTTTTTATATGCCTAATAATGTTAGACTGAAATGCCATAATACTAGAGGAAATTTAGAAAGCATTTTGTAGCTCTTAAAAGATTGATACTTTGGTAGCTTGCATTATTAGAAACCAGAACATCTATCTGCATACATATACATACTTCTTTATTCAGTTCATAAATTTAACTTGTGAAAATGACAAGTAGTAGCAAGCTCACACTCGGGATTTAATCTTCACTGACTAATTCATCAGACATTTTACCTTTCTGTAGTCACAGATGGTTTTAATGTCTGTCTGTATTGAACAATCACTCAGATGTGTCCATCTTCGTCTTTATTGGATAAATAATAATTCAGTATCCCTCAAGTGACTATGATAATTGGATTCCAGAAGAGAATTCAAGGCTTCTAGGTACTATCATATTCAAAATTTGATCTCTGTGTTCCAGTCTCTCTCGTACATTTGAATATTTTCCAGCTTAAGTGGAATATATGGGACAGTAGTATTTTGTGTAAATTACTTAGAATAGATTTTGTAGAGAAGCCCTAAGTGTAACCTCTTTGCTTTTTAAAAATGGCATTTGCCATTCCAAAGTAAGTCCCTGGTGGTGTTACTTGACTCATTCCAAAATGACCTACACTTGATTAAGTGAAGTCTCATCTAATAGCTGAAACTCCCCAGAGATTTTTAGTGGCTGTTTAAAATGAATGTCTGTATTTAAACCCATTTTAGTCTATAGCCAACCTTTATTTCCTCTATATCCAGAGGCAGAAAACAGATGTATTTCTTTTTTCATCTCTTGTTGGTAAAAACAGATAGATGTTGTGGCAGTGGTTATGTGTATGACTTTTAATTGTTTGGGTTTGGAGAGAAGAAAAACCTGATAGCATATTAAAGTATTTAAGACAGGCTTGATGATTTCTGTGATGCTGGAGAAATGTATATTTTTATTGTCAATGTTTTGAAGAGTTAGAAAATGTTTATTTTTAAAGAATGGTACTAAGAGCATAAAATTTCAGCAGTCCATTCTATGTTTTCAAGATTTATGTATATTATATATAGAAACATACATGTGTGTATATGTATCTATATATTTGGACACACATATATTTCATTTCTCAAGTTTTTATTGCTGTAATTCTCTGAATTTACTCATGCTTTCCTTAGGAGCCTCTATATCAACTGCAGAAGTGAACTTTTAGGTCTGACAGTGAGCTGAACAATACTTCCACGGATAAAGTACATGGTCTTGAAGATCAGCTGCTGTAAATGTTATAAGAACTTATTATCGATGGGAGAAGCTGAAGAATACCATCTCTCCTGTTGTCTCACAGGAGGTCATTACTGACATTGGTTTTGACATACTTGAATCTTCAGAAAGGTTATTATTGTCCACTTCTTAAAGTTTAGTCTGAACAGGCTTGTTCTACTTCTAAACCCAATTGAAATGAGTCTGTGTTCAACACTGTTTATAAGGTTCTCCATGCCAGAGGACAGCCGCTATCTATAGCAGAATGAAGATGAGGCAGAACTATTTCCGTGAGATATTTTTACTTCAAATATTTATTTCAAGGATTGTGCCACAGTTAGTATTTTAATTTGTTTTTAGTAGTGACCTTGGCTGCTGTGTATATTGGTACAGTGTGCTAGAGGCAGCACTTTTCACTGTCCATTTTCTTCAAAATCTACGATTTGATCAAAACCTTCAAGCACTTTACAGTCTAGAACCTTTGAAATGACTAGAGAGTTGTATAGGGATTGTTACCTTGGGTAGAAAGAGCCTTGTATGAGCATCCTGGGTGACTGTTTTCTGAGTTTTACCCGGAAGGAAGTGTGAAGACACTGTCTTCCGTCTTTTGCCGTCATCAGCGTTCCACCTTCATTGAGACCCTGCAAGACCCTGGCAGCCTTGGCTTCCAGGCATGGTTTACACCATGTGAAAGCAAACAAGTAAACACAAATATCAAGCCTAAATTTATTTTTTATGGTCACAGAGTTCCTAAAGGTTAAAAACTTTCAGAATGGGTCTGCATAGGGCCCTCCCACCGGCCTCCTGAATCCCTCCTCCAGTGACTTTCCTGTCAGGTTTATAATGTCTTTTCGTTCTTTATTTCTTGATTGCATTCTATGATTTTCCCCTAAGACAAGCTGTATGATTAAATTACCCAAGTTTCCAGGATTATACTTTTCTTTACATAGCACAAGCTGTTTAATACATTTTGTATCTGAGATGCAACAAATCACATCTGAGATACACAGATAAACAGCAGTTCATCTACTTTATTTTTTAATACTTATTTTTAATAATCAAATAAAATCATACTTTATGTCTTTAAATCATATTTTTAATTACAGAAAGTGAATATTGAAAAACAAAGTAAAAAATAATGAATAAAATTATGCAGATGCTCTGGAAAATACCTGGAGAGAACCTGTGACTAATTTGGTACAAAGCAGAACAAATGTTAATTTAGTTATAGATTATATATACTTTTATATCATACCAATTGTCAATTTTACACATAGTGAGAACTGTTTCAACTGTAAAATGTCTTTCAGGAACAAATCTGAATATTAATTTAGCTTACTTGTTTCTGTGGAACTTAAACACTTTTGCACTTTTCTTTAGAATTTTGAATTTTAAAAAATTAAAAATAACTTTTGTAATTGAGGTAATAATCCTCATTTGTAGTGTTGAAAATATTATTTTCATACTACTCTCATTCTTTAAAAATAAACACTAAAAATAACCAGTCCAGTAAAATTAAAGAATTAGTCAAATTTTTTCTAATGTCATGTGAAAATTTATTGACTATTTTATTTTTTGAAATATTAGTGCCATTGTAGTGCCAGTTAAAATATTTAATGGTTGATGTACGGTACTTTGCTAATATTCATTCTGCTTATGTCATTCTTATAATATTTTTAGGAAAAAAATTTGAGTTTCATATGTAGAGTTTTTTTTTTAATAATTAATCTCCTGTAAAGAAGTGTGCCATATGGTGTAAAATTTTGCTGTACTATTTTTCAAGATTTTTTTGTAGCCCTCACCGTGAGTCTTCCCAATCACAGGCTTTCATCCTTATACAGTGACTTGACTCTTTGCCACTAGAGGGCAGTAAAAAAATTTATATGTTAATAAATATACCATTGTAGCATTTTTTTAGGCTTTTGTACTATTGTTCTAGAATATCAACCCTGGAAAGTTTATCTAGATGTCTGCTCTTCAACCAGAAAGGAAATACACAAACCTGGGTAAATTTATCTTCAAATCTTTATGGATTATACTTAAATTTTGTGTTGGTTATATTAAAACTAGTTATGATATTATAGATAAAATATTATTTAATCATGCAGAGTTTCTAGAAATGTATGGTTTTAAAGTACTCCTTTTGTTTTATTAGGGTGGGGATTATTTTAGGAATGGAAGACTTTTATGATTGATGGTTGTTGGCTAAATTTTATTGGATAGATTCTTATTTGGTACATTTTATTTACTAGTATATTTTACTTGAAGGAATGTTTGTCTTTTAAAATGTTTTTCAATTTTTTGAAAATTGTAGTTGGAAACTAAAAGATTCAGTACGTAAAATACTTTGGACCCAATACTTGTCATAATTTTCCTTAACAATATAGTTAAGTGTTCAGTTTAGTTTCCTGTTAGACACAAAATACAGTCTTTTAGCTTGGCAAGTTAAAAGTCTGTAATTTTCAGAAGTGGGTAGAATTACTGAGGGATAGAAATGTTAAAATTTTCTAATGATACTATACATGTTTATAATTTATTTAGTTCTGTGATGAAATACCAAAGACCACTTTTATGGATTAGTCAGGCTACGTTTTTATATTAACTTACCTTTTTATTTATTTTATTTTAATATAAATAAATTCATGAATTTGACGATTATAAATATATTTATTATAGTCAGCCCATCATCCCCAGAACACTGCAGCCTAAACTCAGGCTTATGAGTACTTAATTACTAAATTGGAAAGTGTAGCATCTTGTTAAAACAGCAAGGCTTATGATATCGAATGTGTAATTTTGAAGAAATGAGGAATGCCATTTGTTTTTATTAAGCTGGGATTTGAGTGTTTGAAGAAAGCATTGAGGGAGGCATTTCTTTAGAAACTGAAGTAATAATCCTCATTTGTAGTGTTGAAAATACTATTTTTACAGTACTCTGACTCTTTATAAATAACCATAGGATCTACTGATAAATTGTTTTTTGTCATTTTCCATTCTATGGAGAATTCTACGTAACTTCAAAATTAGAAGTAAATATTTTTGATCTCTTAATGGAGTATAATTTTCTTGTGAGGGAAAACCCAATATATATTGATTTAGGATTTCTGAGATATAAGAACCTTTTTTATGATATTGATATTCTGTAAAAACAAATAAACGGATGGAATTATAAAGTCTTTTTCCCTGAAGTGTTGCCTGCACGTTTAGAAAATAAATGTATTTAGAAAAGACAAAAGTAAAGAATAGTTATTTTTTTTCACATAATCTATTAATATATTGTATTCTTCCTTGGGTATGATGGATAGCAACAGGAAGTATTTGATTATAGTTTCAAAAATTGTATCAACAGTATTCTGTTTTGAGAATTACGATCTATATTATTGTAGAATTTTAAAAGTGGTTTTCCAGATATCACATTTTTAATCTCTCTGAGCTGTGTGGAAGATTCACTTATTTTGGTCATGCTAAGCTTCCTTAGTGAAATTGGCACTAAAAATAAAACCAATAATAATAATTTAACAAGTAAAATCTTGAGTGGAGTCTAGAATTTTACAGTAATTTAGCAAGATATCTTAAGTTTCACTCTCCCAGTCTTTCAAACTGAAGCCTTTTGCAAATATAGCTGCTGGAGGCTCTTGGTATCGTTAATTGTTTGCTAAAATATCCTAGAAACACAGCAGGCCAGTTTTCTAATGATGTTTTTCAAAATCACAATTTCCTTTTGCCAAAGTGTGAAAGAATTGTTTTTGAAATACAGTTTTTAAGTTTGCTTGTAGGCCTTAAGTAACTAATATATTAACACATTTGCTTTAAATTCATATATATGCATATATATTTAATTTTAAAAAGTGTCTTCGTAAAGATGAAAAGTTAAAATTTGGTTCTAATTCTATTTGGAACTCTGTATCTTTGAAAACAGTACTATTTAATGAACAATTGGTTGTATCATTTTAATTTTTCTTTTTTTTGAAAAATCAAAGCATATAGATATTTTATGAAATTTTCTTAGGCTTCTTGTATTTTAACTCTGAATTTATGTGGTGGATCTCTAGACACAATATGAATTTTCTGTCAATGACTAAAATATGGTTTTATTATGTCAAATCTGAACTGACATATTTTTAGGCAATTGTTTCAGGGAACAGAGAATTGGGTATTTGATTTTGAGATATACGGAGTCATTTTATTGAGTTTGAAAGGCACAAGTAGTTGAGAGAGTTTCCTTTTTTTCTGTTAAATACTAGTCTATTTGAAGAGTCGTTTTCTTTTCTTTCT
Source organism: Homo sapiens (assembly GCF_000001405.40). NCBI lineage: Eukaryota > Metazoa > Chordata > Mammalia > Primates > Hominidae > Homo > Homo sapiens. The sequence goes on from NC_000004.12 coordinate 182,481,018, forward strand.
TTCTTTCTTTTTTAATATAATCCTCTTATCTATTGCTTGGGGTTAGAAGTTGAGAAATTGCATTTTGCCAAAGTGAATAATTGAGAATTTGTAACACAGACTCTGAAAAATAATTCAGAGAGAGGCCAAGAGAGTTTCTATAACAAGTCGTAAATATATTTTTTAAAGAAACAGACTGAAAAACTAATTTCTAAATCAAGATTTAAATGTAACAATAAACAAGGAGTTAAAGAGAAAGTCCAGATATAAACCTAAAAGTTAAATCGCTTTTCTTTATCTTGAACTTTGTGACAATAAAGAAGACACCTCATTTTCTCTTTTACTTTACCTTGACTTTTCTGAAATTCTTATGAAATAAGTATAGCTCCTGTTAGTTATCTGTTTTAAACAATCTTTTGTGCTTAAAGATTCATTATTCAGTAGGGTAAATCCTCACCTTTACACTTACGTTGAGATTTTTTTAAAATTATTTTTCTACTTTAAAATATGATTATAGGCCGGGCACGGTGGCTCACACCTGTAATCCCAGCACTTTGGGAGGCCGAAGCAGACGGATTGCCTGAGCTCAGGCGTTCACGACCGGCCTGAGCAACACGGTGAAACCCCGTCTCTACTAAAATACACAAAATTAGCCAGGCATGGCTGTGTGCACCTGTAGTCCCAGCTACTGGGAAGGCTGAGGCAGGAGAATTGTTTGAGCCCAGGAGGCAAGGGTTTCAGTGAGCCGAGATGGTGCCACTGCACTGCAGCCTGGGCAACAGAGTGAGACTCTTGTCTCAAAAATCAATCACTCACTCAATACAATAAAATACAATACAATTATAATTTACTTCTAACAATAACTTAATGATTTTTTGCTTTATATCAAAATTTAAGAAGTGATATTTTCTTTGTTACTTTCTTTCATTTCTGGTTATTGTAATGGAAGGCAAAATATGACATACCAAAGAAGTAAATTTCTCTAGACAGTGCACAACACTGAAGTAAATGCAGATACTGTATCTTAATTGAGTATATTTAAATGCAATGTTAATTAAACTTATACTTCAGTTTTTACCTATGAACCTAAAACAAAAGCCACCAATTATACATTGAATTTTATTAAATATTGTATCTATAACTTATAAAAATAATGTAAATTCAGTGATTTTCATTGAGACATGCTGACCTAGAATCACTCACTGAAAAATAGGTTTTGAAGGGTAACTCTTATTTTACTATAAATACGTTTGGCTTAATTACAATAATGCTTTTCAATTTATGGTTCCTTTTCTTTCAAAATAAGGATAAAGTAAACCTAGTTATTAATATGCTTATATCTATATTGTAGATTTTTTGTATGTTCCTATGAACATAATACATACATTGATTTTATTTGCCTTTTAATAACATGGGCAGAATGTAATGTGGAAGGTACCACCACTAATTGTGATTTTAAAAAAATTACCCTTCAGTGTAATCCTGCAACTATTATTGTGGAATATATCAATATGATTAAATTTTGGCATTGCAGAACAGAATCTTCACTGCACTGTAGGTTAGAATACAAGAAAAATTGAAAATAAAATGAGAAAATTTCTTTCTTAACCTTTTGCAATTTTAGTATAATTTTGCTAACCTGTGAAAATGTCTACACATAGGCATTGTCTTGTACATGGCAAGACAGCATTGTCTCTGACACACCTGCATTATTTGAGATGTATGCATTCATGTCAGTTCTTTTCAGAAACAGTAGGTAGGTATTACACAGGAATATGGTCTATTTTTATGGCCTTCTCCCATAAGATGCCTTCTTTGTAACATATCACAGTGTACTTAAAAGAGGTCATTAAAATTAAAAAGATCCAAGGAAGCAGTTACGAGTGTAGACCTTCAATATATGAATTAATTTTGGATTTCAGATTCCTTTTAGATTTGTTTTAGCTCTCTACATGTCATATACTTAAAGTTTTCATTGAAATTAAGAATATTACCCAAATTTTCATATTGCTTTAGGAATATTTACAGGAAAAGAAAAAGAACATGTTTGTTCTTCAGCTATTTTTTTCTTTACGGAGCATATCATCACCACAATTTCATATTCAAGCTTTAAAGCAGAACTCATTAATGCATGTTTCATATGCGTTGCCAAAAATACAAAATTGTTTTCTTGCTTTATCTAGTGCTGAGATTTTTAGCTGGACTAACAACATTGTGTTTGTCTCTATGGCACATTATCAACGTGTCTCTGTAGCAGAAATAGTAGATGGTTGGAATAAATAGTAGACGTGCACTGGTGTGTGTTTATGTTTATGTAACAGTACCATTTTCCAGAGCTATCATTTAATACCAGCACTTTATGCCATATTGAAGGACAGTTGCAAGCCAATGACTTGATGCTAGTTTGTAGTCACATAGTTAATGTAAGAGCCTAAAGGATCAAGCAACTCAGCTTCTCAAATATTAGGGTCATTTGATACCAGTTCTCCTAGATGTGATTTAACCATTGTTTCTAGAAATTAGAAATGGAACTACTATACTAATAACAAAAGGAGCAATGTGTGATCCCATATATCTCAACAATGAGGTATGTCTAGGAAGGTATAGCAATATAACAAGATTGTCAGTATATCCATTAGTATGTCTGTGTATTAGTCTGTTCTCACATTGCTATAAAAAAACTACCTGATACTGGTAGTTTTTCTTTATAAAGAAAAGGGGTTTCATTGGCTCACAGTTCCACAGGCTGTACAGGAAGTATGGCTGGGGAGGCCTCAAGAGACTTAGAATCATGGTAGGAGGCAAAGAGGAATGAGGCATGTCTTACATAGCCAGAGCAGGAGGAAGAGAGTGAAGGGAGAAGTGCTACCCATTCTTAACCAGATCTCGCGAGAACTCACTCACTATCACAAGAACGACAAGGAAGTCCTCCCCCATGAGCCAGTCACCTCCCACTAGGCTTCTCCTCCAGCACTCAGGGTTACAATTCTGCATGAGATCTGTGTGGGGACACAAACCCGAACCACATCGGCCTGTTACTTTCATGAGAGCGGGACTCATGCTTTCTTACTATCAAGTTATTTCTAGCATTTATGACAATGACTAGACACCCACACAGTAGCAAATAAGTGATGATAGCAGCAAACATCAAGTGCCAGGTACTGTTCTAAGTACTCTGCATAGATGAGTGTATTTAATCCTTACACCAATCCGATAAAATAGGTACTATTTTTACCACCCATTTTACAAGAAATGAGGTGAAAAAGAGATGAAGTAACTGGCCTGAGGTCATGCAGCTAGTCAGTTGTGGAGCTAGGATTTGAACCCAGGCAGTGTGGCTTAACACTTAATGCTCCGAATCATTACCATACTTCTCATGTGTATAGAGTGCACTATTACCAATCAATTTTATAGGCTCTGTTTCCTTGTTTTCCCTTTCACAGCTGACAGAACAGTGGTAATACTTTACCTTATTTGTTCCATGTGGTTATTTTTAATACATGGGGAAAACGAGAAAGTTTTAGAAGTTGGTTGATATGAATTACCCTTTGAATACGATTAATTTTGAATGATTGTGTGCCTACCTATGAGAATTGTTTGTTAAAATTTTGTATGTCAGGAAAGATTCAGGAATATTAATATTAAATAAATTAATGATAAAGAAAAGCTGTCGTGTTATTTCTGAACTGGAGTACCCATTTCAAAATGTATTAAAAGTTATGCAAATTGGTCCTTCTTAGAGTTACTGATAATTGTGTGATTTACTGTTAATGATCATGAAAGCTACTTGAGTTGATACTATGTCTGAATTAATTTATTTATGGAATTATAAGACAAAATTAACTTGTTAAAAAATTCAGTACAGTAGATAATGCAAATATTATCATTTAATATACACTACTAAATTAATAGTTCTCTAATGGCCACAGATACTCCGTGTTTTAAGCCATGTTAGACATTTTATGATGTTTCATTTTAACTTAGAAAGATACATAGTACCTTTATTATAAATCTGTTTTTCATAGTTTATTAATAATTCAAAAACTTTCAAGAAGACATTTTATCTTATACCTCCTATAAATAAAGGTATACCATGTTCCTTGCAGGCACTGAAAAATTGTGGTATGGTATATAAATCAGTATTTTCTGGTAATGGATGTGCAAATGGCTTTCACAGCCCTGTCCTCGTTTGTATTTTTAGGAGTGACATAAGTGTATATATAACATTTTCCCCTTCATTACAAATGCATCAGCAAAACTGCTGATACTGGAGTTGTAAGAGTATTAACTGGTTAATTTTAAAAGAGTGACAGAGATCCCTTTGTCTAATGGCAACTTTATGGAAATGAACATTTCAGATGACTTCACAAATTTTTTTTTCAGACTCCAAAACAAAGGATATTATATATCAATTTATCATCCTCATCCAGTAACATGCAATTATACCCAATTTCAATCCTGACCAAGCAATCAATAAATTTAACCAAGTAACTATAAATACATTTGTCTCACATACTGTATGTGACACATATATGCATACATACAGTATGTTTATAAATACATACTGGAGTCTCACTAAATTTTTCAATATTTGATACTTTGCTTTAGAGGTAAATAGTGAACATAGAAGCAAAAAAGTGTGATGGAGTTTGATATGATTTATCTGTGGGTTTCTGGAATTTGGTATTTTAAACTAAAATCTGAAAAACCAGTATTTCGGTAATATTTTATTGAGCAAATGCTGGTGTTAGGTGTACCATGTGAGCTGTTGGGATCCAATGCTGAGAAAGACAGCATCCCTGTTCTCAAGGTGTTTATAGTCGATTCAGAAATGCAGTCAAGGAAACAGGAGATTGTAGAGTATGACACTGGTTTTATACAGTTTTATGTACAGGATTCAATGGTAGCACAGAAGATGGGCAGCTAACCCACCTTAGGGGATTCTATAGAGACCTACTGGAGGAAATCACGTTTAAGCTGATACCTGAGCAATGAAGAGAAGGAAAGCTGAGCTAGGGACATATGTGGTGTCGGTTTTGCAGAGTAGGTAGCATGTCCAAAGCTGGAGCCGGAAGACAGTGTCAGGGAGCTGCACATAGATTAAAACCATCAGAGTGCAGGTGTGGAAGAATAACCATAAAGATGGAAACCAAACTGAGATATTTGGACTTTATCTGGAAGTAGATGGAAAGCCACTGGAAGATTTTTAAGCATCCAGGCTTTTAAAAACCCTTTTAAATAAACTTTTAAAAAGATTTAAAAAAGAAAAAGGTTCTACTTTGTTACCTTTCATTCTTAAGAAGTATTTTAATTGTGTGTGGGGGGGAGGGTGGGTGGGTGGTCATCCCTATGGGAAATATGAGCTACTATAATAAATAAACTTTAAAATATAGGGAAACAAGGAACTATATTAACTGGCTGGATGGCCACATCCCAGAGACACCTCCTTTGTAGGAATGGGGAGCATGATTTTATTAACAGTTTATAGCTGCCAATCACTGACACAACTAGTTACCTAAAATAGTCAATGCTGTTCTCATATAATGAACAGTTACTTGCAAAAAGAATTAAGCTGATCAAAGTAAATCAACAAAAATCTTGGTAATAGAAATTTTATGTAAGGTCCAGGATCACAAAAGCCACAGAAAAATGCAGAGCTAGAACCCCCATATGCTGCACTTTTATTGCAGGAGAGCCTGAAGAGTTTCCATCTGGACTGTGTCTTACCTTCTCAGACAAGGGCATGAGGGTGATCCAGTTGTGGTCCAGATTGTCTTATTGTAAAGGGCTAAGCTTAATATAGATAACCCTCAATATACACTGCCTTGGCCTTAAGGAAACTGAAATTTCTAAAATGGTTTTAAGATGAGTCTAGTCCCTTGGGGGTCTTCCAGATGATGTTAGTTATCTAAGCTAGAAAGACATCCAGTTCCTGGCAAAAGAAACGGAACAAAGCATTGTATTACATGACGAGACCCCCTGTTTTCTCTTTTCTCTTCCTCTATGTGAGTCATCTAGTACCACATCTCACTCGGTATCATAACTTTGTTCTGAATGTCAGCAGTGTTAAAGGAGCTCCACAGCGGACATTTCCTTTAACCCGCTAATTCTTGCACGTGGTTTCTAGAATTTGGTGAGTCACCAGAGTGTGGGATACAATGTGGAAGAGAAACAGCCATAGCTAGCCCTTTTTATGACTGCTGCAAACTAGTGTTGTAATATAGTTTTATGTTCCTCTTATCTGATACCAAAGTTACCTGTATGGAAAGCCCGGGATGAAGTGTGAAACTGGTGATTATTATGGTTACTATTATTTTGTGTACTTGTCTCTTTATCGTTGAATTACTATAGATAACAGATTAACTGTATTTAACTATCGCATATCAAGGTTGTGTAGATTACAAATTAAAATTTTTGAAAAAGAATAATAGAGTAATTTCATTTTCATAATGCAAAATAATGTGCATTTGGTTAGGGCGGTAGAATTAATAAACCCAGTTCTGGTTTCATTATTTGGAACCTTGGTGTATTAAGTATACCACTGAAAATAATTTTGATGGGCCAGTGCAGTTTAGGTCTTCAGTCTAACACTCTCCCAACTGAGCTACTTAGGCTACTCTGGCCAGTGCAGTTTAATAAGTGCCCTTTTAACGCTAAGCATGCTGGCTAGATGTTCATATTTTACAAAATGTAAAATATGATTTTTCTCTACCCTCAAGGAGTTGATGCAGGTAACATAATCACATGATAGATGCTTGCGATATCTTTAAAATGAGACCTAAATAAAATTTAAGGGATTCATTCAAACATTTATTCTCAGGTCCAGTGGGTGAACATAGTACGTATCTCATAAATATTTATTAAATGCAGTGAAGCAGTTTTTGTAGTGCAAACAGAGCCTTTAAATGGTTGGGCAAATTATAACAGGAATTCTAGAATATGGTGGGTTAAAATAGGAAGTTATGTATGGCAATAATGAGTTTTAAACCAGGTTTGCAAGAAGTAGAGATAAACATTTATACAGATGATGAGGAAGTGCATGTATTTTGGATAAGATGGCAAAAGCAAGGACATAAAAATAATGATTAATTGCTTGCAAGTGATGACAAACATCTGCAACACAAGTGGATAATGATGGGCAAGACGGTGCTGACAAGCACAAAGGAATAGGATTTGCCACTTGAAGGGGGTCATTGTTGAAACAGTTTGGTTTGAGAGACCAGAATCAGAGAGGCAGGAAAGGAGTCTAGGCTTGAAGCAATTAGCATAGTGGCTGTCCAAATCGAAAGAGGGTTCTAAAAAATACATACCAGCAGAAAAAAACAAAGTATCATGATTTGGTGATGTATTTAATTTCCAAGAAGGAGTTCTTTTAGATGGTGTCACTGAGGAGGGGGAGATGAGTGACTAAATATAGCAGGAAATAAAGAGCTTTGAAATTAAGACTTGCTAAGTTATCTATATAATTTTGTTCTGCATACAAATAGAGATATTAAACATAGTGCTGGAGAGCATGGCCAAACCTGGGAATGTCAATTTCATTTTGTTCTTTTACTTATATCTTGTATAGAAAGCCATATAAGGAGTCAAGCCAAGAAAACAAAGGAAGAAAATCATCAGTTCAAGGGGAAATAAGAAGCTGGTAGTTAATGAATACCACGGAAAGAAGTCAGAGACAGGACAACTGAAAGCCTAATGTCATCGAATACTAAGATAGAAACAATTTCAAGAGGAAGGTTTTCATTTTAGTTGAGGGATCTAGAATGAAGACTATATAAAATTATGTAATAGGTAATGTAATTTACGTGTGTTTATGAAACCAGAACGCATTAGTAATTTAAAAGTTCTAGGAGAATGCTGGGACAGAAGCCAGTGGAGGTGGGAAGCGGAGGTAGCAAGGGGTGAGGAACTGAAGGACCTGGGCCTAACAGTCATTTGCAGCTGCTGAAAAAAATGATTCATTTTCACTCTTAAATGAGTAATTACATAATGTTATTCAAGAGTTAAAAGATGACTTTCTACTCTTCATTTTTAAATGATTTTATTACTTTCTTGAAAAGTGAGTATACATGCTTTTCTGGACATAAGATACTTGGCAGTCTTGACAGGTTTTTATTTGTGCAGTGGAAAGAATTTGATCGTTAAGGGAGACTCTTAAATTGTTAAGTAAACATATTCACTTTTGGAGCCAGAATTTTATTTTGAACGCATGAAGCCTTATGAGAAATAGTACATTTTATAATGTGCTCTAATAAAGGGAAAATGTGTCCTCTCAAAATAATTGAATTTCTTCTCTAATTTTTTATGTATATGTGATCTCTAAAGCTACAGTTTTATAATTATTCTTACCAGACAAATATTACTCTGACCTAAAATGATTTAGAGTAGAAATTTCCAAACCAGTTTAGTATCTTTTTAGGAACAGTGAAATAACCTTTGGTTATTTTAGTAGTAAATTAAATATTCAGGGTTTGTGTGGATTTATAGGACGGGGGTAAACATGCCAAGTCACATAGTGGGCATGTGTAAAATATTTAGACTTTAATAGAAAGAAAAACCAACCTGTATTGAGTTATAAAAACACCATACTGTTGAAATGATTGATGGTTTTCTCATCACATGTAACAGACTAACATAATTTCATGAAACCTTTGCTTACCGCTTACAAATTATCCAAAATTCTTTTGCAGTAAAGCTAACAGTATGTGCTCCTTAAGCAAAACATTGCCTATTTCTTTTCTTTTCTCCTCTTTCTTCCTTACTCCTTCCCTTCCCTCCTTATTCCTTCCATTCCCCTCTCCTCCTCTCGCCCTGTTCCTTCCCTCCCTCCCTTCCTTTCTTCCTCCCTCCTTCCTTTTCTTCCCTTCCTCCCTTCCTCCCTTCCTCTTTCTTTCCTCCTCTCTCCCCCTTCTGGGATGTTGCCTTAATAGAAATAACAGTCTACTAGAGAAACTCAAAACATGTAAAAAATATTATACAAGGTAGAAAATGATAAAATGTGTAAGAGGAGTAAAGACCAAATTCTGTTGGAGAAAGCAGAAACTCTCAGCTGGGAAGATTAGGAAGGGCTTTAGTAGAGACACATTTCAAAGGTGTGAATGTCTTAATTCTCACTATATTCCTCTAGAAACTCATGACCACCGTTCGGACAATGTAGTATTATAAATTGTTAATAGCGAGGGCTGTATCTTTGTAATGATGATGTTGTTACGTGAGATACTTGGCCTTTTGAATAACCATAGGTATTCAAATATTTCAGTAATAAATAAGAGTGTTTCTCAAAGATGAGCTATAGCTTTGTTTTTGTCATGTTTAACTAGCCATGATAACCAGCTGAGATTGACAGGAGTTACTTAGGTTATCCTGTGATCAATTTTTGGATGTGGAATCATATGAGGTCATTGGTACTATCTTTAAAATTCTGCCCTTTTTTGCCTTGATGAGGGACAGTGCTGGGTGACAGTATCCTCAGTGCTCTCCTCTGCTGGGCGTTGTGAGTCAGGAGCTCACCAAACAATAAATCATATTGTAGTGCGTGCATACAGATGTCAGATTCCAGGGGAAAAAATGGTTATAATTTTTGACTTCATGGAAAAGTGAATGGGATGGAGTGCTCAAAGTGTTGCATGACGTAAAATACCCCGTTATCTATGTTAGTTGTGCGAAAAATTGCATGAAAAATACATTTAAAGTGACGTTGTGAATGACAGAGTTTCTGAGATGGTACCTTATGAAGGGACTTGGCAACCTTGGTGGTATCTTAGGCATCGTATCAAGCTTAAACTTGCTAACTCTTGGCCTGGGGAGCACCAGCTCACACTGGATGCTGAACTGCACACTTGTCATTTCATGACCTCTCCCAGCCGCTGCAGTTGTGTTTCATGCCTGCTTGTGTTTTTGTTACCTTGCCTCTTGCCTTCCCAGGATAGGGCACATAGTAGATACAGGAACATTTTTGAGAATAAAAAGGTAATTTAACCTACACAGATGTACATAGTACTTCATATCTACTATTTCAGAACACTGTAGCAAATCAAGAACTTTAAATTATTTTCCTGAACTCAGTTTTGAGGCAGTCAGCCTGCTCCTGGTTTTTAAATACTGTGTTTTGCAAACAAAAATGTATAATGAGGTTTTTCTCTGAATACAGTGTGGTCAGTACTTTTTAATTAATAAAGTAAACGTTAAGGCAAAAAACTACCTCCACAAAACCATTAACAGACAAATATTTTATGTAAACCTTAGGAGATGTTTATTAATCGTGGTTCGGCTTGGGGCACATAGGATGTTTGTCAGGTTAGTGAATAAATTTCCCTAATGTATGTCACTGAATATTGTTAAACAATACTCTACCTGCTTAATTCCATTACTTTAAAAATTGCAGTGAAATTTATGTGTGTGTGTGTGTGTCTTTTGTAGAAAAGTTATTACAATTTACGATCAAACTCACTAGCCATAAATGTTTTTGATTAATTTATATAAACATGATACTGTGGTAGTTTTGGTATGTAGAATATTTATATTTATATTTTTGTCAGTATATTTCATTAATGTTCAAATGGTAGTGGCGGATAGTGTTTTCAAATTTGTTGAAGGATTGCGTTGAAATTCTTGAAACATGGTAGTGAAAATTGCATTTTTTCCAGTCTTTTCTTTTAAAGGTGAATTATATTCAGTTGATTATAAGAAGTCCCAAGGAAGTACTTTTTACTAGCTTTAAACTGTTCACCATAGATGTTAATGTGGGACACCTACAGAATCCACTTTTGACATGGGGCAGGTTGCAATAGTATTGCATTACACTGTCAGCAGGTGCTGCCATGGACATTGGTGTAAAGTAAGAAGGAAGGGATTGGGATGCAGAACAGTAATTGGAAAGAGAGAAATAAATCCTTCTCTTTCAGTTGCTTCACTGATTCCCAATGTTCCAGGTAAAGTGCACCTGCTGAGTGCCTGAGAAGAACAGGTACATGCTAGCCCTCCATTAATTTCAGAGGAATGGCAGTGGACTGCATCTACCCAGCAGGTGTGCTGAGCTGAAGGAAGAAGATGGATGGGGACAGAGTATAGAAAAGAAAGCAGGTAGCCCAGATAGGGTGGTTCTCAAAATAAGAGACAATAAGGGTAGGATCTCTCCTTATAAGCTTGAATTTATCCTCCTCTAATTCCTAGTGGCACTATACATTTTAATAGTATTTGAAGCCACGTTAGAATTATGACAGCATATGTTAAAATTGTGCAAGTGGTTCAGTAATATAAGCTAACATTTCCTGAAATGATTTAAAAATCTGGCAGACTGCAAAGTTATCCTGATAAGGAACTTGGTTTTGATTACAGTAATGAGATATACGGGATGGTGTCAGAAACTGTCTTCCAGTTGACACAATAATCCATAATTTATAGATTGGCTTAAAAATTAAAAGACAAAGTCAATTATAACTAATTATGATGCTACATTTGCTCGAGGAGTTACTATATCCTTTGGGATAAAGGAAGTAATATTCATGTCAGTCAGGAATCTTTAGCTACAGTTTCCTGGTTCTATCTTAAGAATTTTTCAGTTTCGTTTCATGAGAATCCTAAGCCACTGAAAGCCTGAAACCCTGCTATTTTTAGAAATACTGTAGTAGCTTCTGTGTATCACTGCACATTTGTTCCTATTCTGAACTTCTTATCTGTGCCAAATCTTCAGAGAGGTTACTGGAAGTTTTGCTCGATGACTGCTGAATCAGTCAGAAGTGAATTTTAAATTATGCAGGAGAAAATAACAATAAACTGAGTTACAGCATCAAGATATCATTGTTATTTCTGTTGATACTGGTTTCATCACTTGATAGGATTTAAATACCCAGACTATTGCATATTTACTAAAGTTTTATTTCATCATGTCAACATTTTTTTTTTTTTACAGTCAAAAGCCAAATTGTCAGCAAAGGATATTACAAGGATAGGTATTTTTAGCATCTTTTCAAGAAGTGAAAGGAAGGAGTGGTTTATATTTTTCTATAATTTTATGCCATGAGACGTGACAATTTTCCATCTTAAGAAGGACAATTAGTTCTTAGAAGGAAAGAAAAATGCATTCTTATATAAACTTCCTAGAAAATTTAGTGAGTTGATAAATTCCTAGCTGCATATCAACTTTCTACTCTTGTGGCCTTCTTTTGTGTGAGCTTTGATCATCAAGCAGTTTCTAAGTGTTTTTGAAGCACATGTGTTGCATGTGTGGAGCAGGCCACAGTGCATATATGTAGCATGGGCTTCTTCCAGAAAAAAAGCATTCTGAGAGTACCATTGAGGGAATATGTATTCAAAGGAGACAAGCTGCAATAAACTAGTTGTTTAAGTAATATTATAAATTGTTATCCTTTTTAGATATTTAGGATTTCATTTTGTTGGAAAGCTTTCAAAGGGTGACCCAGTACGTGTGCCAATGACAAAAGCTCCTTGGAACAATTCAGAGCATGCTTTATGCCTTATGAAATGGGATTGTAAAAATCCTCTCAAAAATGACATCCAAAATAGCATTAAAACACAATTTCCTTTGATAAGGCTTTACGGCACTCATATGAAAAGTGATACCACTTTGAGTGAGACTGTGTCAGCATTATGTGATGTTGTGTTGCTCATAACTGACACTAATCCATTAAGGGTGTGAGGGTCATTTATTTTTCTTATGAAGTCATTAAATACAGTTATTGATTTCTGTTCAGTTAGATTGTACCTTCATTTAATGATCGCTATATACATTAATGCTAAGACTTGATTTCATGCACTTTAAACAAATAGATATTGTATTTGGAGTTTAAAATAAAGTTAATGACAATTATTAAAAAGAAATTGTCATTGATTCACTAACCCAAGATCATGTTGACCTAGAACTGTAAAAATAATATTGGTTTTTTAAAAATTTATAACCATCTTCAGTGTATTTGCTAAATAGAACAGATGACTTTTATTTCTTAAATTAATAAAGTAAAATTAATAAAACTAGTATGCAGGTCTATGTAGTATTCCCCTCTTACTGCTACTGTTTTTATAACTAGTTGTATTATTTTCTGCTGATTTGCAGATGGGTTTCGTGCATTTTCTAATTTCCTATTTTTTGCCAAGTAAATGAAAAAAGAGTAAATACCTAACCAAAATCCTTTTTCTTGAGTGTGTTAAGCAAGAAACTGGGAAAGGAAAATGAAAAGACATCAGTGTATGATATTCTGTTCTGGAAACGTAGATGAATATTACTAGGGACCAGATGTGTTTTGGTATATACAGTAGTCCCCCCTGATCACTTTTGGCAGTTTCAGTTACCCATGGTAAACCACGGTTTGAAAATAAAGTGCATACAGTACAGTGAGGTACTTTGTGAGAGAGAAACCACATTCACATAACTTTTGTTAGTTATACTGTTATAATTGTTCTATTTTATTACTGGTTATTGTTGTTCATCTCTTACTGCCTAATTTATAAATCAAACCTTTCCTAGGTGTATTTAAGGACAAAGCAAGTATATATAGCGTTCAGTTTCAGGTATCCACTGGGGGTCTTGGAAGGTATTTCTTGCAAATAAGGGGCGACTAATGTAATCTATTTTATATTAAATTGCTTGTTTAATTGGAATCATGCAGAATTGATGTTTCTGTACATTCCCTTGAAATAATTTTGTCAAAAGAAACAGCAGTATAAAGACTTCTGTAATTTCAGATTTCTGTCATTTATTAAGACCAGTCATTTTTTCCCTGATTGAATATATTATATTTGTGTTTTACTCGAAGGTATGCCTTAATAGTACCAGGAACTTCTAAACTTTCATAGTTTGGCAATGTTTTAAATTATTTCTTTTACCTATCCTTTTGGAATTTGATGCAGAAATTATTGGTCTATGCAATAGTGAGATGACGTTTATTAGATCACCTTTCACATGGGAAGTACTATTGGAGGTCTTTAGCCTCTAGTGCAGTAGCACCAAGTGGTACCAAGTTCATTACAGCAGCATCTTTGGAGATGTTGTATGCTCAGCACTTTTTCATAGGCATCTTGCCTGGCTCATTGAAGGAAACCTGGGCAAGGCTGTGATATTAATGAATTATGACAAGCCTTTTGCCTGTCAAGCAGAGGTTCCCGCCTTCCTCCTTTAAGACAAAAACTTAATGGAAGATGCTCAGATGCGCGAGCTCTCTGATGATACCCCTTAAGTGCTCTTCTCTTTCTGATGCGAATATTCAGAGAGCCGTGAAGCTGCAAGTGGCAGCATTTAATATTGCCTTTCTCATAATGCCTGAATAATTTTCCAGAGACTGATCTCTGCAGCTGCTGTGAACATGGTTATTTGTTTATTTTTCACCTTGGTCCTGGTGGAATGCTGACCTAGCCAATCTTCAGGACTCACAGGGAAAATGGTTTCAGATTCATAGCTCTCATCTTTTCTTTCAAATAAACACAAAACTGAAGCTTGTGACGTTGAGTAACAGAAAAATAAGAGGGACTGTTTCTTTAGTTTCCTTTAAAAGTGAAAAAAAAAATGACTGTATGAATGAAGAATTTATTTGGTGAAAAATGAAGACTCTCTTGCATATTTTTAATGGATATTTGTGAGAGGAAAGGAGAAAGCATAGGCTGTTGTGGTAAGCTATAGAATGTTTTCAAGATTTCCCCCCGTAGTGCTGCTCATTATGTTAAACAGTCTAGCTTTTAGCTACTGTAGTTTTCGTTTTATGTGTATTGGCCTTCATTTGCTGAAATGCTTCAAGTTCACAGTACTAAAGTCATTTTGAAAACGGGATGTAATTACAAAGGTATCTTATGCTTACCAACAGCTTTTTTGGATCAATTTAATTATCATTACTTGTGGATACTGTAAATTGAATATCCCGTCCCTAATTACATTAAACTCAGGGGTTAGCTGCTTAAACGTCTAAATGAGAAAAGTTCATCCTTTGCTATAAATAGGAGAATTGTTCTCTTATTTAGACTGACCTTGGAAGCTAAGCATTTTACATGATATTGTCAGGTGAGCATTATAAAGACAGCCTGTAATGAGATCTGTAATGAGGAACTAAGGTATAGTAGCCCTTTGAAAAGTTAATTTATTCAGCATTTTCTTATTGCATGATAGAATTAAAGTTTGTGTATATGTCCGGACCCCTTTTTAAAGGGGCCAGTCTCACTGTTCTTGGTTTACTCATATTCTGCCAGTAGTTTGAAGTGGGTTAGTATTACTATTCCACCTTAATGGAAGTCACCATTAAAGTAGTGAATTCATCTTGCCCTTTTAAACAGAGCTAATTTATTTAGGGAGTAGGAATGTTATTTTCCCTACCTTCTCCTCACTTCCTTTTACAGAAATGATATATCAGAATTTATTCAAACCACTTTAAGCATACATTTTCCTGAGAGGAAAAAAAAAATGCCTTTAGACATCAATAAACTGGAACGGCATTTCCCTGTTCTGGAAAATCAGCCTTTAATTAGTTGATGTGTGTGTCTTGGGTTAGTATTTGTTGTCTGTTCAGCTCAAGTGATTTTTGTGCTTTATAAGAAAACGGATTGTTCTGGTGGGAGATTTGATTGATTTCTGCTTGTTATAGTCATTGTAAATTTTAGTGCCATGCATAGCTACTTGCTTTTATTTACTTTGTTTTCTTTGTCAATTGTAGCTTCATTAAAAATCTCTTATCTGTTCACAGTGGAAACTCTTAAAAATGTAAGCGTAACTACTTATTTCCATAGAACAGCTCCTGCTGAGTGTGCTTTACGATTTATCATAAAAACCTGTAAGGACAAATTGAGGCTGGATGTGCTAGGAAATGAAGCCGTCCCTGGGATCACTAGAAGAGATTTCTATTATGCAAAAGAAGTAGCTAAAATGATTGATTTTGAGACTTCAGTCAAAACATACCCTGAATGTTTTCTGGATTTTCTAATGAGACATATTGTAGAATACACCAGAATAACGTGAAAAATGTAGACTTAGTAGCATAAATAATTAACAAGTGGTTTTGGGCTCTGGGGTTTCCAAAGCAATTCCATGTTATACTAAGTATACTGGGAGCCATCCACTTACAGCTTTTTTTTTTTTTGAGACGGAGTCTTGCTCTGTCGCCAGGCTGGAATGCAGTGGCACGATCTCAGCTCACTGTAACCTCCGCCTCCCGGGTTCAAGCGATTCCCCTGCCTCAGCCTCCCAAGTAGCTGGGACTCAGGCACGCGCCACCATGCCCGGCCAATTTTTTTTTTATTTTAGTAGACGGGGTTTCACCATGTTGGCCAAGATGGCCTTGATCTCCTGACCTAGTGATCTGTCCGCCTCTACCTCCAAAAGTGCTGGGATTACAGGCGTGAGCCACGGCACCCGGCCTCACTTACAGCTTTTAAAAATATTTTCAACCATACTAAATTCCAGAAATTTACTTTTAGTGTGCTATACTAAATAACAAAACAACAATTCTAGAAAACTTGAATTTAAGTATAGTGTGTCTTTTAATATCTTTTAAAACTAGTTTTCTAAAAATATGGAACATTTTACACATATCACTTTAGTGGTTAAAGTTATGAAATTGAATGTTCATACAACTGGCAGTTTTCCTCATCAATTCAAACAGGCAGTGAGCTTTGGATGAAACTACATTTCTAATATTAGAGGACTAATCATAGGCAACCTAACTTTTTAAAAACAGGCAACAATTTTATGCTTCCGATACAATTAGATACAGTTACCAATCATATCAGTCCATTAGCTGTCAAGTTTTATTCTTCTTCATAAAAAGCAATCAGAGGTAGACATTTAAACATAGATTATGTAGACACGTGATGTATATATATATGTAGCATATACCCCATCTCTACTAAAAATACATATATATATATATATATATATATATATATATATATCTCAACCTAGATGTATATAGATTAGATAGGAATTTCACAAAGCCTTGTACATGTAACTCCTCCAGAAAATGAGTCTTGGTAAGAATACTTAGATATCAGTTGTTGAGTAATGAAAACTCAGGATCATGAAAAGTAAGAATTGTTAGAAGGTGATTTGGGGCATCAGTGCATATGATGCTTTTCCTATTCAAAATTAAGTAGAGAAAGCATTTTTGTGGAAGATGGAGAGTGGTTATCTTCATTAGCATATAGATGCCTCATAGTTAAAAAAGAGTTGACGTTCTCAGTCCAGAGTTTGTGGGACCAAAATATATCTAAGACATAGGCTTCTTGGAAGGAAGGCTGACTCGTAATTTCTTTAACACCTAGTGAAACACCCAGATGTAAGTGTTTTGATGTTGGTAATGATAATTGACACACACTAAATTTAGCTCAGAAATTAAGGCCTATTAGGAAAACTGCACTTCATCATTCGTCTTCACCTCTTGAGAAATTTGTGTACATTGTGGAATATTTATGCTGTTCTCCATGTTCAGTTAATAGTGTCACGATCCATTCCCATCACTCTAATTAGGTTTCACCGAGATGGTACCCAATTGGGCAGTTTTGTGAACACTTTTCTTCCATTAGCTTTTTCAGTGGCTTCCTATGTACCCTCAGATTCTATTAAAATTTTTCTCAGGATCTTGGCCGGGCGTGGTGTCTCACGCCTGTAATCCCAGCACTTTGTGAGGCCGAGGCAGGCAGATCACCTGAGGTCAGGAGTTTGAGACCAGCCTGGCAAACATGGTGAAACCCCGTCTCTACTAAAAATACAGAAAATTAGCCGGGCGTGGTGGCGTGTGCCTGTAATCCCAGCTACTCCAGAGGCTGAGGCAGGAGAGTTGCTCGAACCCTGGAGGCGGAGGTTGCAGTGAGTTGAGATTGTGCCATTGCACTCCATCTTAGGCAGCAAGAGTGAAACTCCATCTAAAAAAAAAAAAAATTCTCAGCGTCTTATTAAGAGTCAGTTTTAAAATACTTCTAGACTTCAGTGCACAGGATGGTTTATAAAGCAGCATTTGTGAAAAGTTTGCCATTAGGCAAGTTTCTAAAGAGATCTCAGGAGTCTTAAGTTATATCAAGTATTTGCCAAAACTTGGAGGTGCTCAGTAGTATAATTCTGGTAGAAGCCTGAAAATAAAGGCATAGAGTTTTTACTTTGCACAGTTTGTGGTCATTCAATGTACTTCAACAGTGGTAGGACTGTGAAATGATTTGATTTGGTAGTAGAAACATTCCTCTGGTAAGGAAGAAGTGAATGAGGTTATCTAATCCAGGGTGATCTGAACAATGTCACTAAAATTGGAGGTTAAAGAACTCAATATTTAGGGTAACAAAAAAGAAAATAAATTACAGCCTCAATTGCAAAAGATACCTGAACATGTAATTTTTACAATTACGCTCTGAAGTGTTGGTCCCACTTTGCAGATGGCTTAGCTTAGTCTCACAGGAGTTCTAGCAGAGGCCTTCCCCAACAACACAGAACTGAGAAGGAGACTGTCTGGTATTTGAACCCAGGTTTATGTCACTGCAGAGGCTTTCAGTGAAAAGCTGCCTACCCAACTCTATTAGAGCCCATGGGTTTGGCTGGCAGTATAAAGACAAAGAAGAAATACTGAGAAAGAGAAACCCTTCCCCTCCTGCCTCTTTTCCTGTTCCTTTTTTGTGAGTCCCTTGCATCACAGCCTACCACCAGATTAATTTCCCATCATCTTCATTACTTGTCCTAAACTCATAGCAAATTAAAAAGTTCTAGTACTTTCATTGCTCACAGCACCTAAGAACTAAAAGAAATAGACAACTGATGACAGAATATGAAGTTTAATAGCATTTTCTAACGAACTGAAAATTGAATAAACCCAACCACAAGCCAGATTCCCAGCTACTAAAATCTCCACTACCCTTCTCCCAAAATCTATTTTTTCTTTATAACATTTACAGACTATAATAATGCTGTATACATAAACATTGAGTAGTAAATGTCATCATAAAGTATTTATGTGATTTTAAGGGGAAATGTACAAAAGCTTTTTCCATCATGTACCTCCTGAATTAGCAATAGGGCCAAAATCCAAACGAGTGAAAAGTAATTGTTTAAGACACTTATACGACTTCTGGTTTATATAACCATCAAAATATTGCTTCTAAGTGTTAGAAGTTGTTCTGCTGTGTGTCTGAAGCATGGGATCCCAGAAGCAAATACTCAAGTAGCTAAGGCATAATGGGCCCAAGTAAATTTTTGGGATTGATCAATGAATTAATTGAGAAATACTGAGAAAATACACGATAACTTGACAAAGAAGAGCTTTAAAAAGAAGCTTTAGAAAGAGACAAGTAAATGAGTTCATGGTAAGTATGAGAGAGGGTCAGTATTCTTAATATATAAAGAGCTCTTACAGATCAGTAAATTTAAAAAGGGACAATAGAAAAATGAGGAATTTGTAAGGGACATGGATAGCTAACAACGAGAAAAATGGTCAGCATTATTAATGATTAATGAAATTGAAGAGCAGTGAGATATATTTCATTTTTCACATTGCCAAAGATTTTAAAAGATTGCTAACATCACTGTCATATGCTTCTGATGGGATTTGTTTACTGGTGAATGCTTTAAGCACAATTTAGCAGTATATGTTTAAAATTTTTTAAAGCAAGAATATATCATCTGACTTAGGAATTTGTATTTGAAATTCAGGAATTTAAGTAAATAATTAGAAAACGTGTACACAAACATATTGTAAGAGAGACAAATGTATGGGGAGAGAAATGCATACATGCAAACACATGAGAACATTTATCAGCACTGTTTGTAATTGCCAAAAAAAGAAAATCTCAATGGCCAACAGGATAGAGGATTGATTAAATAAAGTACACGGTTTCACATGATAATCCTAGAAAGTTCTGATATAGATTTATATGATCTCTAATAATTATTAAGATAATTTAGGGTATATTAAGAAGAAAAATTGGTTATAGGAGATGTTTTTATTTAATATATACTCTGCATATTTGAGTGGAAAAAGTACAACCTAATATTTCTGGGTGGAGAGAGTTGGAGAGATTTCCTTTATTTCTTTATTTAGTCTTGATTTCTTTGACTCTTCTAACTTTTCTAGAATGGTGAGCATGTCTTATGTATGTACAAAGTGAGGAGAAAGCCACACAGCATTGGTCATCGAATGATTTAATCCACTCTTAAAATTCTAGAAAAAGTTATATCAAACAAATACTTGTCTTGCTTGGGTAGTAAGAGCCAAATAATACAGGTATCTTTAGTTCAACAGCGGCACCTTCTGTGTTCAGTAGAGTGCTTAATTAGCACAGTCATCCTGATAACATGAAATCAATCCATAAACAGGCAATAAGAAATGTAAAATGAAAAGAGAAAAATTTAGAGTTCAAAAGTGCTCTTGAGGTTAAAAAAATAGTTAAAGCTATGTCTAAAAGTGGGGGGGGGGGTTGGCAATTAATCTTATTACTACATGACATCTTAGGTATATTAACAGTGTTTTATCCAGAATTTATAAATATCCTGAGTTGAGTCATATTTTAGAGTATTTGTTTTTTCATAAATTTTTAAAAATTAAAGTCATTTGGATACATAGTAAATCAAATAGCATTGAAAGGTCCATCAGGAAGAATGTACTGTCACCCCATCCCATTTCCTTATCCAGAAGCAACTACTCAGCAATTTTAGCTGTTCATTTGATAGTTACATCCATTTTACCTGAAGATATATCATTATTTCTTAATGTTTCATTTTAAATATTATCTGTTGACATCTTGTAACATGAGGACCCATCTTTATTATAAGCTTGTCTGCATACTTTTCTCCATTCTGGCGATATAGTTATATGACTTTTTTTAGTCATTAAGTGTATATTGTTAACTTTAAAGCCATAGATTGTACTCAAATTGTATTTATTCTTTTCATTCAGCTCTTTGATTTTTCTTCTTTTACTTGAGCATGTTCTTGAGTCTTAATTTACTTCCTCTAAGGGAAGTAAATTTTCTGAGTCCTTAAGTATCTAAAGTAAACTTTTTTTCTGCCCCTACATTTGTTGGATCACTTGTATGGAAACCACTTGTGTGAAATCATTTGCTGTCAGAATTGTGAACTGTGGAAATCACTTGTATGGAAACTCACTTGTCTGAAAATCATTTGCTCTCAGAATTGTGAAGGCACTGCTCCATTGTCTTTTACTGTCTGCTACTGTTGTTGAAATGTCTACTGCCATTGTCATTCTTCCTTGATTATATTCTGCTTAAACCCTACCACCCTGCACCTCAAGGAAGCGTTTAGGATGGCGACTTTGTTCCAGGAGTTGTGGCCTTTCATGAGGATGCTGGGGGCGGCAGAGGCGGTGCTGTGTACTTCATTCATTGTGCTGAGTACTCTGTGGGTGTTTTAAAGTTGGAAACTCACACCCTCTGTTATGGTAAATTTTCTTAGAGTATTTCGTTGGTAATTTTTTCCTTCTATTTTGCAGTTTTCTCTTTCTGGACCTCACATTCATTGGATATTGGACTCCCTTTGTTGATTCTCCAGTTTACAGTTTTCTTCTTTCACATTTTCTCCTTTTCAAGTTTTCATTGTACATTCTCAGAGATCACTCATCTTTTGTTTCTGATTTTTACTGAATTTTCTTTTATTTTGACATGATGTTTTTAATTTTCAAGACCTCTTTTTTTATTATTTATTTGTCATAACATGCTGGTTTTGTACTTGGATACCGTATCCTCTTTTAACTCTGAGAATGTTACCATTTTTGGTTCTTCAATTTAAGTTTTTCTGTTCCCTGCATTATCCATCTATTTTTGGTCTCTTTTATGCCAATATTTTCTTTCCTCATATGTCAGATGATCCTTGGTTATTCATGTGTATTAAATTGTGGGATGCTAAGGGTTAATTTGTAGCTCTGTGGGCATGGGTTGGAGCTTTTAATTGGTGGGCTTCACTGTTTTGTGATTGGATGAAGTCAGCCTTTTTTTTTTTTTTTTTTTTTTTTTTACTTACCTGCATATGTCTGTATGTGAATGTCCTTTATCTGAAACTGGTTTATTTCTTCTTAAAATAATCTTCTGCTCTCTTGTCCAAAGTTTAGACAATCCATCTGCTAATGAGATTGAGAAAGGGAATTATTGGTTCAACTATTCCTTATTTCAAGCTACAGTTCATTTCACCTCTGCCTTCCAGTAAGTCCCCAAATCTCCCTCATTCTTTTTCTCCAGCAAATACACCAGTGGTTTCTTGCTTTGGGTGAGGACTGGGGAGAGTGTATACATGTGGCTGCTGGAATTCTTTACATTTAGATGGGCATGGTTTTATATTTAGACTTTCAACCTGTCCCAAACTTCTCTTCTGCCATTTGTCTTACAGGGACATTCAGTCTTTAGCGTCTCCAGGGACTCAGGTTTCTTCTCATTGCTTCAGTGGGTTCAGTTGGCAGACTCTGCCCCTCAGTTATTCCTCTCCAGTTTTGCTGGCCCCTTGCTTATTTGTGTGTATAGGTTAGACATACTTCTGCTGCAGGGTCTTTGCATTCATGAAATGCACTTACTACATATATACTCATTTTTTTCTGCCCCAAGTAACAATCCCCAAATCTGAAGAATTTGTATTACTTAAGGATTGCAGGTTGGCAGTGGCATTCCTGGGATTGGCAGGCTCAGGTCCACACATCTCATTTCAAGATCCAGGTAATTTTTCTGGATTAGATGGTTTTCACGGTAGAGGGCAGAAACTCAAGGGAGGACAGAGCCAAATTTAGCCAATGCACTTAAAGCTTCTGTGTAGCTGTGACACACCCTGTGAGCCCATATTCCATAGGTCAAGACAAATTGCATGGGAAATATGATGAGGAAAGAAAAAATAATGAGTAATTCAACCTACTACACCCCAGATATCCACGAGACTTACTCCTTACTTCCTTCAAATCTTTGTTCTAATATCACCATCTCTGTGATGCCCTCCCTAATTCCACCCTATTTAAAGTTTTATTACTCTTCTATTTTCTGTTTCCCTTCCCTGATTTATTTTTGTTCCTAACACTTCATACTATCTGACATATTATCTAATTTACATATATATATATTTTTATTTTATTTACTGCCTTTCCCAACTAGAATATTTGTAAGCACCACAAGCCCAGAGATGTTGGTTTTTGTTTATTACTGTGTACTCAGTACCCAGAATAGTGCCTGACGCCCGGAAACTGCTCAAACATATCTAAATATCCCTTCCTTCCCATGGAACTTTTTTTTTTTTCTTAAA
This sequence comes from Homo sapiens, assembly GCF_000001405.40. NCBI lineage: Eukaryota > Metazoa > Chordata > Mammalia > Primates > Hominidae > Homo > Homo sapiens. Next base: position 182,504,200 of record NC_000004.12, read on the forward strand.
TTTTAAAATCACTCATCCCCTGATGAATCTGCATCCATTTTCTTTGGTTTTTGTGGTTTATACCTTCACTATTATTAAAGGCTCTGTGCAGAGAGAGACGTAAATGCTTTTTATCAAATTAGCCATTCTTAACTACAAATCTGACTTCTTAAATATTTATTAAATAAAGAAAGACTCTTGATTTAATGTGCTGGCTTTCATACAAATTACCAAATACAGATTTGATTGGGATGTTTCTCCAGAGTTAAGTCCTCTGTAAAAGTGTTGGAGTAAATGAATTACTTAGCATAATAGCTATACAAGATATGTTTTGGTTGGTGATGCCACCCTCTGTGAATAGGTGATTTCTTGTTTGTCCTTCATTTGAAAAAGTAACATAATAGTCAACCTACTTGAAAGCGAATTAGTTCTTATTCGCATGCGAATGAAGAGGCCTAGGTGGGATTAAAAGCATTTTCTATTACTGAATACATATGGCGTTCGTAATTTGTATTCAAAGACCTGTTTGCTATTTTTGGCATGGCTTCCAACCTCATAAATGCAAAAAGCAGCTCCACTTCTTATAGCAATATGCCAGCCTGGTCTGTCAACTACAGTTATTTCCCATCAGTTATTCATAGTCTTAGACTTTGTTTCAGTAAATTGTTCTGCATTGTTTACTGCCCTCACTACTTATTATCTCCCCAGCCCAGGTCATAATACAACAGATACTTGGGTATCATGATGTTATATATTCTTTTCCAACTCAGCATGGTGATATTGGGAGGGTGATCTTATTCCTGTTTTTCATATGGGAGATTGATGAAACTTGTTTTTCATTTTTTATTACATCATAATACTTATTTGCTGACAAACTCATCAGGACTCTGAGGGAGCCATAAATTTGTATCAGTATAATCAATATTGATGGAAACACTTTGAAACTCCTCCTGTAGAATTAGAGTCAGCTTACAAGCCACATTACAATGGTCTTATGATTATATACCAGACTCTTAGTTCTATGTTAATTTAGTATGAATGTCTATATACCCTAGCATTTTTTTACTCCAAATAATGTTTATTTCCCAAAATAAATTTCATTCTGCAAAGATGAAAATCTGTATCACACCTAAAATTGTGCAATACAGATCTTAAAACTGCCAGATAGCATTCCAAAGTGCTTACTTTGGAAGGAAAATAATTAAATGTCTAAATTATTATACATTTTTTTAAAGATTTCTTTATTGCTGTAATTCTTACTGCTTCCTCTGCTTTTCCTTTTATTTTATTTTATTTTACTATTACTATTATTTTTTTGAGACAGAGTTTCACCCTTATTGCCCAGGCTGGAGTGCAATGGCGCAACCTCAGCTCACTGCAACCTCCACCTCCCAGGTTCAAGCGATTCTCCTGCCTCAGCCTCCCGAGTAGCTGGGATTACAGGCACCCACTACCACGCCCGGCTATTTTTTTTTATTTTCAGTAGAGACGGGGTTTCACCATGTTGGCCAGGCTGGTCTCAAACTCTTGGCCTTCCAAGGTGCTGGGATTACAGGCGTGAGCCACCACACCCGGCCTGCTTTTCTTTTTCAAACCCAAATCTTAGATTCAGTTTCCTCATGACATTGTCACCACCTTGATATAAATCATTCCTTTGTTGACATTGTCATCATGTGCTTACTGAAACATGCCCTACATAACAAGGTAGAAAGAGACAGGCTTCGGATTTCTTCCTGTTAAAGCAAAGCATTAATTTTCTCTAAGGAAAGGTAGATGTTGAGTGTGAAATAAACTTAAAAGAGGATGCATCACATATAAAATCCCAGAATGTTACAAGTGGAGGGGACCTAAGATGATTGCAAATAAAGATAAATGCAACAGCTGTGGTCTAGAAGGAGGCACAAATTATTAAGAGCTCAGCAAGACGGAGTCAAGGAAAAATTCTGACTGAGCATGAACAGTGTGTTGCTTAATAGTTACTTACCATCGGCTTCACTTTAGCCCTGTGCATATGACCCCGAAACCATGTTTATAATGTGTAAGCCCCTTTGATTGTTTTTGTTTTTGTTCTGAAGACGCTTGCTACTTTTGAAATGTTTTCCATATTTAGAGATAATACGGTGTGGTCGAAAGAGGGCATATTTTGGAGTCAGAAAACTTGAAGTTCAATCTTGTCATTACCTTAAGCTAAATTTCTCCATCTGTAAAATGGGAGTAGTAACATTTAAATAACGATTAAATAATAAGGAGAAGTAACGTAGGAAGAGATTCAAGCACTGGCCTGGCACATGGTGCTTAAAAAGTGTCTTGCTCTTTCTCTCTCCCTTCTTTATTATTTAATAAAATTTGTCTGGTATGTGTATTATAATTTGTACATCTTGATCTTATATACTGTATTAAAATTAAAAAATAGTCAAAAGCTGAATGCCTGGTCTCAAATATTTTAAATTCTGGTTGGGATGTAACATAAGTACATGTACTCCAAATATATTTACAGAGTAGGTTTTATTAAATGAACTAATAGATATTGTACATAAAAGATTAAAGTGAAAGAATGATCAGGTTGTAAGGAGTATGGAGTAGGTGAACTTGGCGCTGTATACGAAAACCTTCCATGGAAGAGCTCGAGACATCTTTTTGAACTTCCTTAACTCTGTTTTGATAGTACTTAAACGGTCAATTCGATGGTTCTTCATACCTTAAAGATCACTGGCCTTTATTATCCTGATAGTAGTGAATATAAGCATGTTAAGGTTATCTTATCTGTGTTTAATCTTCATAGGCACATACTATGGAACATCTTTATCTGTCATATTCATGATCCGTGAAGCCTCTTTTGAAGTCAGGTTGCATACTGCAAAAAAGTAGAGCTCTAAAGTAGGTCACAGTCCTAAGAGAGACACTGGAATCAACATCTGAAATTGAAAAGCTATTCTCCATTCGTATTAAGTTTTTAGGTTATCACTAAGGAAAAAAAAAGCACACTAAAATTAGATGAAGTAAAAGAAGCCCGAGTTATTCAAAATGTAAAGACCTTAGAATGAATGCTAACATTTTTCTTTTGCCCTTTTTCTTCCATCATTATGTCTAAAGATTGAAGTTAGTCTAAATAACATTAGGTCCCATAATCTCTGAGAATTTACCAGCTTTACTGTTTTCTTTTTCTTTCTGTTCCAAGTACATCTGCCCTTATGCCATTACTCTTGTCAGAAACTCATTGCCAAGTGTCTTTAAAAATCAGTTACTGTGGAGTTACCTATTTCAAAACAGAACTAACCCCTCAGTTTGATTTTTCAGGAGTCATTCTTTCATAGGCAATTCCGTCAGAATTTTTTTTATATAAATCAGTGTGAAAGCATTGGATTTTCTTAATACAGTCTTGTCCAGGAAGCTGTTAAAGCTTTTTCCCCATTGAAGAGAGAACACTAAATTGTCAGTATGTACTCATTCTATGGGAGAAGTTTTGAAAGCAGAGGTTTATAAATTTTCAACTTAGAGAACGAGATTCTTTGCAAAAGATTTGGTCAAATATCTGGAAGTCTTCCACTTTTGAAATACAGGGCTTCCAAACACATTTCTTCAAATGTCTTCTATATAGTTACTGTCTTTTATTTTGGCAAGTTATGCCAAAGAGACGAAATAGATCTTAGAGACCTTAGAATATTAATATCCTTAGGTTACATTCTTATAGAGTATCCACTAATTATTTCACATACTTAAGTGATGAATATATTAGTATCTTAAATTCTAGTTTGGTCATAGAGATTTGTGCTTTCATGGGTCCTGGAGCAGATGGTTGCTGTCCCCCGAGTGGTTCATACTCAGGCTCTGGTATCAGGTTTCCTGGGATGGAATCCTAGTTCTGTCACTAACTAACTGGGTGGACTGAAACAGTTCATTTAACCCTGATAGGCCTCGTCTTTGTAAAATGGGGATAAATACTACCTATCTTGTTGAGCTGTTATAAGGATGAGACATACCACATGTAATATTGACAATGCCTGGCTCACAGTAAATGCTCCATAAATGTTAGCCATCATTATTGTTGTTATTGATGATGGTTTTTGGAAGGCTCACTTGAATTTTCTCAGTTATAAATATTGTGTAGGGCAAGGTCTGTGAACCTTGGTTTCATTAAAGTAACTATTCCTATAAGAGTATGCTCCGCTGTGATTATGGTTGTATAAATCTCATTTGGCAATTGAGTACCAATAATACGATAGTCATAGATTAGGTATAACTATCTAAATTGAACTGCTGTCAACAACTACTGAAAGAGCATTTTGCAATAATTATCACTATCATCATTATTTCAACTTCATGAAATCCATGAAATATTTATCTTTCCTTATATCTAATCAGAATGATATACTCTTAGATATCACATAGGTGAGTAATAAATGATAGAATGGGGTCCCTTTCTTCTGATAGATGCATATTAGTATATTCTGATATAATGATATGCAGGGTACTAATTAGTGTGCAATTAACTGTCAGACTTTGTGCAATTGAGTGAGAAAGATTTTGTGCAGTTAAATAAATGATGAAATGGGTCCTTTCTTCTTTCCTTTGAATCACAGTGACAACCTAACTTAGACTTTCAATTAAGCTTTCCAGCTTCCTACCTGTGTTCTTGTATTGGTTTCTTAGGCAGGAATATTTTCTCTGCATGGACAGAAACAGTTGATAAACTCAACTCCAACAGAGAAATAAATTACATGCCAGCTATAATGAGATATGAACGTCCAGTAAATTTTCTTTTGCATGTAAAAATGTGGCAGTATGAAGTAAGAGTCAATAATTATTTATTGTTAATTCCCTAATGTTTGCTTCTGATGCACATGTAAATTGTGATGTGACTAAATTGAATGGAATTATCCGTTATTTTTAACATATTCACTCTAATGCACATGGATGAAAATGACTGTGATAATCTAGCAGGGATCCTTTGTGTTTTGGTGAAGCATGTAGGTCCGCATCCTGCAGTCTAGTATAAATGGATTTCAAACCGAATTTAATGAAAATTACCTTTGCTGACAGTGAGCCTGAGACACAGATGGTCACTGTATCCTCAGATGTGTTTAACTCCATTTCAGTGGGGCCACCTTTGTTGTTTATAACTTCTAGGTATAGATTCTTGTGGGAGTTCCAAGATTTGTTTTAAGCAGTTTTTCCTTTCTTAACAAAAATAGTAAGCACCATATAATGCTTGCTTCGTTTCAGTGATATTTTTTCATTCTTCACTCTCTCTTGCACATTTATTTGATGCTCAAGTGATGATATACAAATCACTGAGAATATTATTTCCTAGTTTTCTGGAATATTAGAAGGACAATATTACATAGAATTTTACTTTCACATATATAATTATTTCAATAATGTTGCCAGAAGAATTGAGTATCTCTTCTGAACAAATGCCGTGTCTAAGAACAAGAAGGATAGAATTAAATCAATGAGGGGATGGAAAGTAAAAAATGGGTCAGACGCAGTGGCTCACACCTGTAATCCCAGCACTTTGGGAGGCCAAGACAGGCGGATCACCTGAAGTTGGGAGTTCAAGACCAGCCTGACCAACATAGAGAAACCCCATCTCTACTAAAAATACAAAACTAGCTGGGGGTGGTGGCGCATGCCTGTAATCCCAGCTACTTGGGAGGCTGAGGCAAAAGAATCACTTGAACCCAGGAGGCAGAGGTTGCCATGAGCCGAGACTGCGCCATTGCACTCCAACCTGGACAACAAGAGCAAAACTCTGTCTCAAAAAAAAAAAAAAAAAAAAATGTAGGGAGATACAGGTATATTGTTTGTAATTCAGATCTAAGATTATTTCTGAACCTGAACCAGAAGATAGACATTTGAAACAGAAATTCACACTGTCAGTTAAGATCTTAGTTGTGTTTTTGCCAAATACTGTAAGATTAAAACAAATTCTCCACCAAGTTTTAGCCTCCAGTTTACTGCTACCACCATAGTTCAGTCCCTTCAGTTGGATTATTTTTGTTTTGTTTTCTAATAAAATGGCCAGATTAATCTAGTTTACATTGCTTTATCAATCACTGTGTTTCTTAGAAAACTACAAAAGTATCCTCATTTCCTCTCCATCAGTACTACCTGTTTTCTTCTGCGCAAGCCTTTTTTGCTCTAGCTCGCCTCTAGCCCTCTAGCCTTATTTTCTCTACTCTGAAGACAAACCCCTTGGCTTTGGTTAGCTCCTTTACAATGTGATTATGTCATGTCCCACTTGCCTAAAAGACTTCTCACTATAATCCTTAGTTTTGAAATCCTCTTTATCTTTTAAGGGTTAACCTCTAGAATTGATTAATTTTCTAGTTATTCCAGTTCTGATTGGCAATTCTATGCTGTTAAGTTCTCTTATACATACATGTAGCATTTAATTATATTATGGATAATGTGAATCTTACAATCAATGACATTTCCCTATTTGTCCTTACCACTAGGAAGTGCAGGGCTGAGTTATCGGCCAGTCTTTAGTTACTGTAGAGAATCTTCGACATGTATTTCTGCCTATGAACTTCCCCTATAGCATTGTCTTAACCATAAAGCTTCTTTTTTGCAACATTTTTTTCTAATGTTATAATCTTATTATATATTCTATCTTCTTGTAAGCCACATCAAATCCTTATTAGGAGAGGCAGTCTTCCATGGGATCTGAGCGCATCCTGCACACCCTTGCTGGCCTTGCCAAAAATGTAAGTCCCTGACTGCTCTTTACCCAGGAGATTTCTCAGGATGGTTTGTAGCAAGAAACCTTGAGAGATGAGGCATTAGCCAAGAGCAGGCTTGTTACTACTTACTGTCAAACAGTGGATTCCCCAAGCTCAGTGTTCCTCAGCTGTGACAAGCCCATTGTGTGCATAGCATCCATTTGGGCCTGCCAGAGTTGGGGAACAAAGGGACCAACGTACAATCCAATACTCATGCTGCTTGCTGTGCTATGCCATGAGTTTTTGCCCCTTACCCAGGAGTTTTGTGTCACCATTTATGACAGCAGGAGGCTGTAGTAGGCTGTAATTAGGATAAAATCAAATACTATACTAATACTCATTTATGGAAGATAGAAACTGTTCCATAAATTAATAAAAATAAACGTGTTTTGAGCCTTTCAAACCAACCCACTGTGCATATCACTATCCTGAACATGCTGAACATGTAATTAGATGTCAGTGTATACTTATTATGCTTTGAAGAACTTAGCTTTTATGGAATCATGGCAGCTGCAAGAGTAATTAAATTGATAATTTCTTGGAATTATGTTGAGAAGACTTAAGATATTAAAACTGGCTGGATTTGTCTGCTTCAACTAAAAAGATGAATAGAGAATATGTTTAACTTCACCTTGCCTCTGAGAGGTTTCTGAAGAGAACTTCAGTGTAAAATTTAGTGTCTTATTTAGTTATCTACCTTAGTCTGTGTTCTCTCTCCTTTCATCAGTTGTGTTGCTTTTTTCCATTTTTAAATTTCATTCTCACTGGAATTTTGAGAATGTAGCATTTGTAAATGTGAAGAAAAATCAGTAACATAATTTTCAATTTGTTTAGGTTTTTTAAAACTATGGCCTTAAAAGATAAAATTAGGATCATATAAATAAATGACATATGACCTCTGAAGGACTGGGTAGAAAAAAATTAATATTTATTGATTAACTAGCAAGTGCTAAGTTCTTTTAAGGTGCTTTACATGTATTATATCATTAAATCTGCCAATAATCTAAGAGTTAAGTATTATTAAAAGAATAAACTAGACTATTAGAAAATGACACTAATTAGATTTAGGTAACTAGCCCAAGTTCATACTGTAAGTAGCAAAAGAAGACTCTACCCAGGTAGATCAGACATTCTCATCAAAGGCATGGTTCTTAACCAGGAACTCTCATCTCCTGGGATAGTGAAAGTAAAGGAGGATGTGGAAGAGACTATTTCATATTACCAGAACCTATTTTTCTGTCTTCCTTGATAAGGCTACATTTCCCAGCCCTCCCCACTCCCTTGCACGTAGGTATGGACATGTGGCTAGTTCTCTACAATGGAATGTGAATGGAAGTGAGGTACCAGGCCGAAAATGGGCCTTCTCCATGGTCTCTTTTTATTTGCTAAACGGTAAAAGCAAAGGACCTCAGGGACCGTAGAAGATGACAGAGTCACCAGATGGGAAGAGCCCACGTCTGAGTTACCACGTGGAAAGTTGTCCCATTGAACACCAGCATTAGACTAAGGTTAGAATGAGAAAGAAAAGCTTTTGTCATGTTACATCACTAATATTTCAGGGTTTATTTATTAAAACAGCTCACATTACCTTACCAAAATAGATGGGTATGATCAAATGTCACTACTAGGAGCATTAGAGGATTTTAAATATTTGATGAAATCATTATGACATTAGTTATTTTTGAGACTTCTAAAACATTTGATTATTACCTTGAATATATGAACGAAAAGTATTGTAATTGCTTTATAAGAAGAAAAAACACTCTGAAAATAAGAGCATATTGGGAGTGATATCCAGATAGTCGTGACCTGGTCCTTGAACTGCCTCTGTTTAATCTGGGGCAAATGACTTAATCCCTCTGAGCCTCCCTCTCCTAATGTGTAACATGAAACAATCTAACCTCTTTAGGGTGGCAGTAAAATTGCTATAGGCTAAGAGTATACAGAAACACAGTAGTTTGTATACTCCTTGAAGATCAAAATAGTGTCCAGTTTATACGTCTATACTGGTACTGTTTTAGCACATAAGAAGTGTCAGTAAATATTGAATGAATTTTTGGTGGAATAGGACATGATATCCTTTTAGAAAACGTTTTGGCATTTTGAGTCAAAAGCCATAAATATATATATTCTTGTTGTCCCAGTATTAATGCTTAGGATATTTATGAATAATCCATGGGAAGGAAGAAGTGAGGATAGGATAGGGTTGCAGAAGCCTCATTTCAACCTTTGGAAATAGTCTCAGTGTTTAACTACAGTGGAGTAATTTGGTAAATTTTCATAAACTTCACTTGCTGCAAAGTTTTCCTGCTATTAAAAGGCAAGTAAGAAAAACCATATTCGTACGGTGAAAGTTTATACTAGAAAACTATCAGAAGCATAAAATACAAAACAGCTACATCTTTACTAAAAGCCTGGAAAAATTAAATGTATACTCAGTAAAGAATTAGAAGGAAACATACATAGAAAATGGAAAACAGTTTGATATATTAGTGATAGGATTATGGAATTATTTTTTTCTTTCAGTTGCATTTGCAAACAAGATGGGAGAAGAAGCTGGAAAAGAACATAGGCTACCTATTTAAAGATCCTGAATGAAAAAAAAAAAAACCTTTGTGTTTCATTTTGTAAGGTTTTTAAAAAATAGATCTGGGATTAAATCTGGCTTTTAGAAAGATAATTTGTAGTAAGAGAGTTAGTAATAGGGAGATGGATTAGAATATTACTGCAATAATTCAGGTGACAGATGTGGAGGAACTGTGTTTCTTATTTCCTGCGTTTTGTTGCTGTGACATCTGGGGCCTTGCTGACCCTGGAGGGACTGCCCCTCCTAGTGTTTGCCAGTTCTAGAGATAATAAATAACTCGCCCACAAGTGCACTTTTCCAAAACAAATGAATCAACCCAGAGCGCACACCTCAACCATCTCCTTTAGTGGGCTTTCACACTCTGGTCCATTATCCACCTGCCCTGATCACCCCAGGGCCAGGTACAGAGAGCTCTTGTGCCTCAGAGCCAATTGAAAATATCTAAACTACCAATCCTAATGCTTTTTACTCTGTTTTGCCCATTTCTTCCCAAGGAAACCACAATAAAGGCTTGTTTAGGGTTTCCCCTCTCTCCCTCTGCCTCCTAACCAACCCTGATGCTTCTTTTTGTGGCCCTGTTGGGGCGGCATGCCCCCTCCTCTTGGGAACCGTGAGTAACAAGCTGTATTGTCAGTGGCAGTCACCTTCTACTCTGCTGGCCTTACTACACCTCAGAGCTTCCACTAGTACACTATATTTTTAAACTAAATGTTGTGCGCCTAAATGAAAGCAGTGAAAATGGGGATGAGGAGAAACATTCAGAGATGTGTAGGAGTGAGAATTACAGGTTTTTGATGGTGTTAGGATATGAAGAGTAGGGAAATGGAAGGAGCAGATGACTACTGACAGATTTCTAGCTTGACAGTATTAACTGTGAGAAAACAGACTAAGAAAAAGAGGTTTCAAAGGGGAAAGATAATAAATTCGATTTGGAACCTGCAGAGTTTAGGTGCCTGAAAGACATCCATGTAGAAATATCTAGTGAGCAGTTATGAAGATGTGTCCTGAACAGTGGTTTTGAAACTTTTATGACTATGAAACACAGCAACAAGTCCATTTTACATCCGGCCCTATATGAAGATATGATTTCATATTTCACAGAACAATACGCCTTTCTTAGTGTGATGTAGTCTGATAGTTTCTGTCTGTGCCATTCATTTTGTTTCATTTTTTGTGTGTGCTGTAAGCCACTAAATTGAGTTCATGAACTACTAAAAGGGCACAACTCACTCTTTGGAAAACACTGATCTGGAGCATTAAAAAAAAACTCAGACTTGGAGAGATTTAGAAGTCATAAATATACAGATGTTAGTTTAAGCTATGGGATATTTTCTAGGGGCTGAGATGCAGATCAAGAAAATTGCCCAGATTATTGCTCCATAGAATACCAAGCATTTAAAATTTTTAAAGCTTACAGAGAGAGAGGAAGCAGCAAGAGAGAGTGAGAAACAATAGTACATCCTAATAGTAGACTCAGTCAATTAATATTGAGAAACCAAGAAAGGAGAACATTTCAAAGAGGGAATAATCAGCAGTGTCAAATGCCAATAATGCACAATAATTTTTTATCCAGACTAAGAAGACAATTTATCATTTAAGCCGTCACTGATGATAAGTGAAAAAGCAATTTCAGTAGTGTTCTGGGGGAGAATAGGTTGCAATGGGTGGGAAAAATGAATCGGAAGTGAGGAAAGTGAGGCAAAGAAGTTAGACTGCTTTTTCAGAGAGTTTGGCCTTAAAGGGAAAATATATTGATGTGGGTGACAGTCACTAAGTGAGGCGCAGAAAAAATCCAAGTGAAAACTTTGGAACAGGGTGGTTTGTCAAGGATGCATGTTAAAGACAGAATAATTGTTTGCTGAATTTTTTTGAAAAAAATAGATGAGAGTGATGAACAGGTGGAAAAACAGTAGGAACAATTAAAATAAGATTACAGCCATTTCAGTTATTTAGCTTAGAAATGGACAGCCTAGAAACTGATAGCAAGAATCATCTAATAACTGTAGCCCTAGATTAGAAAGATGAAAAAGTAGTCTGTTGTATATATATATGAATACATAAATGTATGTACATATGTACACAATATGTATTTTATTAATTACTGTATATAATATTTCTTAGGTGTAAATTAGTTTGGAGAGACTTAATATCAACCTCCTTAAGCAGAAGGATGAGGTTTAATGTAAGGAGAGGAGACTTCTGTAATACATATTTTTAATACATATTTTGGATGATTTAGAATCAGTCACCTAAGAGAAATGGAATAAATTACTACTGTAAGTTATTTACAATTCTATGAGTTTGTGATGTCTGTGATACAGTAAAAGTCTAATACCCATTTAAAAGGTTTAAATAGAATCTGCTACATAAACTTTTCACATTTTACATTAGAAAACCTTGTGATTCCACACACAGCTCTAAGAAGCAGCTCTATAATGACCACATTTTCACCCTACATTAATCTGCAATTTCAAGTCATAGCGTGGTTATGCTACAGCAAAAAGTTTATTGTTGAGTCCAGGAGAAGAGCATGTCAATGCAAAAGTCTTAACATGATGCTATTTTATCACAAATTTAACCATGCCATTGGTCAGCTGTGACCCTAGGCAGAGAGTTGACTAAAAATCCCCACATAATTTGTTGTGGGAGAATGCAGTGGTTAATTAATGTGAGTGAGTAGAAATAGCACTGGACTGTGAGTTAGGAACTATTCATTCTGCAAAACATCAAATAAGTCAATCTCATCTTTAAATTGAATGGGAAATACCTGTACTTCTATCTCACAGGCTTTTGATTATTATTCAATGAGATAATGAGTGTCGAAATCCTTTAAAAAGTTAACAAATGTATAAACGTAAGTTGGTAGTATTGTGGTTGTCATGGTTATATCTACTGAAAGCACTACTCTCAGATTTGCTTAAAACAGAAAGTTCCAGGGTGCTTTGGCTAAATCCCAATGGTACTTTTATAATGCCTTTATTAGTTCCCTACCTCACGGCCAAACACTTTTTATTAGGGTTCTTTTTCAAAGTTATTACGAATTTTTTTTAGAGTTGGCTGTACTTTCCCATTATTTCATAAAGTCTGTAACGTGTAAGCAGATGAATTATGCCTGTAAGGCCAGGCGTAATGGCTCATGCCTGTAATCCCAGCACTTTGGGAGGCTGAGGCGAGTGGATCACTTTAGGTCAGGAGTTCTAGACTAGCCTGGCCAACATGGTGAAACCCCATCTCCTCTAAAAATATAAAAATTAGCTGGGCGTGATGGCACACACCAGTAGTCCCAACTACATGGGAGGCTGAGACAGGAGAATCGCTTGAACCCAGGAGGCAGAGGTTGCAGTGAGCTGAGATCATGCCACTGCACTCCAGCTTGGGCAACAGAGCAAGACCCAGTCTCAAAAAAAAAAAAAATGTAGGATTATTGTATATCACATGAAAAAAACCAGAGAGTTGTTCATGTTTTCTCTGGGGTACATCCTCTTTGGAGTAGGAAGAATGAGTGTATTTCATATAAGAAAAAAAATAAGGAATTTCAAGGCAGGTAATTCCTATTGGATTATAAAATATGAGACCTGTGACTGATTCTTAGATTTTCAACAGAAAAAAAGATAAAGGAATAGAAACTCTGCATTTTGAAAGAACTTCTTTCATCACTTTTACTATGGAGCCAGAAGCAAAGATATGTCCAAACCCAGCCGAGAATATAAAAAACATAGTTGGAGACGCTTATGGAAACGGCCAAAACCATAATCTAAAAGTAGGGAAAAGGCTTCTGAAGTGTCGTGATTGTTGTCTCAGAGCTTCACGGTAGCACTAGAATTCAGCAGGCTCTTCGGCCTCTTTTCTGTAGTCTGTTATTTGGTTTAAAAAAAAACAAAGTTCATTCTTTTTTTTTTTTTTTTTTTTTTGAGACGGAGTCTCGCTCTGTCGCCCAGGCTGGAGTGCAGTGGTGCGATCTCGGCTCGCTGCAAGCTCCGCCTCCCGGGTTCACGCCATTCTCCTGCCTCAGCCTCCCGAGTAGCTGGGACTACAGGCGCCCGCTACCACGCCCGGCTAATTTTTTGTATTTTTAGTAGAGACGGGGTTTCACCGTGTTAGCCAGGATGGTCTCGATCTCCTGACCTCGTGATCCGCCCGCCTCGGCCTCCCAAAGTGCTGGGATTACAGGCGTGAGCCACCGCGCCCGGCCAAACAAAGTTCATTCTAACATAATAGATAATAGTCAACATAGTATGGTTCTAGGAGAAGAGATTGAAGTTTAGCCAATTTTTATACCTTATTTGCATACCTATACTTAACATTCATCTTCAATTATTTCAAAATAATGTGTTGCAAATACTCATAGTACACTGAAAAAGCTGTAATTCTACTAATGCATATAAAACAAATTTAGAAGTATATAACCATGAGTGAAACCACACGTTAATCTACCTGGAAACAAATACAAATAGTCCCCTACATGTCCAAACAGTGCTGCCTCTGCTTGCTTCACCAACACCACTACTTGATGAAGACTCCCTAGATCCTCTTTTTCTTGATCTTTTTCCTTCTCTTTTCTTTTTCTTGTTCTTTTTGTTTCTGAAGCCTTGGAAGCCTTCAATTCATATTCATAGGAGTCTACTGTGTTCATGGTGCCTGGGACCTCATAGTAATAAAAGTCTTTGGGAATCTTATTGGAATCAGGTACACCCTGGAAACACTCAAATCATCAGGAAACACCAGACAGTATAATAGAAGGTGACTGTGATAGGCAGAATTCCAAGATGGCCCCCAAGATTCCCACCCCTGGGTGCGCCCATTCTGTATGAATCGTGACTGTGAGTGGGATCTGTGAATATGATGGAATATCACTCCAGTGAGTATCTTATGTTATATGGGAAAGGGGTTTGTAAGCATAATTAAGGTCCCTAATCAGTTGACTCTGCATTCATCTAGTGGGAGATCATCTTGGGTGGGCCAGACCTAATTGAAAGAGCCCTTAAAAAAGATAAGAAGCAGCAGCAGATGCTTTCCAGTTAGCCTAAAAAAAAAAAATAGCAAACTGCTGTGTTATGAAGCTGCTGTTAGAGAGAGGTGGCCTCTAGGGCCTGAGGGCCTCAGTCCCATAGCTGCAAGGAAGTGAGTTCTGCCAACGACCTGGATGAATTGCAAGGAAATCCCCAAACTCTAGATGAGAACTGCAGCTCAGCTGACACCTTGATTTCAACCTGGTAAGATCCTGAATAGAGGACCAGTAACTCAGACCTGGACCTTCCTGACCCCTGCAAACTGTAAGATCATAAATTTGTTGTTCTAACTGGCTAAGATTAAATGGTAATTTGTTACTTAGCAATAAAAAATTAATATAGCTACACAGAGAATAAAATCAAAGAGTACCTGAGAATCCCAAACCTATTAAGGAAAACAACTAATAATAACTTATTTATTTAGTACCTGCTGTGTACGGGGCATATACTGGAAGTTTTTTCTAATTCTCACTGCAGGTTTTATGAACAAAACTAAGACTCAGTAAAATGTTGAAACTTACCCAAGTTCCTTCCCAGTCCACCCATTACACTGTCCAGTGTGGTAACCAGTAGCCAATGTAGCCATCAAGCACTTGCATAGTGTCCAAGCTGAATTGAGATGAACTGCAAGTGTGAAATAAACACTGCATTTTGAAGCTTTAGTGCCAAAAAAAAAAATGTAAAATATGTCAATTATTGTTATGTATTGATTCCATGCTAAAATTAATATTTTGGATCTCTCATATTAAGTAAACTGCATTATTCAAATTAATTTCACCTGCTTTTAAAAACTTTTAAATGTGGGTATTAAAAAGTTACGATTATGTGTGTGGTTCATTTATATCTCTGTTGGAAAGAGAAGAATTTGAAAAACAAGAAAGAAAATGAAACTCACATCCCACTACTCAGAAATAAGCATTGTTAATATTTTCATATACTCCCGTTCTGTTATTTTTAAGGTAGAAATTTTTCTTTCCCTCTCCACAGTTTATTTCAGTATCTCAGGAAACATTTGTAGGGGCAAGAGAAAGCAACCCCAGGAAAGCTTAAAATGCTTGCCTGAGACGTTACATTTGTTAAGTGAAGGAGCTGAAATCCAATCCCATGTCTTTCTGAGAATTCCACTTCTATTTGCTTCCAAGACCTGTGCTCTTTCTGCTGTAGCACAGTACATCTCTTCAAAAACCTTTACAAGAAAAATTAAAAGATGACTTACAGTATTACATAATCCAAAGTATTGAGCAGAAAAGAAAACTCATCAGGGCCTGAAGTTTTACATTTTTATGGATAGTTTTATTTGGGAAGGAAATATTTCTATATTTCAGAATTTCTAACGGAATTTCTAAACATTGGTGACTACTTATGTTTATACAGTTGTTGTATTTGGGAAAAAACCTCTGTATTTCAAAATTTCTAAGTGAATGGCTAAACATTGGTGACTACCAATGTTTATAGGATTGTTTGTAATTTTTTTCCTAAAATTTATTGAAGAGGTATAGGTGGGCAGGGGATGCTGGATATAGTTAATGTTGGCTGTTAATGCTAGCAATTATTAATAGGTATGTATAGAATTAAGCAAATAATTGCTTTAGAGATAATTTTTTAAAAATGAAATTTGAAGGAAAAGAAAGATACAGATAGGAAGGAAGAACGAAAATTGTCTTCGTTTGCAGACTACATGATCTTGTCTTAGAAAATCTTAAGGAATCTTTAAAAAAAAATTTCTGGTTGAGCAAGGTCATAAGATACAAGACCAGTATAAAAAAATCAATTGTATTTCTACATTGTAGCAACAAACAGTCTGAAAACAAAATTAAGAAAGTAGTCAATCAATAGTAAATCTAGTCTCTGCATTAGCAGGTTCATTTCCACCAGAGGCAAATAGAATCCTTGGTGTCTAGACAAGCCCATAGATGTGTATGTATTTAGGGTGTTTGGTCTCAACTTCAAAGATTTCATATTGCTTTTGTTTCAGAATATATATTAGTAAGTTTTGAGCACTCATTTCTGAATTTTACTGAAAGTATCTCGTTTCACATATTAGCTTTTTCAAAAAGCAGATACAAAAGAGTTTTGCATTAAATTATTCCTGCTAAGTGTATGAGCTGGCACAACAGCTTGGCTGCTGCTTTTATGGTACAACAGATGTTGGCATTTCAAAATAAACATAAACTTTTTTCCCTAGAAGTAAATTTCCTTCTTTATAAATTAGTTCTGGACAAGTTAGTATAGGCTTGTATCTTCTAGAGAGTTTGTGATTTATTAGTTTTATAACAAAATGGCTTAAAAGAAAAATAATTATAGTACCATATGAAATTCATACATCAGCTCTTTCCTTCTCTCATGGGCCATAGTTCTAATTATTTTTTCTAATGGTAATTGATAACCAGGTGAATTCCCTTGCCGTTGCAGCTTTATAGAATTTTTTTGCTCTTAGCTTTCTTGGGAATAATAGAAAATCTCCAAGTTCAAATATATGTCAGACTGATGTGCTCCTTCTGTACATAGATAATAACTTTATTCAGAAGCCTGTTAAAGATGGCTTTCATTTTTTATTTCAGATTTGCATCAGAAAGGTAATGACAGCTCATTAGCCCTTGAAGCATCTAAAACTTAGAAAATATATTTCACAATTCAAGGTTAAATGGGTCATCATCAGTTATGAAAGGAAGTATCATGCACTCTGTAGAATGTTTCACATATTTCAAAGTGTTATCTTTACAGGGAAACACGTCACCATTCTTCTTCAGAGAAGCAACTTGATGATAGGAAGATCTATCCCATCTTATCCTTTCATATATTTATCAAGATTTGGCTATGTAGACTTTTCCTGAGGGAAGTCTCACACTGACTTTAGTAGTTGTCTTTGGTACTAAAACATTAGATGAAAAGGATTGTACAGTTATAAATTATCATGCTTTGTTTGTGCTTTTGGAACAATGCTTTTTCATACTGCAATATTTGCATGTAGAGTTTTAATTAAGAGATAACTGTCTCCACAGGTTGGCTGCAGAAGGCTGCAATCTCCAGCAGGGAGATAAATGCCAGTGCCAAGTCATACAGGTTGGGTAGCAAATGGGGGGGTCGCTAAGATAAAATGGGCTTGAAATTAAAAGCATGAGAGTCACTTCTTTGTACTTTAATGAAAAGTATAAAATATTTTTGATGTATTCATTTATTTTTAAATAATTCCCTATTTTTAATGCGTTTCAAGAGTATCCTGAATGTTGCTGCCTCAGTAGGATATTTTTAAAAAATTTCAGCATATGGCTTATTTTTCTAAGCAATTATTATTTAACTCTCAACCAGGAACGTTATAGTCCATGACAGTTTTTTTCCTTGTTTTTCCCTGATTCGTTAGAGTCAAGATTCTCTTCCCATGTTCACAAACGAATTTTTCTTACAAGTGACCTAGATCAAACAGAAAATAGTCTTTATTGACTCTAGAAAAATCATTCAGAAAAGAGACTTATATGACGTTCTAACTCAGATTGGCTCTTAAGAACTAGTGGCTAGGAATGTTTCATACAGGAAGGGAAAAAAATTTAAACATTTTTTATTGATAGAGCTGTACGTGTTTTTAAGTACATGTGATATTTTGATGCATGTGTACAATGTGTAAATGATCTAATCAGGGTAATTGGGATATCCAGCACCTTAAACATTAATTTTTTTCTTTGTGTTGGGAACATTATAATTCTTCTCTTCTAGCTATTTTGGAATATACAGTGAATTATTATTAACTATCATTTCCCCATTGTACTATCAAATATAGAACTTAATCCTCCTGTCTCACTGTATTTTCATGTCCATCAACCAAATTATCTTGATCTTTTTCTCCCGCTTTCACTTTGCAGCCACTGGCAACTGCCATTCTCCCCTCTACCTCCATGAGATCCACTTTTCTCAGTCCCACGTATGAATGAGAACATGAACTATGTGTCTTCCTGTGCCTGGCTTATTTCATTTCACACAATGACCTCCACCTCCATCCATGTTGTTGCAAATGACAGGATTTCATTCTTATGGCTGAGTAATATTCCACTGTGTATATATACCACGTTTTCTTTCTTTTTTAAAAAATTTATTTGTTTTAAATTTTACTTTAAGTTCTAGGATACATGTGTAGAACATGCAGGTTGGTTACATAGGTTACGTAGGTAGACATCTGCCGTGGTGTATACCACATTGTCTTTATCCACTTATCTGTTGATGGACAATTAGGTTAATTCCAAATCTTGGCTCTCGTGAATAATTCTGTAGTACACGTGGGAGTACAGATATGTCTGACATACTGACTCCTCTTGGATATCCAGCAGAGGGATTGCTGGATCATATGGTAGTTCTATTTTTAGTTTTTTGAGGAACCTTCCTACTGTTTTCCATAACGGCTGCACTACTTTACATTCCTACCAACAGTGTGTGAGCATTTCCCTTCCTTCGCATCCTCACCAGAATTTTTTGTTTTTTTGTCTTTTTGGTATAACAGCCATTTTCATGGGTGAGATGGTCTCTTTGGGGTTTTCATTTGTATTTTCCTGATGCTTCATGATGTTGAGCATTTTTTTATATACATGTTGGCCATCTGTCTCTCTTGAGAAATGTCTGTTCAGGCCGTTTGTCCATTTTTAAATTGAATAATTTGGCGGGTTTTGTTTTTTGTTTTTGTGTGTGTGTGTGTGGTTTTGTTGTTGTTGTTGTTGTTGTTGTTGTTTTGCTGTTGAGTAGGCACATGTTAAGTAATGCTTAATTGAGACCTCCACTTCCAGTCCAGACACAGTTCATAGACCAAAGGGAGAATGCTGTTGCCACCAAGGCTGTACTTCTGATCAAGACTCACTGTTTCTCCTTTCTGCTTTTACCCTGTCAACCAATTAATTATGTCTGCTTTGTCCTCGGTTATGTTAGCCAATTATAACCTTTTTTGGAACATGTAAGGTTCCTTTGTGCATAATGTGATGGGTAGGGGCAACCTTCCATTCCCTGTTCTCATAGTAAATTAGTGGGTACTGAGAAGAGAAGAGAATTGCTGTATTGTAGTATGACATAGCATAATATAGCATAATATAACATGACATGTCATAACATCGTGGAATAATCTACCTTCTCCATTAAGTATTAAAAATTAGAGAAAATGTTATTCCCCAAGAAGAAGCTCTGGGCAATTTGAAGCTGCTTGTGTTAGTGACAGTATAGGTTCTGATGTCTTTTATTACTGTTTGTTTCTTGGTTGAAGATTTTCTACATATATATCACTTACAGCATACCTGGATTGGAAGGGGCAAGATTTGAGTCAACTCCCCTTATTTTCCTATTTAAAAATAATTATTATTTCGGAGAGACAAATTGAATAATTGAAGAGAATAGAAACAATACATTTTACTTTATTACTTTCTTTTATAATATCATATAAAGATTCTATAGGATATTTACTTTCCTCATATGTATCATAACATACTACAAAGGAATATAACCAGTTTAGAGGGAAGAATTTTCCGTAGGAAAAAAAAGAGCTAGAAATCTGACATTTCATGCAGTCCCTTTCATATCACTCCTTCCCATTACCTCTGTTATTCGTCACTTTCCTGTAACTTGGATGCAGTCATCCTCTTTTTACGTTTAAAGTCCAGTCTATTAGAAGACAATAGTTGCTGAAGTTTATTTGGAAAAAAGGAAGAACGTGCTCACAACAGGAGAGCAAAAGTCAAATTGTACAATTAATTATTTTGCCAAATACTTGAATGGGTTATCATTTCAAATTGGTGACATGTCAAAAATCTTGCATTGAGAACCACTATACCATCTTTTAATTCATTCAGAATGGTGGGTTAATATACCTCCACACTGATGAGCTTTTTTTTTTTTTTTTTTTTTTTTTTTGAGTCAGAGTCTCTCTCTGTCACCCAGGCCAGAGTGCAGTGGCATGACCACGGTTCACTCTATCCACCACCTCCCAGGCTCAAGCAATCTTTCTCAAGCCTCTCAAGCAGCTGTGGCTACAGGTGTGCACCACCATGCCTGGCTATTTTATTTTATTTTTTTGTAGAGGCAGAGTTTTGCTATGTTGCCAGAGCTGATCTCAAACTCCTGGGCTCAAGTGATCCTCCTGTCTCGGCCTCCCAAAGTACTGGGATTACAGACTTGAACCGTCACACCCGACCTGACAAACCTCTTTTAAAACCAAACTCATATTTGTAAATCCAAACTCAGAGTCATTGCTTTTTAAGACAAGAGGGGGCCAGGCACAGTGGCTCATACCTGTAATCCTAAACTTTGGGAGGCCAAAGTGGATGGATCCCTTACCCCCTGGAGTTTGAGACATAGTAAAACTCTGTCTCTACAAAAAAAAAAAAAAAGAAAAGAAAAGAAAATTAAACTACCTGGGCCTGGTGGCGCGCACCTGTGGTACGGTCCCAGCTACACAGGAGGCTGAAGTGGAAGGATTGCTTGAACCCAAGAAGTGGAAGTTGCAGGGAGCCAAGATCACACCACTGCACTCCAGCCTTGGCGACAGAGTGAGACCCTGTCTCAACAACAACAACAAAAAAGACCAGAGGGAATAAAATTTCATGTGAGGAAACAAAGACCCAGGAGGTGCACAGTAATTTTCATAGTCACAGAGGTGGGCCCTAGTGTCCTTGAGTTTAGCATCTGTACCTGCCGATTCCCTGCCTCTGCCTTGAGTAAGGAACGAATTTAGTAGTCAGGAAATTTATGAAAGAATTGCCCATAGGGCTGTTCCACAAAGTGGACTCCATAGTCTATTAAAAATATGATCTTAAAAATTAAAAACAAAAACAAGCTATAGCAGCTGCTGGTTGCAGACATAAATTTAATCCTCACAGCCATGCTGTTGGATGCATATTATCTCCAGTTTTACAGATTAGGATCCAGAGACTTGGAGAGGTTAGTTAGGTGATTAACCCAAAGTCATACAGTAATAGTTGCCAAAACATAAAATTCAGCCTATCTGACTTCAAAGACCAAACACTTTCCATCACACTATGCTTTCTCTCCTTTATACTTTTCAAAAAATCCATTTCTGATGAAGCAAAGCACATGTATGTGACTTACGAATGTAATGCTGCTATAGAGTTGTCCAGAACTGTGTGTATGTACACCCGTCCCTCTGACATCTGCCACGTTTGGGAGTTGTAGTAAGGAATTTCTGTTGCCCTTCGAGTTCTATTGTCCCCATGTGTATTGATTGCCTGCAGGAGTTTAGTTGTCAAATTACTTGCCTCTTTGTCAGTTAACAGCATTGTTTGCTTGAGTGGAGTACCATACTCAAAATGAAGCCAGCAAGATTTCCAAATAAAGGAAAGACATTCTGATAAGTAATATGGAAATATTCAAGCCTCATGAGAGGACATAATCAGGAAAACACTGAACAACTCATTACTGATTTAGATTATTTTCTGCAGTTTCCAATGCCTGACACAGGTTTTCCTATTGCATTAGCCTCTTTCTTTCTTTCCTTTTTTGTTTTTGTTTTTTTGAGACAGGGTCGTGCTCTGTCGCCCAGGCTGGAGTGCAGTGGTGCGATCTCGGCTTACTGCAAGCTCTGCCTCGCAGGTTCACGCCGTTCTCCTGCCTCAGCCTCCCCAGTAGCTGGGATTACAGGCACGTGCCACCACGCCCGGCTGATTTTTTTGTATTTTTAGTAGAGACGGGGTTTCACAGTGTTAGCCAGGATGGGCTCGATCTCCTGACCTCGTGATCCACCCACCTCAGCCTCCCAAAGTGCTGGGATTACAGGCGTGAGCCACCGCGCCCAGCTACATTTGCCGCTTTCTTATGTATCTCGTAGAGGCAGTCCCTAACTATCCCATTTCAAGTGCACCGCCCCTCTCACTGTCCTGTTGTGATTGGTCGTCCCCTCAGTAGTGCTGTACATAGTCTAATCGTATGACATTCCCCTTCTTTTTTCACTTTCCTTTTGCCAAATCAAACACACGACTCTCTCTTCTTCCTTTAGTGGGACTCTATACCTGACATCGTTGTCAGGTATAGACATGCACTCAAAGTTAAAGGAAATTAAAATGGGAAAAGAAAATAGTGGGAAGGAAGAATATTACTTTGTTTAGTGTCTGCAACCCTCACTAGAATGTAAACTCCATGAAGGTCGAGCTGTAATTGTGTTTTGTTCACCTCTCAAACAGAGAACACATTTGCTGAATGACCGACTGAATAAATGAATTGCACTAATTTACTGTGGAGCCTCAATAGCTGCTCATTTCTCTTAACTATTTTACTTGCTAACGGATTTAGCATGGTAGTACATCTTTATTCATTAACATAGACAGGTAGCTACCGTTCTCATGCTGGCTTGTTGAATTGTGTGATGATAGTCCTGAATCTATGTGATGATAGTCTTGAGGCTGTATTCACTACTATATGTAATATTATTGGTTACTTGTCTCTCTTTTACCTTCTTGAAACTAATTAGCCCTTTCGCTCCTTTCTGAGTTCTTTAATTTTTTTTTTTCTGAGCTCCTAATATGGAAATCTGCTGGTATGTATAATACATCTGACAAATGAAATGTGGATAATTATATTGTTTTTCTTTAGAGATATAATGAGTTGTCTAAAGTATTAGACTTGAAAGCAAATATTTCAATTAAAGAAGTCAAAAGTAGTTAACAATCAAAGGAGGTAATACAGTCAAATAAAAAGTTAGGCAACAGCTTCTTAACATACATTTGCTATTTGTTGCCTACCTTATTTCCTCCAATTTTGAAACATACTTTTGTTTTTTAACTTTCTGAAATTGGGATGTATTTCCAAAAAGAAACTTGCTTGCTGCCAGGTAAGAGGAATAAATTATGACGCGGTTGTCACCATGGTGCTATACCTAATTACAGATGATCAAGTCATTCAGAAGAATCGTTAGACTTTAAATGAAGGAAAGGCTCGTGATTGTGTTACTAAAACAAACCAAAAAAAAGGGTATTTAATTATGTAGATTAAGGGGAACTATTATCTGTTGGTTTAAAAAAAAAAAAACCTAATGATGTACCTGTATGTATACATTAACGTGGCATTTTACCCTGTGTAAGATGTAATTAAATGGATGATTAATGATGTTACAATTCATGATCTCACAGATAGAAGAAATATAGTGATCGTGTGAATTTGGATAGGTCACTTAACCTTTCTAAACATTGATTTTCTCACCTGTGTAAATAAGGAGTTAAGTCAAAGTTTGTTTTTTTTGGTTGTTGTTGTTTTTGTTTTTTTTGTTTTTGAGATGGAGTCTCGCTCTGTCACCAGGCTGGAGTACAGCGGCACAATCTCGGCTCACTGCAACCTCTGCCTCCGGGGTTCAAGCAGATCTTCTGCCTCAGCCTCCTGAGTAGCTGGGACTACAGGCACATGCTGCCACGCCCGGCTAATTTTTGTATTTTTAGTAGAGACGAAGTTTCACCATGTTGGCCAGGATGGTCTCCATCTCTTGACCTCGTGATCTGCTGGCCTCAGCCTCCCAAAGTGCTGGGATTACAGGCATGAGCCACCAGGCCCGGTCTAGGCCAGAGATTTTTAAAAATCCTTTCCAACCCTAATATTCTTGTGTTCTTATGTTGAAAATGAATCTTGAAAACTTAGCAAGATTTTAAAAGTTTGTTTTTTTATTTTTTGAGACAGTCTCACTCTGTCGCCAAGGCTGGAGTGCAGTGTCACGATCTTGGCTCTCGGCAACCTCCTCCTCCTGGGTTCAAGCAACTCTCCTGCCTCACCCTCCCGAGTAGCTGAGATTATAGACATGCACCACCACGTCCAGCTAATTTTTGTATTTTTAGTAGAGACAGGGTTTCACAGTGTCGGCCAGGCTGTAAGTTTTAATCACTACTTAAAATCACATTCTCTGTGGCGCAGGGGTTTCTCCAGTGCCTGCTCCTAGAATCAGTTTAGTAGAGGAAGATATACAAATACTGTATTATAAAACATTTAATGAAATTACAGAATTCTGAAGAAAAAATAGGCTATTTCTCTGATCTATGTATGTGTTTTAGGGGAAGAGTGATTCTTTTTTATCAGCAAAGACCTTAAACCAAAATCTGAGAACAAACAGGAGTCTCATTTATTCATGCAAAAATGCTTCTTTTATTACAACAGTTTATTACGGTAAATTATGCATTAAACAAACCAATTTTGTATTACTATGAATCACTCAGTATGGTGAATTTGGATCATTTAAACTGCAGGGTTGTCCAGTCTTTTGGCTTCCCTGGGCCACATTGGAAGAATTGCCTTGAGCCGCACATAAGAGGCACTAACAGTAGTAGCCCATAAGTTTTAAAAAATAGCAAAAATATCTCATAATGTTTTAAGAAAGTTTATGAATCTGTGTTGGGCCACATTCACAGCTGTCCTGGGTTGCATGTGGCCTGCGGCCCAGAGGCCACAGGTTGGACAAGCTGGATTTAAAAGATTGTACTTTGATTGTAGAAGTTCAGAGTTCGTATTTACTCTGTACCTTAAGTACTTAACGCATGATCGTTCTCTGCTTACCTGTGTCAACGTTTAGCTGCGGTAACAAATTTTTGTGATTTCTATGCTTGCGACAAACTCACTTTGGCTTATGAACTTGTCAATTTCTATTCCTATCATTCTGAAGAGATTTCCAAGTAGATTATAGTTTTCAATATTTTCATATAGAAAGGAAGAACGTCTTATATACTGGGCTAGTGCCATAATTGAACCTGAAAGGAGTTGGGAGGGAGGGCGGAGAACATTAGGAACGCTGGTGTTCTAAAGAGGAACCCTAAGATGAACCAAAATGTATCACTTGGTCTGAAAAGATTATCACTGTGGCTTATTTTGTGTCTTATCGATAAATTATGGTGGACTTTCAAGTATAAAAAGTGTTCAACATCGATTTTTCATTAACTTTCTTATCACTTAGGAGTTCCAGGGTATAATAGAGATAATCATCTGGAAAGACAGGCCTTTTCTCTCTGCTTTGCCCCCACTAACTTTTAGTGTTTGTCTAGGGTTGTGAATCCAGGATGAGTTTTTAGCTTCCATTTCATTCTTCTTCCTTTCTTCTACGTAGTATAAATTTTTTCCACTCCACCCCATTTGGTTCAGGGGCCTAGATAGTACTAAAGGCCTACCATAACCTTCTCCCTGTAATAACCAGGGAGCACTCCTTTTTCCTATCCATCTATTCCTTCATTCATTTGTTCATTTATTCCTTGACATATGATTTTAACAAATATTTGTTCAACACCAATTTATGGGCTAAGGTGTTCCGTATATAAATCCCAGTTAGCCACTGACACCAAAGTCATGGTTTACAGTGTAGTTACAGAGAAAAGTCAACAATTACCATACAGTGTGATAAATACAGTAAGTAGACTTGTGTACACGTGCCAAATGATTTAAATTGGGCTCTAGTGAGGAGAGACCAATATTGTTTTAAGCCTTTGCTCTATCCTTGCCAGTGGGTTTTTATGTGGTAGCTGGTTTGAGTATATATGTAAGCGAGGTATCTTGATACCAAGTAGTAAAGGAAAATTACTTTTTGAAATAACTGGGAATTTCAGACTGGTCTGTGAGAATTTGTTTCTGTTTTAAAATTAAATTGTAGATGTGGCCAACATCTCATCCACAACTTGTTCACAAACATATTCATCTCATAGTCAGAGACTTGTTTATAAATTTTTTTGGAACATGAGGAAAAAAATATTAGGCATTGAAACTCAGACCGCAGGCTCATATTTTCTTTTTGTCATTGGAATTATCTCTAAATTTTATGCACGCCACACATTTTCAACAGGCTGCCTCTCCAAAGTATTGTGTTTCGAAACACTGCAGATTTTAGTTGAACTTTGCCTTTCCCTGTTTGTAGTATTTCTATTTTACTTATATTGCCCTGTTCCAGAAACTACTCCTGAAAGTAGTTCAGAAGGATACGTGAAACAGAAGGGGAATGTACACATTAAAGCTAGAAGCAAGTAAGTGCTGCAGCACTCTGTATTGCTTGGTCTCGAGTAGAGTTCCTCGTCTTAGTACTAGCGACATTTCGAGCCCACAGGTATTTATTGTGGGGCTGTGCTGTGCGTTTTAGGATGTTTAGCACCATCTCTGACCTCTACCTACTAGATGCTGGTAGCACCCTCCTAGTCATGACAACCAAAAATGTCTCCAGACGTTTTCTAATGTCCCCGGGGGAAAAATTGCTCCCAGTTGAGAACTGCTAGCCTGGAGCATAGTTGCAGAGAAATGGATCTGTTTTGGAGGTAGAATTAGTAGGACTTGTTTATGGATTCCCTGTGAAGGTTGAGAAAAAGGAAAGAGCTCGAAGTGAATCTTAGATGTTTGGCTTACATGCCCAGTGGAGTTTGGTGCCATTTACTGAAATGGGGAAGACTGTGGGAGGACAGGTGATAAAGGGGACTGGGCAGGTGGAAATCAAATCGTTTTTGTTGACTTGGACATAGCAAGTTTAAATCCAAAAGAGATGTCAAATGGGCAGCTGTTGAGTCTGTTGCTCAAGGGAGAGTATTTTAAAGCAGAGTCTGGAGAGAGTGTAGATGGAGGAGAAAAGAGTGGTCTCGAAACCAAGCTCTGGGAGTGGTTGGAGGAGAATGGACCAGTGAAGAAGGCTGGGTGAGAAGAAATCAAGGAGCCTGTGCTATCGTGGAAATCAAGAAAGGAAAGTGTGTCAAGGAGGAGTATTCACTTTTGTTAAATACTTCCGAGACATTCAATAAGAAATGCTAACACTGTTTTGTTATAAATAACTGAAATTAATTTTAGCTGTGAAAAAATTAGGTCCTAAAGTAAATAAAAAGATAGTAATGGGGACATAAAATAGGCTGTGAAATGAATTTAAAATGCCAAAAGTTACAAATCCCAAAGACATAACCCTTGCTCTGGATGTGCTACAGATCTTGGCTGTGGACATTCTAAAAGCCATTAGAAAGCCTTCAGTCACTTCCAGTATTCACAATGACCATAAAGTAAAAGGGGTCCCCAAGACCACCCCAGGCTAGATGATTTGCTGGGAGGACTCACAGGACTCAATATGTTAGTCATACTCACAAGTAAGATTTACTAGAGTGAGAGGAACTACAGCAAAGTCAGCAAAAGGAAAAGACATGTGGGGTGAAGTCTGCAGGAAACCAGGCACAAGCTTCCAAGACCTCTCCTGTGTGTGTCTGCCACAGGACAGTCCATTCCTGTGGCAGTGAGTTATGACAGCATGTGTGAAATGTGTTCTGCCAGGGAAGCTCGTAAGAGACTCCGTGGGCAGGTTTTTACTGGGACTGGTCATGGAGGCACCCTCTGCCCGGCATGTACCAAAATCCCAGGCTCACAGAAGGAAAGCGGATTCAGCATAAACTGCACTGTGTGCATAAACAGTTTAAACATGGTGAGCTGCTCTCATTAGTCTGAGAATGGTGGGAACCTTCCGGAAATCTGGGTTCCCAGACACCAGCCACGGCTAGCCTTGCAAGCAGGCCTTTTAAAGCCGTCTCGGGACTGCTATGTGAACTCTGTTTTTTGTAAACAGGCCAAAGCCCAAGGAAAATACAAGCATAGTTGGCACTATGACTACATCAGAATTTCTCTGGAATGGGCATTTGTTTAATAAACTGTTTCTAACATATTCTAAATCATTTGGATAGCTAGTAAGCTAAAATTTTTGTCTGTATGTATTGGGAGGCAGTCTAGCATATAATAAAATAATCATAGACTGTGAAATTTGACAAATATGGCTTCTCTAGTCATGGCTCAGCTGCATACTCTCTCTGTACCTCCATTTCTGGTAATAAAACCTACCATTTTGAAGATTCAGTGATATATGCATATAGTACCTAGAATAGTGACTGACACGTGGTGGCCATTCAGAAATACTGGTGGCATTGATGTTAATAATTGCAACAAGAGTTGTTTTATTATTGTCTTTCTTGTGTTAGACATGCCATTACTTTTCCTGGATTAATCGATTGTAATATCCACTCTCCTGTATTTTCACTAAATGGCTTTCAGTTTTTCAATTAAACTTTCAGTTGAACAGTATCAGAGGCATTTTAATAAAAAATTTTACTGAGCTTGATTAGTTGATGAGAAGTAAATTGCTCGTTTTTGATTACCACATTAACTCTTTCTGGCCATTAGGGTACCATTTAGTAAATTACTTCTCTTTTTGTACAGTACTCAAAATGTTACCCAAGTGACCAGAAAGAGTTAATAATGCACCAACAGGCTGAACACTTGACTACCTCCTTACTATTAGATCAGTCTCATTATATTAAATGTTTCCCTTCCTATAATTGTCATTTTCTTTAAAAAATGAAATATTGGATACAGTTATTTATTTTTAATAGACCTTATAAGCTCAATGAAAAGTATGCTGAGTTCACTCATATACCTTCTAAGGGGATTTAAAGTATCGGTACTCACTATATAATATGCAAAATCAATCCGATGTGGATAATAAATGCACCTTTCACAGTGCGCAAGAAGGGCATTATTTCCCAAGGGTACAAGTGATTCCCCGATTATGATCTGAGTACTAAGGAGTCATATTATTATGCCTCCCTAAGTGCTTGAGCACTAAAGAGAGTTGTGCCTCATGGCATTGTAGCAGGTAAACTTTCATGTGGGCAGGAATCCTGCCTTTTAAATGTATACATTATCAGTACTCCTGTGGATGTGTTTTTATGGCTAATTCTAATACAGCTTTTAATTATTCAGGAGTACTCTTTACTTTCTTATGAATAGGGGTCTGCAATCTATTCTTAAAATTACATCTTTTGCTGGGCACGGTGGCTCATGCCTGTAGTCCCAAGCACTTTGAGAGGCTGAGGTGGGAGGATTGCTTTAGCCCAGGAGTTTAAGACTAGCCAGAGCAATATTGAGACCCCTGTCTCTACAGAAAATTTAAAAATCAGCCAGGCATGGTGGTGCATGCCTGTAGTCCCAACTAATGTGGAAGGATCACTTGAGCCCAGGAAGTCGAGGCTGCAGTGAGCCGTGATCACACCACTGCACTCCTGCCTGGGCAATAGAGGAAGACCCTATCTCAAAAAAAAAAAAAAAAAAAATCTCTAGTCAAATATTTTTCCAGGTCACCTGGGAAAATTGTTGTTACTCTCTTGGAAAGAATATTCGACTCCTGAAGTACTAGTTTTTGCAATATAAAAGGTTGTCTTTCACTTTGGGAGGCCAAGGCAGGTGGATCACGGGGTCAGGAGTTCGAGACCAGCCTGGCCAAGATAGTGAAACCCCGTCTCTACAGAAAATACAAAAATTAGCTGGGTGTGGTGGCAGGCATCTGTAAACCCATCTACTTGGGAGGCTGAGGCAGAGAATTGCTTGAATGTGGGAGGGGGAGGTTGCAGTGAGCCAAGATCCACTGCACCCCAGCCTGGGCGACAGAGCAAGACTCCATCTCCAAAAAAAAAAGATTGTCTTTTCATTGATATAGTATAGTCCAATAATCCATGAGCCACTTAGTGTTTACTGAGTTGTCACTGAATGTGTAACATTAAGTGCTTTCAGTGATACAAAACTAATATATGACTGGCTTGCTCATTGATTCAGTAGATGCTTGCTTAGAGAGCTATGTGCTATGTACTCTAAGAATACAAAACATCAAAGAAATTGAAGTCTGTTGGGGGAGATGATTAATGATGACATCATAGTACAATACCATTGCAGCTGTAAACATGCATTCAGAGGAACATGCCCAGCTACTTCAGCATGTCAGAGGGAGAACCGACCCAGAATGGAAGGAGTCAGGGTTATTTACCTCCAAGAGATGAGGCTGAGCTCAATCTTACAGGATAAATAGGAGTCATCTGGCTATTTGTACCCCAGAGGACAATATAAAGATACAAAGTTGAGAAAAAAGATGACGGGCAGAGGGCTAGTGCTATAATAGTCTCTTGTTGTTTATTTCATGTGCAAAGCAGAAAGCAAGGCTGAGTAAGTAGAGAGACATCAGGTTAGGGATATGCCATGGTTTAAATTTGCTGAGTTTTTTGTAACCTAATTAGAAAAAGGAGAGTAATGTGTGTGTACACAGTGGAGACAGTAAACACATGGTCACTGGAGTTCATTATTTTATACATTCTTCCCCAGAATCCATATGGGGCATAGTATTATTTTTCCTGTTTTATATATAAGAGCTTGTTTCTTCGAAATATTAAGCAAATTGCCTAAGGATTCAGAGAAGATAAGCGATGGAGATAGAATTCACTTCTACAGAATTCCAAAATCCAAACTTGCAGAGATATTGAACAACTTGCCCAGGATTATACAGTGAGTAAGCACTTAAAAACGTGGATTTGGAAAGTGGGATCAGATTATGTTTTCTGGTTATAACTGGATTAATTGAAAATGAGGACGATCACTGATTTCACAGTGCTTTATTCTTAGAGATGTGCCAGATTACAAAATGGATCTTTTTTCCTCTTATACTATGTAGCACCTTGTCCAAGCAAGCTGAAACTTGGTGGATGGTTTTTGTTTTATAACATACTTTCTTGGATGATTAAGAGTCAGGATTGCTGTGGTACTGACTTGCACCCTCCTCCTCAAATTAGCCCAGTGCAGAGATGTAGCCTTTTAATACATACAGGTGGAAAGGTAGCGTGGATTATAATAAGAAAACAACAACCAAGCTGTACATTTTCCTTAGATGATTAGATCTGCCTCAGGAAATCCTGCAGAGTTTCAAATAGAAATGTGTTCATCTTTCCTATGGAAAATAAATTCTCAGTGAGACTGCTTACTTATTTTCAAACTCTGACCCTCACGTACATATTTTGGTCAATTTTGATACTTGTTCTGAAATTCTTGTTGGTATTTCTATTGAAAAAATGAACTATTGTGATTATTGTATTCTTCTCATAGACTCTGAGGCAAGGCAGAATACTGCTTAGGCCAGGATTTGGGCAGAGAGGGAGTCTTTTTTTCATAAAGAATTTTTATTGTGGCTGGGAGTGGTGGCTCATGCCTGTCATCCCAGTGATTTGCGAAGATGAGGTGGAAGGATCACTTGAGCCCAGGAGTTGAAGACCATCCTGGGCAACATAGTGAGACCCCCATCTCTACAAAAATAAAAACTAAAAAATTAGCCAGGTGTGGTGGCATGCACCTGCCGTCCTACTACTCCAGAGACTGAGGTAGGAGGGTTACTTGAGCCCAGGAGTTCGAGGCTGAAGTGAGCTATGATCGCGCCACTGCACTCCACCCTGGGTGACAAAGTGAGACCCTATGTCAAAAAAAAAAAAAACACAGAATTTTTTTGTAATGGCATTTAATCTGTAATGAATTATGATAAACATTATTACATTATTATATGTTAATAATACCTACCTCTCAGGATTAGTGTGAGAATTAAATGAGTAAATATATGTTAACATATGTGAAATGTTTAGAACAGTTACTGGCACACAATAACCTCTATACAAGTATTTGTTATTATTACACATTTTTTATTTTATTTTATATTTAGATTATCTATTTTAATATTGTATATGTATTGGCCTTACAACAATGAAGAATTCCGTCCAATATGTAGGAAACTCCAAATGGGAATTGAGATAAATGCCACGAACAAATATGGTGTATTTTTATTTACTTTAAATTTGCACAGATTAACTAGATTGTTGTTTCTGCTGTTAGTAGTAATATTTTTATTTTCTGTTTATAGCAAGTCTTTCTTCTTCATAGATCAAGTTTGTAACTTGCAATTATGTTGGGGCAACCAGTGTCAACTGGCACTGTCCAGAGAAAATCCGTTGAGATTTGTAAGCCATTCTTATAAAATTAACATGCAAATAGCCTCTCAAGTCTTTCTTCTATCAGTGTGGCCATGTTCTAGCAGTAGGACTGAAGACCATTGAATAGGAATGTTACAACTAATGCCTCTACTGGGCGCCGGAGCAAAATAGCTGCCAATAGGCATGCCATGCTTTTTAGCTTCAGTGAAATTCCAGTTAGAAATCTTGAGAGGTTTCTTAGTGGCTGATGGCAGCTCACAAGTGGGTCAGAGGATCACATCCTGGCCGCCGCAAAAAGTACACACTTTTTTTTCTTTCCTTCTGCCAAGACCAAAATCACTGACTTGCTGGAAAGAAATAAGCAGATGTGACTGCTGCTCATCTTCAGGCCAGCCTCCTATGTTTTCCTGCTTTGATGGCTTGGCGGAACGCTGGGCACATATAAATATTTTATATTGGTTTAGGCTTCATTCCTCAGCATGGAGCCTGTTTCTGCTAGCTCATGGTGAACGTTTCTGTGAAGTCACTCCTTCTTACCCCATATCCATGAAAATCTCATCTGTTGCCTCTCCTGGTGTCAGAAAGCTGAAGTTTAATTCATGTAATATTAGATATTTCATTTGTTTGTCAGATGGAATGTTTATTAAATAGTTTTTTACTCTATGTCAGGGGTTCTTTTTTTTCCCTTGTTTGCTTTTTATGCATTCAATGATTATTCACTAAAAGCCTGACAGCTGGCAAGATATCGATACACTAGGTACTTTGAAGGAGTGTCCAGAAGAATGAAAGACATAAATACAGTTAACTGTGTGTTTCAGTTAGGGAAAAATAAGGATTTCAAGGAAGTACAGTGTGAATGAAGTGTTAGGAGCTCTGATAATATCTGCCATTTCTCTGCTCTAGAATATCTTGTCTGATTTCTTATCTTTCTCCTGTTTCATCCTTTTTGCATTCTCTCGTCATCCTGTGGAACTCTTACATAAATCAGTGTCATTGGTGGTTTCTTGACTCAGTTTTCAAAAAGGCTAGCTCCTGCAGTCATTTCATCATGAACTACAGTCTGTAATTGCAGGATCTAAACTCTTGGTTTATAAATATCATTGCCGTCTCTTTCTCTTCTATGTAAGATCTCTCTCTTGTCTAGTTCAATCTTCTAATTACGTACTTCGAGGTCTTTTACCAATTGTTTGCACCAGCTACTTTATCTTTCTGTTTCGTGCTCCATTACTCCCTAAACCAAATTCTCAGCTTCAGTCAAGTAAACTATTTATTTACCATTCCCGGAGCAGGCACTTTGCTTTCTGCTATTTCTTGGCCTCTATACTTGCAAATGCTTAACATTTGCATGTAGAATGCTCTCCTTCCTTCTCACCATGAAAACGTCTTCTGCCCTTTTTCAAAAGTTTTCTATGACACCGTCTGCATAATCTCATTGCCTCTAGTAATTCTACATTTTCCACATGTGTTTAATTATTTAGCCATGACTAGTTACTTGACGTTAATTTTCTATCAGGTTTCTGTGGATACGTTTGTGTCCCTGTCTCTGTGTTTTGTTCATGCTGCAGCGTGTTAAGTTTCCAGGTACCCCATACAGTGTTCTGTGA
The DNA here is from genome assembly GCF_000001405.40 of Homo sapiens. Taxonomy (NCBI): domain Eukaryota; kingdom Metazoa; phylum Chordata; class Mammalia; order Primates; family Hominidae; genus Homo; species Homo sapiens. The sequence goes on from NC_000004.12 coordinate 182,537,848, forward strand.
ATGTGCACAGATGCAAACTGAAATATATTTATATGACCATGGAAGATGATTGATTCATCTTGCTGCTCACTGACTGCTATTTTGGAGAGTGCATTGTTTGTAATCTTCCCAGTGATTTAACTGTTTTTATTAAGTGAGGGCTTTAAAGCACTTACCATTTGCTTTTGGCTGTTCTTTTTGAACAGGAGTAAAAATGCTCATAGTGCTTGGCAATTGAATGCTTAAATATATACATTAATTAGTCTAATATAAGCTTTTAGATAGTGTTTTTTATGTTCACGTTTTGGGCAAGTATTCAGGCATCCGCACGTCTCTTCTGTTTACCAAAGGTGTACCCAGGAAGAGTTTGAAGAAACAATGTTATTAACAATTATTTATGGAGTTCCCAGAGGCACAAGGCATTTGGCTAAATGCTTAGAATACAATAGTAGGCAAATTCAGAAAAGGGAGTTTACAAGCTAACAAGGCATATTAATGAAATGATCACACAAATAAATGTCAAGTCACCACTCAGGTCACTCAGGGAACTGGTACTTAAGCAGAGATTTGAAGGGTGAGGACATACCTGGGGACGGAGGAAGGAGAGAAAGAAGAAAATACAGGTAAAGGGTAGAGCATATGCAGAAGTAGCAGGTGGGAGCCTGACATGTTTGAGGAATTGGAAGTAGATGATTGTTGCTGGAACACAGAGCAAAGCAGCATAATGCAAGGTGAGCTTTGTTTAAGGACTTGGATCTTTGGCCAGAAAGCAGTAAACAGTGCTGGGGGTTAGAAGGATGTGACCAGATTGCTATTTTGCATTATTACCTTGGTTACAATATAGAGCAAATTGGAGACTGCAGGGAGGTGGTAGTGGAGTTGAAGAGAAGTGGGTGGGTGTTGGAAGATATTTAGAGAATACTAATATAGTATGGATGTAAAAGCAAAGGAAAAGGAGGTTTCCAAGATGACAGCTACATTTATGATTTGCAGGAAAGGATGGCTGGTGGTACCATTTTCTGAAAGGGGGTATGCTAAAATAGAACAAGGTTTGGGGGCTGAGGAAAGATCCTTAGTTCTGTTGTGAACATTCTGAAGTTGAGACATTTTGCAGCATTCAAGTGGAGATGTCAAGCCACTAGATCTGTGGCTGAGTAGCTCAAGGGAAATGTCAAAGCTATGGATATCGGTGTTATAAAGTGATCATTATATAGATGATAACTGACACTGTGCGTATAGATGAGATTGCTTAAGAAAAAAAGCATAGATTGGGAAGAGAGGCCTGAGTGATTCTGTATTTCAGTGGCTTAGTAAAGGGACAAGAGGCTACAAAATAGACTGAGAAGGTACAAGCAGAAGGGCATGGAGGAAGTGCTGAGAGATGAAGAGTGCAGAGTCCCTGCAGGCAAGAGAAGAGACCATTTGAAGAGGGACCTAATCAGTGGTGTAGAAAACCATCAAACATCAAGAAAGATGAAAAATAAAAATGCTCTGCTTGATTCATTTACGTGGAGAATACTGATGAGCTAGCAGTGACTTCTCCGGAGGGATGGGAGTGGAAGCCAGAGTGGATGAAGGAGTGAGCAAGGAGATGGAGACAGTGGGAACAGAGAACTCCTCCAAGAAGTTCGGCTATGAATAGGAATGAGAGGAATAACATGGTATCTGTATGTTCAGGGAATATTTTAATGTTTTTAAAATTATAGAGAATTATGAGTGCTCAAGTGCTATTCAGATGTAGAAGGAAGATATTGGATGTGTAAACCAGGTTTGTGATCATCAACAAACCATAAGGATCATTCGAACGATATTAAATTTTCGTACAGCATTAAAATTTCTCCTCTAAGCACAACTATTAACTTCATTCCTTCATTCAGCAAATAGTTATTTTAACACTTTCTATGTGTCATGCACTGTTCTAGGTTCTGGGAATATAAATGTGTATAATATTTACTGAGATGGAGAAGATTCGGTGTGGGTGAGGTTGAATTTGGGGGAAAATCAAGAAGTTTGTTTTGGCCATGTTAAGTTTGAGCTGTCTTCCAGACACCCACGTGGAGATGTCAGATAGACTGCTGGAGAAGCTGACTGTAGAGTGTGGCAGATGTGAGGACAGGGACCTTAGTGTCCTTATTGCTGTATCCCCAGCGTCTGGAACACAGACATAATTTGACTTGAGCACTCTTCCTAATACTCCTAGAGAACCTAATTGATACAAAGTTTACTGTGGGACACAATAAAGAATAGAAAACGGTAAATCTAAGATTGACAAGAAAGTTTGATTTGAATGTAAACCTTTGTAACCTTAGCCCTACTTGTAGCTTTTGTTCATTTTACCTTCAGGCCTCTAGCATTTCCTCCATAAGTTATTATGAAGCCATGGTGGAGGGAGGAAGAGGGACTAAAATTCAAGATGTTGTATAGAAAAACAAGAAATTGCTAACAGAGTATTCGTTTCCACCAGATAAAAATTTCACTTAAGGCCAGGCACAGTGGCTCACACCTGTAATCCCAACACTTTGGGAGGCCGAGGCGGGCGGATCACCTGAGGTCAGGAGTTTGAGACCAGCCTGACCAACATGGAGAAACCCCGTCTCTACTAAAAATACAAAATTAGCCGGGCATGGTGGCGCATGCCTGTAACCCCAGCTACGGGAGGCGGAGGCAGGAGAATCACTTGAACCCAGGAGGCGGAGGTTACGGTGAGCCGAGATCACGCCATTGCACTCCAACCTGGAGAAGAGTGAAACTCCATTTCAAAAAAAAAAAATTTTTCACTTAAAAAATATTTATCCAGTGAACCCGTGTGTCTCACCAAGGATTGAGAAAACAGGCTGACAGAATGGTGTCAGCGGTGTTGAGTAAGCACCTACTTCATGTCAAGAACTGGGCTAGGAATTGAGATAGCTCGGTGAAAAAAATAGATGCATATACATATATGGCTTCTGCTCTCATAGAACTTAGTAATTTTGCAAAGGGCAATGAAGAGGAACTGCATATGCTAACAGAGCTCCTAACGAAGGAACTAACCTAGTTAGGAGGATCAGGGAGGATTTCCCTGAGGAATCAGTGTTTTGCTCACATGTGAAACATACATAGATCATTTCAGGCAGAGCGAGCGAGTGGTACTAAGGTTAGTATTTACTGAGCATTCACTCTGTGCCTGGCACAGTTTTAAACACTTTCATTATATTACTAAGGTAGATTCTATCACTAATCCCATTTTACAGATGGGAAAACTAAAACCGCTAAGAGTTTAAAAAACTTGCTCAACTTCAAACAGTTGGTAAATGGTTCCCAGAATTCTAGCTCAGGAAGTCTGATTTCACAGCACAAATTCTTACCTCTATTTTGGTTTTTTAAAAGCATGGTGTTTTTGAAAAACTGAGGAACATCTAACATGACTTAACAGAGCAATATCATGTGCTATCTTATGGGTTTGCAATTTTGGACTTTATCCTAAGCCATAGAAAGTGATTCTGTGTGTGTGTGTATAGAAACGAAATATTTTTGGACTTCCTTCATTTCCTTAAAGCCTCAAAATAGAGAGCAGAATGTTAAGAAATCTGTCATTTGTGCACATGAGCATCTTTCAAAAACACAATCATCCAACAATATACTGAATTGATTGTCTTAAAATTATAGGGTGGTGCAAACATTTTCAATCATGCCATTGGTCAAGGGAAAAAAGTTAGATGAGAACTTCTATTGAATCCATGCTATTTTATAGGAATTTTGCTAGTGGCTTAACATGCATTATCTTATGTAGTATATGTAACGAAGAGTAAGCTGTGTTTTCATACCAGAACTCATTACTAGCAATTCAGCACTTAATATGATGGAGAAGATTAGAAAACAGATTTTAAATGCTAAAAGCCAACAAGCTCAATAGCAAAATCTGGTTTTAAGTAACATTTAATAAGCTATCATTTAATAAAATAGTAACAACAGGCCAGGCACAGTGGCTCATGGCTGTAATCCCAGCATGTTGGGAGGCTGAAGTAGGAGGATTGCTTGAGGCCAGGAGTTCAAGACCAGCCTGAGTAACATAGCAAGACCCCGTCTCTACAAAACTTAAAAAAAAAAATTAGCGAGGCGTAGTGGCGCACACCTGTAGTCCCAGCTACTTGGAAGGCCAAGGTGGGAGGATCGCTTGAGCCCAGGAGTTTGAGGCCTCAGTGAGCTATGATCATGCCACTGCATTCCAGCCTGGGCGACACAGACTCTGTCTCTCAAAAAAAAAGAAAAAGTAGTGACAGCCATATATAGCAGTTTTCATTTATTGAGCACCTACTTAGTTTGAAGGTTATGATACCAAAGCCAGAACCAAGTATTTTATAGCAAAGTCTCTCCCCCTTGTTTGTAAATTGAGTGCTTATTTTGTGCCTCACATCATGCCAGCATCTTCAGTTTTTGGCTCTGAGGTCATGTTCATTGGAACTGTGTCTGTGGAAATGCCTTGAGTTCTGGCTCTAGGGGAACTCTTTAGCAGACGATTTTCCTTTGTTTCTGCCAAGTACCTGAGGCACAGCTTACCTGGGACACTTTTTTCCTCTGCTTGAGGTTTTCAGACACAGGTAATGTAAATTCAATGGGCAAACCCATTTGAGGGCTACCTCTTGGATACAAATTCTTGAAGGAGATGTTTTTCTTTCTCCACCTAGAGCCAAGGTCAAGGCAGGCAGGTTTCTTTGTGTCACTTTATATAGGGTAGTTTTGTTATAGTTTCCCTATACTGAGAGCACAATTCTTTGGGAGCCTTGCTTTATGGAAGGGTTTTTATTAAACTCTCTACTTTCAAAGGGACAAGCCCTGGGCTTTATCTTCACCCCAGCGTTCCGTGTACTCTTTCATGATGAAGCTCGAGGTCAAGTTTCGGATTCACCTTGTTTTTGGCCTCTTAGTATACTTTACTTTCTTACAAAGTCAGTGAGATGAGTAAAAATGATTCTATACAATTTTTTATCCTTTATTTAATGTTAGCAGGAGAGTTGTTCAGGTGTCTACTTTCCATATCACTGTAAATGAAAGTTTAAGCTTTTAACTATGCATTAAGCTGTTGAATCCTCACAACAATTCTCGTGGTAGATGTGAAGAACACACGGGTTAAAGAGGTTTGTATGACTCAGCTAAGATCATACAGCCAGTAAAAATTTGAAAAGGAGTTTGAACCCAAGCCGTCTAACTTTGGAAGCTATAGCAAATGTTGGTGACATAACAAAGGAGTTCCTAACGAATGTAGCTTGTGATTGACCTATATCTTTCCTACTAGAAGGAACAAACACACCAGTAATGACTCGATGGATGCATGGATGCAAGGATGGAGGGATGCATGGATGGATGCATGGATGCAAGGATGGAGGGATGCATGGATGGATGCAAGGATGGAGGGATGCATGGATGCATGGATGGAGGGAAGGGAGGGAGGAAGGGAAGTGTCTCAACATAGAGACCAGGAGAAGAAATGGCACTACAGAGTGTATTTATTTGAACAAATTCAATAGGAGAAAGAAGAAAGGTTCTATGTCAGGAGGTTCATGCAATTATTCTGCTGCATCTGGTAGGGTCATTGCTTCTATTTGGAGGTTACATGTATCTTCAGAAAGTTTAGCTGTATTACCAGTTGTTGGTGTATGCTGATTTTTATGAGTGAAGTAATATAATAAGAATGGGCGAGCACAAGGAGACCAGCATTCTGCTTTTAATAACCTCTAACCTTAAACAGGTTACTGAGGCCTCATCTAGGCATCTGTTCCCTTATCTTTAAAAACAAAAGTTCTTTAAAGTCTCATCTTTTTTTTCACCAAAAAACTTAAAAAATTGAGATAGAACATATTTTCATATATATATATGTGTGTGTATATATGTAAGTTGTTGATACATGCTTTTTTGGTGGTATTCCATCTATAGAAAGGATAATTTTCCAGAAAAGTATATTTTTTTTTTAGTTTGTGTCAGCTACTCTATTTTAAGTGCTTTACATACTGTCGCTATAGGATAGTCGGATATGAATCTTTATAAAAGTAATTTTATTAGGGCTTATTTTATTCTTTGGAATACCAATTCAGATGATATCATCAATATAATCCTTTTGGATTAAATAGACGAAGGAGGTTGCCTTTTATTTTTATATTTAAGAACCAGAATATTGTGTAGTACCTTTTGCTTCAAGATGTTCAGGTGAGAATGTTTCAAAAAACTAAAATAAAGGGAAAGATAACACACTGTCAGTTTTCCTCTCAATGTTTCCTGACAAATAAGTGAGTTATCAGATTTCAGTTTATAGTTCAATAAGTTTATATAACTAATAACAAATATTGTATTCAGAAAGGTATATACATGTAAGTTTTTAGTTGATTGTGCAGAAAGAGAGCAGTACTCTGCCCTACCCTATTCTGTGTTTTCTCGCCTTTCCAATTTCTACTTGCCTTTCAAGTTCCAGCTCAACTTTCCCCTGCAAGGCATTTTCCTAGCTCCCTCCAGCACAGCATTGTGGATTTTTTTTTTTTTTTTTTTTTTTTTTGAGACTGAGTTTTGCTCTGTCACTAGGCTAGAGTGCAGTGGTGTGATCTTGGCTCACTGCAACCTCTGCCTCCCGGGTTCAAGCGACTCTCCTACCTCAGTCTCTCGAGTAGCCGGGATTACAGGGGCCCACCACCATGCCTGGCTAATTTTTATATTTTTAGTAGAGACAGAGTTTCACCATGTTGGCCAGGCTGGTCTTGAACTCCTGACCTCAGGTGAGGATTACAGGTGGGAGCCACCGCGCCCGGCCTGCATTGTGGATTTTTAAATAGGTAACCTCTCAGTCTCCTTAGCTCTCATGACTATCAAATAAAAGTTGTGTTGCTCATCTTCTCCTTACCTCCTCACCTTTTAAACCCAGGAATTAATGGAAAGAAGGAGACATTCATTTAAGGAGAGAACCTATGCGTTGGCTTGATGAATGATGACTGTGTGAAAGTTAGGGACTTGGAGTCAAATATATGCCCACACTGTTAAAGACAGTATCATTTACTTAACACATAACTAGTCTTCATCTAGGTGAATTTGAGCAAATCTCTTAACACCTCCTGGCATCAATTTTCTTACCTGAACAAGAGTTAGGGTAGATCAGGAACCATCAATCAGCGCATCAAAATCTTCAACAGTAGATATTGAAAACGTACATGCTGGATCTCATTTAAATAAATTCCCCTTGGGGATTTACTTTTATTCCCCATCTCTGCAGAGATTAAAAAGTAAAGGAAAATTGCTTCTCCTGATAGAAAAAAAAGTCGTAGTTTTTAGTCAAGGTGATTTCTAAGATGCCATCTAGTTCTACAATTACAGAGCTATGAGTCTATCACGTGAGTAAAATAAAATTGAGGGGAAAAAAGTTAAGACAACATACCAGTGTATTTACTTGATATGTCTGTTTGCGTGGAAAGACGTCTTTTTTGTTTGTAAGAACTCATTAATAGATGTATATTTTTGGATAGGTGATATATCAGCAAACTGTTGTTAGCATCTCTATATTATATCTTAAATATTTCCACTTGCCTTCAGCCCCACTACAACCACCCAGGTCTAAGCCACTCTCCATTACCTCTTGCCTGGACCTCTACAGTTGCCTCCTGCTTGGTTTCTAGCAGCCAGAATATTTTTTAAATAAAAGCTGAATCTCAGTTCTCTCTTGCGCAGAACCTCTCCTGGCCTACTAGACCCTGAATAACTTGGCCTTCGCCTTTCGTTCCAGTCTCATCTTGTTCTGCCTTTTCCTCTGCCCTTGGGCCTTCTCCTGTTTTGGAACGTGCCACAGTCTCCCTCCCCGGTGGTATTACACAGTCAGTTCCCTCTTCCAGAAGACTCTGCCCCTGTCAACTGGTATGGCTTCTCTTTCTTTGTCTTTAGATCTCAGCTTAATATAGCTCCACAGAAAAACCTTCCCTCACTGCCCTATTTAGGTAGCCCACCTGTTTTACTCTGTTTCTCTGTCCTGTTTGCATCTTTTCATAGGAATTACAGTTGACCGTTGAACAATTAGGGGGCTAGAGGTGCTACCCCATCTACACAGTCAAAATTCCTCATGTAACATTTGACTCCTCCAAAACTTAACCATGAATAGCCTACTATTGACCAGAAGCCTTACCGATCAACAGTCGATTAACACATATTTGGCATGTTGTATGTATTTTTTACTGTATTCTTACAATAAAGGAAACTAGAGAAGGGACAATGTTATTAAGACAATCATAAGGAAGAGAAAATATTCTTACTGTTCATTAAGTGGAAGTGGGTCATCACAAAGGTCTTCATCCTTGTCATCTTCACGCTGAGCAGGCTAACAAGGAGAGGGAACAGGAAGGGTTGGTCGTGCTGTCCCAGAGGTGGCACAGGAGGAAGGAAATCTGCATGTAAGTGCGCCTGCACAGTTCAAACCCCTGTTGTTGAAGGACCAGCTGTATTATTACTTTGTTATTTGTTTCCTTTTAATTTTTCTTTCTAGAAAAATTGACAGCAGGGGCCATGTCTGTTTGGTTTAATGCTGTAACATTCCAAGCACACAGCAAGTAAGTGCTCTACAAATATTTGTTGAATCCTTGACTCAATTAGACATTTACCATTTTTTTTTGTTGTTTGTTTTTTTTAGAGTCAGGGACTTGCTTTATCCAGACTGGAGTTTGTGGCACAATTATGGCTCACTGAAGCCTCAACCTCATGGGCTCGAGCAATCCTTCTGCCTTGGCCTCCCAAAGTGCTGGGAGTACAGGCATGAGCCACTGTGCCTGGCTGACATTTATCTTTTTATCTGTATTTTACTTCAGTTAATTAAAATAAGTTTTATTCTCTGAAAACCGACAATCTTTTATTCTCCAAGCAACTGAAAATAGTCTGGAAATGTGCAAAGAAATAGGGAATCCTACCAGAGATTTAATCTGTCCACAGATAATCCTGAAAATGGACAAGTTGCTTATGGATAATCAAAAGTGTGTCCAAGAGTTAATCTGTTTTTTGAAAAGGTTCTATATATGCCTTGCTGTAGTTAGCAGAGGTCGCTTCAAAAGCTGTTCATATTGGAATCTGTGTATACCTGAGTGTGTATGATGAAAAGTCTTTAATTGTAGGTTTGCAACATGTTTGTAGAATCTGATCAGTATGTTAACTGCTGGATTAATCCTGTTTTCTAAATCTTCAATATGCATATTTTTACAAAAGAAATATCTCCTCTTCCATTTCTAGATGTACCTCACGTGATTAATTCTCATGAGTAAGCAGAGATCTTGACCTGTAGCTTCTTACATCTGCCTATTTGTTTAGCAGAACAGAGAATTACGGTAAAACAGAGGCATGGTACAAGCGTTTGTGTTTGCTTTACAAACACGTCTCCCAACTTAGTACAAAAAAACACTGCAAACTCTTAATTTTAGATCTTCTTAGGTTTGTTGTAAATAGAAAGTAGAGTATAATGTTTTATAGATTTATTTCTAAACTATATTATGGTTACTTTTCTCGTGCTTTTCAGATATTTGAGAAATTGTTTATGTGCTGTCATGAATATGAATTCATTATTATTAAATGTTAATGAATAATTTTGCTTCAAAATAAAATAGTGAGCCTGTATACTTTCACTTGTATAGTGTCCTAGCCCATATTTTAATTTTTTAGTTTTTCCCTTTGTTTTCTTTCATGTCAGCTTCTTCATCTGGTCCATCAGTTATTGAACATATTACGTCACCTCCGCCCCATCCCATCTTCATGACAATCAGAGGAGGTTGCTAAGTGCTAGTTTCATCCAGGCCATTTTGTGGCCAAACGCTAAGCACACTACCAGTTCTATCCAATGCTCACTCACTGGTGCAGTTTCCATTTGAGTCCAGCCCTATAGAAAGAAGATGACAGCTTTCGGTTTTCATAGTTTGACTAAACTATCTTTTTGTGTCATGTAAGGAACCAAAATCATATTTTAAACTTGCTCCTTGATAGCTCCTTATTTAAAATTTTCTGGGAATGTTTTATCACTACAGATATTAAGGCATGGAGAAGAAATAAATGCTTTATTGTAGCCACAGAAATTGTTTTCTTTTTCTAACCCAATCATTTGCCATCTCTCTGAAAAAAAATTCCAAGGCCAGGCACGATGGCTCGTGCCTCGAGTCCCAGCACTTTGGGAGGTCAAGGTGGGAGGATCAGTTAAGCCCGGTAGTTTGAGACCAGCCTGGACAACAAAGTGAGACCCCATCTCTACAAAAATAAAATATAAAAAAATTAGCCACGCATGGTAGTGTACACCTGTAGTCCCAGCTACTTGGGAGGCTCAGGTGGAAAAGATCCTGTGAGCCCAGGAGGTGGAGGGTGCAGTGATCTATGATCATACCACTGTGCTCCAGCCTGGGCAACACAGTGAGACCCTGTCTCAGAAAATAAAATATTCCCTTCTCATCTCTGATCAGAATAGAAAAAGACCGCCCGTGACTCATGTTTAGAATTTTTGCAATCCAAACCCAGCTTTTCCACATTTTATGAAAATATGAGCTGCCTTGAGTTGCACAATGTTCACAGTAAACACACGGTTTTAGGAACTTGAAGAACGTCCATACATAGAACCCAGACTCTTAACTCCAACACAGATCACTAAAGCTTTGGACTGAAAAGCAAGGAGTGCACAGGCCGAGGCAACTCTACCTGGGGGAGGAACACTTCCATGACCCCAAGGCCGGGTGAGCCTGTTGGTTCTGGCATTCATTGGTTAGTCACCTGATGTAGATGTTCTACTCCAGAGGTGGCAAGCGTGTGGGACATTTGTTAACACTCCCACCTCCAATACTTACAACAGACATCAATAATGGATCACCACTTCTCAGCCTTTTGGCTAAGATCAAGTGTAGTGTCTGTTCTTACCGGTTTAATAATGGATCATTGCAGTGTTTCCTACTGAGTGCAAAGACAGTCTTGGGATCTGTCTTAACACAGCAGTCACTTTCAATTGCCAACCTTGTTTTAAAAAAGAAGCATCAGCACTCCCTGAAATCCCTCTCCGTTTTTCTTACTCTATTCTTATGCTATGCATCCCCTCTTCCCACCCTTCCCCATCCCCTACCATGGCAACTAGACTCTTATTTTTATGATTGCTTTATGATATTTTCTACAGAACCTGTCATTTACTTTTACCAAATGGAAAACAGAGATGATGTGGTTTTTTTCTCTCTTACTTGGCAGCCCAGCAATAACTTAACTAAGTGAGCAGTAGCCTTTTTAAGGTAAGATAGAATTTTAAAGTCGGCTCCAGATATAATTCTAATGTGTCCGGTGACACTGCAGAAAATGTAAATTTCCCTGGAACCATGTATTATTCTGGGATGTGTGCATGTGTGCATGCTTGTGTGCATGCTGGTAGATGTTACGGTCAAGTAAAATGTCAGCACAGTAATTATAGACCAAAAAAGTTCACTTCAAAGAATTAATACTGTTCAAAGGAAAATTCACGATTTGGAAACTCACAAATGTAAAACTAAAGCATTTTCTTTTCGTTCCTTTCCATTAAAAGTTGAGAGGAGTAGTTACCACTCTAGGATGAAGTCTATAATAGCATAAAAATCCCTCTGGATAGGAAAGAGTGTGTTGTTTGAGTTTTCCAGCCCATCTGATCGGATTTCAGAACTCTTTAAGCGCTTAGCTTTTGGTGTTTTTGGGATTAGGAATGTGTGTTCTTGTAGAGAGTTGGAAAGCAAATGTTAGGCTTGTCAGCATCTGAGGACCGCAGAAGCAGTCCACCCATTGTTCGAGTCACGCTTCCAGGGCCCAGCACTTTTCACTGAGGAGCCTGCTTTTGAAGTGTTTTCTTTGCTTAATTTTCTCCACCTTTGAGATCCTTTCAGAAGTATTTTCTTTCAAAATATCATGCATTCTTCTTTAGAAGAATTGGCCTTTCTAATAATACAAAGAAACATAGGATACTTGTAATCTGTCAAGTAGGGCTAAAAACATTAGGGCATTAAGGACAGATAGAATAAGGGTTGTGGAAGAAGTTTTGCAGTCGCATTATAAATTGACTTTTTTCCCTTTTTAATTTAGTCTGACTATAGAGAACTATATCTAGGCAAGAAAATAAGAAATGTTGGGTTCATTTAGAAATTGCAATTGGTTTTTTCATACGTAATGGGAAATCAAAATGGAAATGCTTTGGCATTACAATTATGTATTGGAGTCTTACTTGTGTATGAAAATAATTGAAGGTCTAATAAAAATTCCGCTCAAAACCAGTGTCTGTTATTTTATGGAGTTACATTTTAAACATTAACCAAGATGACCATAAAATTATGTGGAAAGTTTACGTTTAAAAAAAGTCAGCATAAAATGTTAACATGGGTTTGAGAACAGAAAATAGCAATTCCTAAAATAGCTCTTGTAGTCATATGTATGTATGTATGTACGTTGATTTACAAATTTAAATACAGAATTTAAGAATTAGAATATACTTTGATTCACAAAATAAATGAAAAGTAGCTATTCTTACAGACCTATTTGTTGAGATGTAATCCACAGAATAATTACATATATTGGTTCACTGTATATCTCTCTGTTTACTAAGACTTAACACTAGGGTCACAGATCCTGAAGTCACTCCTGTTGTTTTTCTCAACTGCTCTAATAAATCTGTGACCTTTCTCTCAGGTGGTAGCATCCTTTGCAGATGTTAATTTCAACATCTGGTGGACTCATTCTTAATTTTGTTCTGTGAAACCTTATTCTGACTTTAATTCTTAGCCTCTGAAGCTTGCTTAAAATATTTCTTTTTGGGTTTTCTGGGTGTTCATCACTAGAGACAAGTTATTAATGCTTCTAACACCAGGGATTTGTGGAGGATCTTCTATCACTGTAAATCTGTGCTCCCTTAAAGTGAACTATATGAGGTTAAAATAGAAGATGTCTATTTTTTTTTAACCTCAATACTTAATATAGTGCTTAACACAGAGCAGTTACTAAATGTTTGTTGAATGAAAACATATCCTGAGGCGTTGGGATTGGGAAGGAAAGATGTTATTTTCAACTTCTACCAAAGGGGCTAAGCAGTGCTTTAGGGAGTAAACCAGTTGGGAGATGATTTAGTTTCTGTCACAAAAAAAATCCTTGGCTGGGAGCAGTGGCTCACGCCTGTAATCCCAGCACTTTGGGAGGCCAAGATGGGTGGATCACTTAAGGTCAGGAGTTTGAGACCAGCCTGGTCAACACAGTGAAACACTGTCTCTACTAAAAAATACAAAAATTAGCTGGGCATGGTGGTGCCTGCCTGTAATCCTAGCTACTCAGGAGACTGAGGCAGGAGGATCGCTTGAACCCGGGAGGTGGAGGTTGCAGTGAGCTGAGATCACTCCACTGACTCCAGCCTGGGCGACAGAGTGAGACTCCATCTAAAAAAAAAAAAAAAAAAAAACCTTATATGTATAATTGTCCCTTCATTTGTCCATAATAACACGAAGATGATGAAATTGTCCCTTTTTCCCAGAGCTCTCAGCTAAAATTTTCTGACTTTGATTTTTAGGTCCATACCTAATGTTAGTCCATGTTAATAAACAGTTTTCAAAGAAATATAACAGCAGCGGTGGTAGGATAACTATGTAAACTATGTGAAGAAATAAATACATGGTCAATTACGTGAATTTGCATGAAGAAATAACTTTTCAAACTGTGATGATTAGAAAAGGACTGAATAAAGTGCAATGAATCTATTATAAATTGTACAAAAGAGAGAGATAATAATATAGGAATAAAATTAAAATTATAAATATAATTTCATAAGAGGCAACCAAGCCATCATTACTATTTCATCTGACTTAATATGACCCCCTGTTCATTATGCAGACCAGTGGAATTTGATAATTGTGTAGTGGTATTCTAAAGTTGCATCTTTTACTGTATTTAAAGTTAAATGGGCCATGCACAGTAGCTCACACCTGTAATCCCTGCACTTCAGGAGGCCAGGCTGGGAAGATCGCTTGAGGCCAGGAGTTTGAGACCACCCTTGGCAGCATAGTGAGACCCCCATCCCTACAAAAAATAACTAGCCAGGCGTGGTAGTGCATGCCTGTAAGTCCTAGCTACTCAGGAGGCTGAGGCAGGAGGATTGCTTGAGCCTGGGAGGTTGAGGCTGCAGTGAGCTGTGATTGCATCATGACACCACTGCACTCCAGCCGGGGTGACAGAGCAAGACCCTGTCTCAAAAAAAAAAAAAAAAAGTTAAATGATATGTAACATTTGGGAGTGACAAGACTGTTCATCAGCTTGGGGCCTGGCAGCAACTTTTCTAGAGTTAGCTTTTTTCTCCTTTCTTGTTCCATGACTTAAAAATAATAACTTGCTGGGCATGGTGCCTCATTCTTGTAATCCCAGCACTTTGGGAGGCTGAGGCACTTGTGGCCAGGAGTTCAAGACTAGCCTGGGCAACGTAGTAGATGCCCTCCCCGCCACCATCTCTACAAAAGAAAAAAAGTTAACTCTTGATTTGCTTTCTAGTAGTGGGTGAATTTGGAGTTCCAATGATTGTCAACCCATTAATTCTTCATTTACTGAACATCTCCTTATGTTTCAGATGCTGCAAAGATGTACAAGACTTTGTTTCCTACCCTCCAGGATATTTCAGTCTTACTCTGTGATACTTAAACTATTTTATTTTGCATTAGTTGAACCTTTATCTGAATTCAGTTTTGCTGTACCATTCTGAAACTTGAAGAGTGTTCTGAGAGCTACCAAGCTAATTAAAGGATTAGAAAATGAGACTCATGAAAAGAACTCAAGAAGAATTGAATTATTTAACAGAAAGGAGAGAAAGCTAAAGGGAGATACATTAATCATTTTTGAAGATGTAATGGATGATGACCATCTAGTTCTAGCATTGGCCAAAGATGGGAAAGGAAGAAGTGGATTAAATTATAGAATGAGATAGTAAGGTTAGACTTGAGAGTCTAAGAACACAGGAGTTATTTTAATATGAGTCCTCTTAATGAATGTAGTCCTGACATTTTTAAAGGGTATTTTTAAGTTACATAAAGTATTTTTTGTTTTCCCAAGTTAAACTGTGACTGAATTTAGGGATTAACAGAAAAAGAGTGTTCAAGTTTTTGTATCATCTTTCAGAAAATTATAGAGCTTGACTAGGGAGCGAGCCAACACTTGGTTCCGGGACATGCATGATACTGAATCAGTAAAAAGCAAATGGTCACAGCAAGGGCAGCCCTCTCGTAAATATATCGTAATTTGCTTTTGTAATCTTTAAATAGTTTTTTTGTTCTACTTTTTTAGACAGGGTCTCACTGTGTTGCCCAGGCCGTGGTGCAAGGGCTATTCACAGGTGTGATCGTGCACACTGCAGCCTCGAGCATCTGGGCTGAAGGCTTCCTCTTGCCTCAGCCTGCAGAGTAGCTGGGACTACAGGCAAGAGCCACCACGCCCAGCAGTGCTTCTATAGTCTTCATAAATCGTTTAGAAAATTGAAATGTTCTCACTCATAGGTGGGAATTGAACAATGAGAACACATGGACACAGGAAGGGGGACATCACACACTGGAGCCTGTCGTGGGGTGGGGGGAGGGGGAGGGATAGCATTAGGAGATATACCTAATGCTACATGACGAGTTAATGGGTGCAGCACACCAACATGGCACATGTATACATATGTAACAAATCTGCACGTTGTGCACATGTACCCTAGAACTTAAAGTATAATAATAATAAAATTTAAAAAAAAAAAGAAAATTGAAACTCATTTACTAGAGATAAACTTAAGAGCATAATGAAAGTTTATTTTTAAAGAGTTTCCTATTCCTTTGCTCGGTTGCATATTGCTAGGGACGATGTCTACTAAGAGTTAATGCCTCCTCTCATTTAGATTTGAAAGGCATTCTTGCCGTTAGCGTTTACAGCACTTTTTCAGACCACAACAGCTTGATAACTCGGGTTACTATCTAAACCTTCAAAGAAAATGGAGAGTTAGAGTCCATCTGCGTTGTGATTTAACTTTTCAAAGCCTCTGATTTTTAAGCCCTTTCACTTCAGGTGCCAAATTTTCTCAAAGCACAAGACCCCTTAACTCAATCTTTTCTCTCTGCCAAATGAACAATTTTATGTCTCTTCCCTTACTCTACAGCCACTGAAATCTAGTATTCAGTAATATACTTAGGAAGGTATCTCAGTTTTTTTCTTCATGAAAACCTTCTGTGCTGTATTACTTGTGGCCAATCTCAGACGCAAGTGTAAGTACGTACATAGAACCTGACAAAAATTTATTCCTTAGCTAAAAAGGGATAATAATTGCTTCTCCTCATGCTTAGAAACATTTTAAATATAACAAAGGCTTTCTGATGACCAGCTGAGTTTTATCTCTTCTTCATCCTTCATCTGATTAATCTTTTCTTTCGTGTTTTTATTTCTCAGTTGCAATGCCAAAGCTCTATTTGTACTGTTCTTCTAATAGAGGAAAAATGCATGCTTGCCCAGTTTAAATATTCCAACTTTTGCCGAGTGATAATTAACTGACCTCATCCCATCTGACCACTGACTTGCGAAAATCAAGTTTTATAGTGTGATTGAACAATTAGTTGAACTACATTATCCTTGTAATTCATATTTTACCAAGAATTACAGTTTTCTACATGATAGTAATGTAAATGCATCAGGAAAAGAGGGAAATGAAACTAACTTTTATTGGGTGCCTACTTTGAGCAAGCCTGTGTGCCAGGCAATTTGTGTGTGTGTGTGCACGTATGTGTGTGTGTGTGATATTTAATTTAATGTTCATAGTCTTGAGGCTTTCTTATCATTAACCTTGTTTTACAGATGAAAAATATGTAGCATGGAGAGGTTAAATAATTTGCCCAAGATTTTAGGTTTATTAAGTGGCAGTTCAAATGCTCATTTACTTAAAAGTCATAGAGAAAAAAAATAATCAAAAGAATTCTGAAACAAAGCCCATGTCACCAGAATCAAGAGTACTTGGAAGAGAGGGGTCAGTGTCTAATTTGTCTTTTCGCAGCTTTAATTTTCTATTTCTACTTCTGTCCGTTTCCTTTTAAGCTTTTTTTTTTTTTCCTTTCACATGATGTACGTTTCTCTAAAGCCAGAGTAGTGAGCAGCTTGAAAGGTTAAGGAAAAGAGGAGGTAGGGAGGCGGAACTATTGTGGTCTCTTTATTTGTCATGCCTCAAGCATACGATGTAGTAATATTCCTTGTCTTCCAAAAAAAGAAATCAGTGAACGTGGTTCCTTACTTAGCTCGCATTAATGGCCATGTGAGTGCATGCTGAAAATGTATATTTAGGAAAGTAAGGACATAATTAACATAAAAACCATTCTAATAGAATTAGTCTATGACTGAAGGAGGCAAGCGAGTCCAAATCATTCTGTATTGTTCAGTACATTTTTTTTTAATATCAGGCATAAATTTAACTGTGTGTTGCCACCAGTGACAACTATCATAGAGGTTTGGGTTTTTTAAAATCAAGAAATATAGTTTGAATCTTGCTCCTCCATGAACTGTAATACTATGTAAGTCTTACTTAAAATATTATGCTTATATGGTAGACATTATGTTAGTATAATTGTGAAAAAAAATAGTTGCCTAGAAGTAGCAGTGGATGCTTTAAAATTTTTTTTCAATATATTTAAACAAAAAGATTATTTGTATGGTTTGGGGCTTAAACATTGATTTGGGACCTAAAGTACATTTAAAACTACAGCATTGGTGATGAAATTTTGGCCTGGTTCAAGTAGGTGCTCAGTAAGTGAGCACTGAATGAATGTGCTATTAACTAAACAGCCTTACAAATAAATACCATGTCAAGAAAGACTCAGTACATCAAGAAAACCAAGTGCACATATTAACTTAAATGCATTTATATGGGTTTTAAATTGTTGCCCTTCAAAATGCAATAATGTATTTATTGATCTTGATTTTATGATTTGTAAAATATGCTTTTTTAAATTTCCTGAAAATTAAAAACTTAAGTCATTAATCCACTACTCTCTGGAATTACTTTTTTTTTTTCTACGAACACTTAAGAGTTTCTCTAAAAGAATAACTTCCCAGGTCCTGAGGCCTCTGGAATTACTTTTTTTATTCTACAAACACTGAAGAGTTTCTCTAAAAGAATAACTTCCCAGGTCCTAATGCTTAATGCAGGAAGTAATATTAGTACTTTTTTTGTTGTTTAGTCTCTTTCTCTGACCAAATATGCCACCAACTTGAGTCTCATTGTCCCTAGCCCATTAGGAACAATAGAAGTTTTACCCCACTTCCCAGCCCTTTTCTTAGGAATGTAGGAATCTGGCTAGAAGGCACAACAACCTCCCACCTTCCTAGTAGACCAAGGATTCCTGTTGTCAGATGCAGTGGGCATGAAAGCAGCAATTTTACAGCACAAAAACTCCAATAACATTTACTTCGGTTGGCTGAGATTGCAATGCACACAGGCACTGCTCATTCTTGGTTGCTTAAGCACCAGCTAGCTTCCCTTGGCTTTTTGCCACTTTGTGCATTTCAGAGACAAGTCCTTTCAGGAGAAAGCATTTTGCTTGTAACTTGCAGTGGAGTAAACAGACCATTCAGGCATAGTTTATTGCATTACAAACTCAACTATGCGAACTATCCCAAAATTGAATACAACAAAGTAATTAGTGAAATCATTTGGTCATGAGAATTCATAAAGAGGAATTGTCCTATTTAAAAAATAAAATTTTTCTTTTCTAAAGAATTATTTAAAACTTTATATTTAGAGAATGGTAGCTTATCTCTTATAAGTTTTACTTACATAGTGAAGCTTAAAGTGACCAATTTACAAGTGTCTTCCCCTTCCCACTCCCCTGTAGCCAGCACTTTGTTGAATTCATTTGGGAAATCTTAAGAGGGCACCCACGTTGCATTATAAAGCAAACACTGAAATGACGATGACCCACTCCTACGTAGACTGAAGTGCTGGCATATCAACCCCATGTTACTATATAAAGAATAGGCAGAGAAAAGCATACAAAAACATCTCAATAGCCTGACTCAGGCTGAACTAGGTAAAATGTGCATACACATTGTGGATTCCCTAGAAGACAGGCAAGGGAAGGCAAGAGGGATGTGCATTAGGTTACCCTAGAGGCAGTATTCATCTAATCAAGAGTTCATTCATTCCTGCAGCCAGTTTTTAAAATCATACATCTAATGTGTACTGAAAACCAGTTGCTAAATATGGTTACCAGACATTTTCTTCTTCTACAAGATTGTCCTAGGTTCTGTATTTGTTTTTTTGTGGAGCTTTTTTCGGAGAACTTTAAAACAAAATTATAAAATCTCATGTAAAATCAAAATTAAATGACTTTTTCTATTCAACATTGTATCTAATTATTACCTGTTTATAAACCAATCCTGTTCATAGGGTCAGAGCAAACTGCGGCTTTCAAAAGGATATTAATGGTTAGTGCATTTGTTAACTGGGACCCTATTTATTGTTCCTGTCCAACTCAGATCACTCGTGTGTGTGAACTAAGTACTCTGAGCTTCATTAGAATCGTAATTGTCTGTAAGTAAACTGTGATGTACTTGAATTTCTACAATTGTGCTTATTTTTCACATTTTGTTCAAATAAACCAGGGCTCAGCTCTTAACATTTTCAAATACTTGTTTCATTTTAAAAAAGGACAGGGGCCTTATTTGAGCTAACAGATGAGCCCTCATTTCTACGGAACCCTAAGCAAGATCCTATCAATCCATGTGCTAATGGTCTTTTTTATTGATGAATTTGGCCCTTGCTCTGTTGATTGAATCTACATATAGTCTCTAGCCAGTGATGCTTAAATAGAAGCCACAGGGTACAACATTTTGGAGTTGAAGTTCAGACCACACAGTCTCCCTTTCTGCATCCCACAGATTCTCATCTGTGCTCTCTCCCCCAGCCTCCAGC